>NC_000018.10:79660573-79961929 GCF_000001405.40 Homo sapiens | reverse complement strand
CGGGGCTGCTCCCTGGCTGCCGCTCCTCCCTTACTCAGGCGGAGCAGGGGCCACAGAGCTCTTGACAGCACTGAGCTCACCAGTGATAAAGCACTTCGGACAGCCGTGAAGGCAGACTGGCGTTGGGACTTTGGAGAGCTTGTGGGCACCCTGTGGAACCCGTTATCTTCAGATGTTGACTGGCTGACTCTGGGTGCAGGTTCAAGCTGGGCACCCTGTCCTCATGGGCTATGCGTTCCTAACCACAGACAGCTAAACGAGCAGGGAGCCCCACTGGCCCACACGAGCCTGGAACTGGCCCTGCAGAAGACGAGACGAGCCTGCCTCTGACCTGGGAACGCCTCTCTCCTCTCCAGCCGGCATCGGCCAGGCTCATATTGGGCCGTCCCTCCAGCCCTGGCTGCTTTTTCAGGTCAGGCTTCTTGGGCAGCCCGAGTAGGACCACCCAGCATCGCCGCACACAGCAGCCTCAGGCCTCACCGACATAGGCCGGGTGGTCTGTGGAGATGACAGGACTGCCTTTCTTTTTTCTGGGATTGGGTTTTGCTGTGTCACCCAGGCTGGAGTGCAGTGGTGCAATCATAGCTCACTGTAGCCTTGAACTGGGCTCAAGGGATCCTCCTGCCTCAGCCTCCCGAGTAGGTGGGACTACAGAGGCACGCCACCATGCCCGGCTACTATTTTTTATTATTTTTCTAGAGACAGGGATCTCCATATGTTGCCAGGGCTGGTCTCAAACTCCTGGGCTCAAGTGATCCTCCCACCTCGGCCCCCCAAAGCGCTGGACTTACAGGCACGAGGCCATGCTGGCCAAGGACTGGCTTTCGAGCAAAGCTCTTCAGCTGGATCTGATGGAGACAACACAGTGAAGGGGTGGGTTGCCCCTCCACACCTGTGGATGTTTCTTGTTAGGTGGAACGAGAGACTTGGAAAAGAAAGAGACACAAAGTATAAAGAAACAAAAAGGGGGCCCAGGGGACCGGCGTTCAGCATACGGATCCACACTGGCACCGGCCTCTGAGTTCCCTTAGTATTTATTGATCATTATCGGGCGTGGCAGCAGGATAATAGGATAATAGTGGAGAGAAGGTCAGAAGGTAAAAACGTGAACAAATGTCTCTGCATCATAAACAACGTAAAGAAAAAAGTGCTGTGCTTTTGATGTGCATATACACGAATATCTCAATGCCTTAAGGAGCAGTATTGCTGCCAGCATGTCCCACCTCCATCCCTAAGGCGGTTTTCCCCTATCTCAGTAGATGGAATATACAATTGGCTTTACACCGAGACATTTCATTGCCCAGGGACGAGCAGGAGACAGAAGCCTTCCTCTTATCTCAACCTCAAAGAGGCGTTCTTTCCTCTTTTACTAATCCTCTCAGCAAAGACCCTTTACGGGTGTCGGGCTGGGGGACGGTCAGGTCTTTCCCTTCCCATGAGGCCATATTTCAGACTATCACATGGGGAGAAACCTTGGACAATACCTGGCTTTCCCAGGCAGAGGTCCCTGCAGCCTTCCGCAGTGTTTTGTGTCTCTGAGTACTTGAGATTAGGGAGTGGTTTGAGGTTAGGGAGTGGTGATGACTCTTAACGAGCAAGCTGCCTTCAAGCATTTGTTTAACAAAGCACATCCTGCACAGCCCTTAATCCATTTAACCCTGAGTTGACACAGCACGTGTTTCAGGGAGCACAGGGTTGGGGGTAGGGTTACAGATTAGCAGCATCTCAAGGCAGAAGAATTTTTCTTAGTACAGAACAAAATGGCCCTCTGCTCAAATTCTACAATGCCAATATGGACTGCGGGTCTTCAAAGTGGTCTCCTCTACCTTAGGAACACAGCAAGAAAATGATGTGCATTCTCGATTTCACAGCTACTGGAGGAGTCATCGGCCAGATCGGCCTAGCAGTTGTTTCTTTTTGACCCGATAAAATTATGTTTAGAATAGCTCTCAGTTTTCCTGCTCATGTTTGGCTTAGGATAAATGTAGAAATTGTGCCTTCCTCAGCATATGCTGCCTGGGTGGCGCATGAACTGACAAAAGAGAAACTGCCGAGTACTAGCCCAGGATGAATAATTGACCATGGGAATCTAAATATTAAAGAATATTAATGTGTATTCTGAAGTTACAGAAATTAGCCAGTCTTTCCCTGGTGTGAGGACAGACAATTGGGAAGAAAACAGTCTGGGTAAGACTGAAATAGCTAATTACGTGAGCGAAGATGCAGACTACAAGAGCAGAATGTAGACATGAAACAAAGCTTTAAATTAGAAAACCAACGTTTTATTTTGGATAGCTGAAAACGTCCCAGTCCAACCCAGTGTAGGGTGCAGCTGTCTTTATGAAGCATGGGTGTCCATGGAGGTGCCCAGTTGCCCCTCGGATCCAGTGTGGGTGGCCTTGTTTCTGAGGCCCTAAATCTAAGACGCTGCTGATTTTAGGGTGCACTGTTATTATCAGAAATGGAGAAACGCTGCCAATTAAACGTTAAGTTCAGTTCTTATTTTATACTCATTAAAAGAGCGATTTTATAATTATTGATGCTGGTTGATGGATACATGCCTTTCATTATGTTACGCTCTTTTGTGTTTGAAAAGTTTTATTTAAAAATTATATAAAAGCAGTTCTTTTGGGTATAGATTTGGGTATACAGATCTGAGTAGAGACTGTTGCTCCTTTCTTTTTTTGAGACAGGGTCTTGCTCTGTTGCCCAGGCTGGAGTGCAATGGCAGAATTACGACTCACTGCAGCCTTGACCTCCTGGGCTCAGGTGATCCTCCCACCTCAGACCCCTGAGTAGCTGGGACTACAGATGCACACCAATGTACCCCACTAATTTTTGTATTTTTAGTAGAGATGGGGGGTCTCACTATGTTGACCAGGCTGGTCTTGAACTCCTGAGCTCAAGGGATCCACCCACCTGAGCCTCCCAAAGTCTTGGGATTATAGGAGTGAGCCACCGCACCTGGCCCGCTCTGTTTTACTTATTCTAAAATAATTGCAATATTTTCATAAGTTTAATTTTCATTGTTAATGCAATATCAACCAACTATTTTCTAATCCCATGAATTATTTACTATGCAATTCTGGTCCTGTTTGAGTAAGTGGTCTTTCCAAGAAGTCATGATTGTGGGTAATGAGGACCTCCTGTACCATGCAGCTTTTGTAGGTGTGAATTTTAAAACAGTGGCTCTCAAATATGGCTGCACATCAGAACTTCTGGGGAAGGCTTAGAAGGCTACCCTGACTGGCACAGTCCCCTTTATCGGTGCTCTGCGGGTGGGCCCGGGCACTTGAGCATTTGTGGTTTTAAAGCTGCCCAGGGGTTTCAGTGTGTGACCAAGTGGCTTAAGCTGTGGAATATAGCTTTAGACCCGTGGTAGGGAGGGCAGCACAATGGAAGTATTTTACATCAGAAAAGTCCCAGCTCCTCCCACTGTCCCTTGTGACATTTTGTCCACAAGCTGTAATCACCCAGTACATTGTTACTTTATGGCTTTTAACAGTTGTCTTTAGATCAATTAAGAATAACGAGGTTGGCCGGGCGCGGTGGCTCACACCTGTAATCCCAGCACTTTGGTAGGCCGAGGCGGGCGGATCATGAGGTCAGGAGATCAAGACCATCCTGGCTAACACAGTGAAACCCCGTCTCTATAAAAATACAAAAGATTAGCTGGGCATGGTGGTGGGCGCCTGTAGTCCCAGCTACTCGGAAGGCTGAGGCAGAAGAATGGCCTGAACCCGGGAGGCGGAGCTTGCAGTGAGCTGAGATCGCGCCACTGCACTCCAGCCTGGGCAACAGAGCAAGACTCCGCCTCAAAAACAAAAAAGAATAACGAGGTGGTTCACGCGTATAATCCCAGCACTCTGCGAGACTGAGATGGGTTGATTACCTGAGGACAGGAGTTCGAGACCAGCCTGGCGAACATGGCGAAACCCGGTCTCTACTAAAAATACAAAAAATTATAGGCCGGGCACGGTGGCTCACGCCTGTAATCCCAGCACTTTGGGAGGCCAAGGTGGGCAGGTCACGAGGTCAGGAGATCGAGACCATCCTGGCTAACACAGTGAAACCCCATCTCTACTAAAAATACAAAAAATTAGCCGGGCGCGGTGGCGGGCGCCTGTAGTTCCAGCACCTGAGAGGCTGAGGCAGGAGAATGGCGTGAACCCGGGAGGCGGAGCTTGCAGTTAGCTGATATTGCACCACTGCACTCCAGCCTGGGTGACAGAGCGAGACTCTGTCTCAAAAAAAAAAAAAAAAAAAAAAAATTAGCTGGGCATGGTGGCATGTCCTTGTAAGCCAAGCTACTCAGGAAGCTGAGGCAGAATTGCTTGAACCTGGGAGGTGGAGGTTGCAGTGAGCTGAGATTGCGCCATTGCACTCCATCCTGGGCAACAAGAGCAAAACTCTGTCTTAAAAAAAAAAAAAAGAAAGAAAAAAAAGAAAAACAAGAGACATTAATTCTCTTCATTTATTCTGCCTCTGATGCTTTTCCTTTCCTGATGTAGATCTAAGCCTCTGACCTGTATCATCTTCCTTGTCTCTTCTCTAACATTTCTCACAGGGCAGGTCTACCGGCAATACATTCCCTCAGTTTTTGTTTTTCTGAAAAAGTCTTTATTTTTCCTGCACCTTAAGGATACTTTTGCTATATGGAATTCTAGGTGGGCAGATTTTTTTTTTTTCAACTGCAACACTTTAAGGATTTCACGGCCAGGCGCAGTGGCTCACGCCTGTAATCCCAACACTTTGGGAGGCCGAGGCAGGCAGATCACGAGGTCAGGAGATCGAGACCATCCTGGCTAACACTGTGAAACCCCGTCTCTACTAAAAATACAAAAAAATTAGCCGGATGTGGTGGCGGGTGCCTGTAGTCCCAGCTACTCGGGAGGCTGAGACAGGAGAATGGCGTGAACCCGGGAGGCGGAGCTTGTAGTGAGCCGAGATTGCGCCACTGCACTCCAGCCTGGACAACAGAGCGAGACTCTGTCTCAAAAAAAAAAAAAAAAAAAGATTTCACTCTACCCTTTTGTTATCCGCATGATTTCTAACAAGAAGTCCACGGTCATTTTTATTCATATTCCTCTTGTTAACTTAAAAAATCACACAACACTGCATTTAGAAAAGGAGACTATTTCTTAAATAACTTGCAAGATAGACATCCCACAAGACCAGACACAGGCCCTTCAGAGGAGGAGAGGATGGGGCACGAGCTTTATGCTGACTTGGTTGGCTAAATATACTTAATAGGTTACATGAGGAGCTATGAATATTCATGAAGGGGGTCTTGCTGTATGTATCACATGACCCATGTTCACTTTGGGGTAGAGATGTAACATTTACATGTATTACAGTTAGGCCCTATACATCAAAAGGTCTTTCTAAGACTCAAAGGCACTTGGTGCACAGAGTTTGTAAACCAGCCGGGACCAGCCATGGTCAGTGGTCTCTTACCAGGAGAGTTACTGAAATCTGTCTCTTGTCTTGTCAGAGGTGTAGCTGTGGCTGGTGGACGAGGGTTCAGTCAGGCAGGTTTATTCAGTTTGAATGTGACAAGCCTAGGTGTGGTTTTTTGTTTTGTTTTGCTTTATGTTTTTTGTTATTTGTCCTGATGGATGTTCTGTATGTTTCCTGGATCTATGGTTTGGTGTCTGTCATTAATTTGGGGACATTCTTGCCATTCCACCATTTCTCCTGCCCCTTCTCCTCTTTCCTCCTTCCGATTCTCCCATTGTACCAATCATATCCTTTGATGTTGTTCTTGGATGGTGTTTTCTGTTGGTGTATTAGGCTGTTCTTGCATTGCTATAAAGAAATACCTGAGACAGAGTAATTTATAAAGAGAAGAGATTTAATTGGCTCACAGTTCTTGCAGGCCATACCAGCATGGCACCAGCATCTGCTCAGCTTCTTGGGGGCCTCAGGGAACTTTTACTCATGGCGGAAGGCAAAGTGGGAGCAGGCATTTCACACGGTAAAAGCAGGAGCAAGAGAGAGAGAGAGTGAGGGTGTGGGTAGGTGCCAGACACTTTAAAGAAAAACAGATCTCAGGCGGGCGCGGTGGCTCATGCCTATAATCGCAGCACTTTGGGAGGCCGAGGTGGGTGGATCAAGAGGTCAGGAGTTTGAGACCAGCCTGGTCAACATGGTGAAACCCCATCTCTACTAAAAATACAATAAATTAGCCAGGCATAGTGGCACAAGCCTGTAATCCCAGCTACTCGGGAGACTGAGGCACAAGAATCACTTAAACCCAGGAGGTTGCAGTAAGCTGAGACTGTGCTGTGCCACTGCACTCCAGTCTGGGCAACAGAACGAGACTCCGTCTCAAAACAAAAACAAAAACAAAAACAGATCTCACATGAACTCAGAGTGAGAGCTTACTCATCACAAGGGGATGAAGCGATGGTGCAAGCCATTCATGAGGAACCCGCCCCCATGATCCAAACACCCCCTGCCAAGCCCCACCTCCAAAACTGGTGATTATAACTCAACATGAGATTTGGTGGGGACACACACTCAAACTAGATCAGTTGATTTTTTTTTTTTTCATCACCTTTTCTCCTTGAATTTCAGTTTGGGAAGTTTCTGTTGACTTATCTTCATATTCACTGATTCTTTCCTTCATTCTGTCTAGTCAACTAATGAGCATTCTTTATTTCTATTGTGTTTTTGACTTCTAGCATTTTTTTTTTATTATTGTTTCCATCTTTCTGCTGATATCACCTATCTGGTCTTGCATGTTGTCTAATTTTTCTGCTAAAGCCAGTTTATCCAGGAGTTTCTGCTCTGGGTGAGCAGCTCTCAGGTGCTGTCTCTCCCTGGATGTGCCTGTCTCTTCAGAGCAGGGTGCCAGTTTGTCTGGCAGCCTTAGTTCTCTGATGGGCCCATGAAAGGCTGCCCTGCTATTCTTTGCTGTAAGGATGGGGGTGGTGACTGCCAAGCACGTCACATGACACCAGTTGAAGTTGCGGAACTTCTGAGCCAGGCTCCTAAAGTGAGACTTCCAATCCACCTTCCGTACAGGTTTCCTTAAAAAATGGGGTGCGCGACCAGCAAGGTGGCTCACTCCTGTAATCCCAGCACTTTGGGAGGCCTAGGTGAGAGGATCCTTTGAAGCCAGGAGTTCAAAGACCAAACTGGCCAACATAGTGAGCTCCCCGTCTCTATAAAATAAATAAATAAAATAAAAAGAAATAGGCTGAGTGAGAAACAGTGGCTCCAATCTTCCTCTGATGTCCCAGCTCTCAGAACAAGGTTGCTTTGTTTGCTTTTCCTTTTATAAGCACCATGTGTTAGGCAAATTCTTAAGTGGTTCCCTGAGGTATTCATGCTCCTACGTGACACCTTAATCTGCACCGGGCCAACCCAGTGACCTGTTTCTCATGAGCAGAGCCTGGAAAGCATGAGGCACAGCTCTGCTTCCTCTGTGTCACAGCTCTGATCTTGTCAGTCACTCATTGGCTCCTGCAACAAATGACCACAGCTAAGTGGCTTTTACAACAGCAGAAGTTTATTCCTTCACAGCTCTGGAGGCCAAAAGTCCAAAATCACTTTTAATGTGCTGAAATCAAGGCATTGGCAGGGCCAGGCTCCCTCGCATGGCTCCTGGGGAGAATCTGCTCCTTGTTTCTGGGGCCTCTGGTGGCTCCGGCGTTACTTGGCTTGGGACTGCATCACGTCAATTTTCAAGGCCCCATCTTCATCTCTGCTCCATCTTCCCATGGCCCTCTCTTCTGTGTGGCACCAAATTTCCTTCTGCCTCCCTCTTACAAAGATGCATGTGGCCGGGCACGCTGGCTCATGCCTGTCATCCCAGCACTTTGAGAGGCCAAGGCAGGAGGATCGCTTGAGGCCAGGAGTTCAAGACCAGCCTGGCCAACACAGAGACCCTGTCTCTGTTGTATGTATTTATTTTTGAGATAGGGTCTCACTTTGTCACCGAGGCTAGAGTGCAGTGGTGCGATCCTGGCTCACTGCTGCCTCAACCTCCTGGCCTCAAGCAATCCTTCCACCTCAGGAGTAGCTGGGACTACAGGTGCACACTACCATGCCCAGATAATTTTTCTATCTTTTGTAGAGACGAGGTCTCACCATGTTGCTCAGGCTGGTCTCGAACTCCTGGGCTCAAGAGATTTACCTGCCTCAGGCTCCCAAAGTGCTGGGATTATAGGCGTGAGCCACAGTGTTTAGGGCCCACCTGGATAATCCAGGACAATCTCTCTATCTCAAGATCCTTAATGACATTAGAAAAAAAAATTGTTTTCCCATACGAGGTAATATTTACAGGTTGCCTGGATTAGGACTTGATGGCTTTATAAGGGCCATTTTCCAGCTGTGCATGGCTTGGTCGGCTTCTCTTGTTTGCAGGAAGCTATGTGACAAGCGCAGCACCTGCAATGAGCTGTGATTGGCTGATGTAGACTGGGGGTGGGGGCTCGGACCCCCGGCAGGTGGTGTTCGAAAAGGTACAAACTCACTCTGCAGTCATCAACTCACCTTTCGGGGTGCCTCTGAGGCGTGAGGCCTGTGGGGTGACGTCCGAGCATGCCAGATTTCGTCCACTGAGCCGGGCTCCTGGAGGCCCCGTGCACAGATGCAGCTCTAGGCCCCAGGCTGCGGGCACAATTTGCCCCATGCCTCCACAGCCTCTGGATTTAAGATAACCGAGGATAGCGTCTGGGACCCCAGTGCTCCCGTGAGGGTCAAGGAGGTCCGGAGCTTACTCCAACCTCCAGGGCAGAGAGGACAGATGATCCCAAAGGCTGCTGGGCTCAGGCTAGGGCGCGGCTGAGCAGGGGCAGCTGCTTTTTCTCTCCCAGGCTTCCTGCTGTGCCTTTTACTCACCTCTACGTTCCTGGTGCTGGGGCTCCGCAGCGCTGGCTCTAAAGAAGTTCCAACGCCAGCCTGGGGGCGCAAGGCAGGAGCGCCCTGTTTCCTCGATTGTTGGGGATTTGCTCCTAGTTAGGTGGTGACTGTCCTTATGATCCCCCATAAAACCAGTCGGGCAGGGGGCAGGGGGCAGGGGGCCGGGATCGTGGAGAAGAGGCCGCGGCTGGCGGGGAAGCAACCCTCAGCGTGGACCCCTCAACCTCGCGGCTCGCCCCTTACCCGTGCACCCCTCGCCTCACACCCCCGCGCCCCTCACCCACGCGTCCCTCACCCTACACACACCCGCCCATCACTCGCGCACCCTTCACCCCTCACCCACGCTCCCCTCACCCTTCACCGGCGCGCCCCTCACCCCTCACCCCTCACCCAGGCGCCCCTCACCCTTCACTCGCGCATCACTCACCCCTCACCCCTCACCCACGCTCCCCTCACCCCTCACCCCTCACCCGCGCTCCCCTCACCCCTCACCCGCGCGCCCCTCACCCCTCACCCGCGCTCCCCTCACACTTCACCCGCGCTCCCCTCACTCTTCACCCGCGCGCCCCTCATCCACGCGCCCCTCGCCCTCAGTCCTCACCCGCGCGGGCCAAGAGGGTCCCGGGCGAGGGCAGCTCCCCGCGGGCGGGTGTGGGGCTCGGAGTTGGCTTGGCACGCGAGGCCGGCAGCAGGGCCCGGGCTTCACGCACGCCTGGCCCCCGAGTCTGTCTTGAGGCTCAGGAGCTGCCTTTTCTGCAAATAGGCGCCCAACGGTTCAGCCCGGAGAACTACACGGGGATGGGGAGAGGCCGCCCCGCGTTTCTGCAGCGACAGCGACCGTGGCCGCAACCACGATAATGACAATGGCCACGGTGACGGCCGCGCGTCCAGCCGGCCCCCCGGCGACGGCCCCGGCGCATCTGCTCGTGGGGCACTTGCATCGGAGCGGAGACCCGCGGGGGGCGCTCCGTTTCCCGAGACCCCGGCCGCCTCTGGGCGCTGCAAACTCCGAGCCGGGTCCCCGGGTCTCCTGGGTCAGGACAGAGCTGGACGAGACTCGTCCCCGGGTGGCCCGCATTCAGGACACGCGTGAGAGGGGCGTCCGGACCCCGCGCCCCCGGCCCTCCAGGACGACGCCCTCCGCTTGGATGGCCGCGCGCCGGGACAGCTGGAGACGGGTTAACGTGGGCGCCAGGCCTGAGGGACCGGCCCCGCCCGGCTGGTATTTCCCGACCGGGCGGGAGGAGCCACGCGCCCCCACCGCCCCGACAGCCCCGGCTCCCGGCCCCGCCTGCGCCCGCCCTGCCCAGCGCGCTCTAGGACACCGCGGCGCCTCCGCGCAGCTCCGGCGTGGGCGGGGCCCGGCATTGTGACGTCACGGGGCGGGGTTTCCCGGCGCCTGAGCGGACTGACGCCGAGACGCGCGCGGGTCAGCGGCGCGGGGACGCGGGGCGCTGGGCGCGGGGCTGGGGGCGCAGGTAAGGAGCGCGGGGGCGGCGCGGGGTCCTCGGGGGGCGGCCTAGGGCGGCCGAGGACGCAGGGCCGGGGCAGTTGGTCGCGGCCTTCAGTCCCCTGGCTTGGTCCTGTGGGGTCCCCGGCCCGGCACCTCCTCCCGCGAGCCGTGCGCCCCCATCCTGGGCCTGCGCCCCCTTCCCCCGAGCCGTGCGCCCCCATGCTAGGCCCTGTGACCCTCCCCCGAACAGTGCGCCCCGATCCTGGGCCCTGCGCCCCCTCCCCCACCCCATCCCGGGGCGCGCGTGGACCCCCGCCGGCTAAGCGCACCCGGGCGGTGACCCCAGGGGCTTCGCCCGTCCTCGACCCCGGCGCTGGGACCCCTCCCCAGCCCCCTCCGGGAGCGTCTCGGGACCCCCAGACACCCCCCCGTCCCAGGCAGGGGCCGCTCCTCGCGCGCCCCGGGCCCCGGTCGCCCCCGCTCTGCCTCGGGTCCTGCGGCTGGCGCGGGTCGGGTCGGGTCCGTGCGCGCCGCCCCAGCCTCCCTGGGCGGAACTCGAGCAGCTCCCCGCTCCCCGCAGGCCCCGAGGCCGCAGGAGCGCGCGGAGCGGCGATGAGCAGGCGGCCGGTGGCCCGCGGGGCGCGGAGCCCGTGACAGCCTCGGCCAGGCGGGCGCTGCGATGGAGGCCGAGGGCCTGGACTGGCTCCTGGTGCCACTGCACCAGCTGGTGTCCTGGGGCGCGGCCGCGGCCATGGTCTTCGGAGGGGTGGTGCCCTACGTCCCGCAGTATCGGGACATTCGCAGGACGCAGAACGCCGACGGCTTCTCCACCTACGTGTGCCTGGTGCTGCTGGTGGCCAACATTTTGCGGATACTCTTCTGGTAAGTTGGGGGCTTGCTTTCCTGGGCTGCACCCGGAGAAGAGGGTTTCTCCTTTGGGGTTTCTGGTTGAGGCCGGGGGAGCAGCAGGGTCCACACCTCCCTGCTGGGCCAGCGTCCCACTCTGCCGTGGATGGGGTACGTGGCTGCAGGCAAGTCACTTCTTAGGGTGAGATTATTTTTCCAGAAAAACGGTGGGGTTGGAGCACAGAATCTCAGAGAAAATCTCCAGATCCGCCTCCTTGCATGATGTTCCACATGGGTACTTAGCAGGGACCTCTCAGCTGGGCACTGGCCTAGGCCTGCCTGTGGAGAGGAGCCGTTCCTGCCCTCCTTTTTCATGTTGTATAGTTTTTCTTTGTTGTTTTGAGAGAGGGTCTTGCTCTGTGGTCCAGGCTGAAGTGCATGATGACATGACAGCTCACCGCAGTCTCCACGTTCCTGGGCTCAGGTGATCCTCCCATCTCAGCCTCCCGAGTAGCTGGGACCACAGGCGCACCACCACACCCGGCTAATTGTTTTTTTTGTATTTTTTGTAGAGACAGGGGAGTGGGGGGTTGTCTCACTTTGTTGCCCAGGCTGGTCTCGAACTCCTGGCCTCAAGCATCCCTCCCCACTGGGCCTCTGAAAGGGCTGGGATTACAAGCTGAGCCACGGCGCCTGGCCTGCCTTATTTAAATAGGAAGTCACTCTCTCTGGAGACTGTCTTGTTCCTCTCCCCAACTTCCTCTTTGTATTTGTATTAGGCTAAGGAAATTGAAATTAATTTTAACAGTTGTTGAAGGCAGACATAATTGGGAGGGTGAGTTTTCAGAGGAAATGAGGTCTCACAGCTGCATTCTAAGGCCAAAAACGTCTGAAATTTTTCTTTCTTCTGGGTGATCCCAGCCTCTCTGTCCGGGCAGATTGGAAGGTGTCTGCTGCTCTTCCTATGAAGAGGGCCTGGTGGAGGGGTGGAGAGAAGGAGTCCAGGCAGCTGGTGTCAAGAACTCTGCTTCTGACTCTGGTCACTGAGTAATCACGTACCTGCTTCTTTGCCTGTTAGTTTTGTTTTGTTTTTTTTTGAGACAGAGTCTTGCTCTGTCGCCAGGCTGGAGTGCAGTGGTACAATCTCGGCTCACTGCAGCCTCTGACTCCTGGGTTCAAGTGATTCTCCTGCCTCAGCCTCCTGAGTAGCTGGGACTACAGGTGCCTGCCACCATACCCAGGTAATTTTTGTATTTTTAGTAGAGACCAGGTTTCACCATGTTGACCAGGATGGTCTCGATCCCTTGACCTCATGATCCACCCACCTTGACCTCCCAAAGTGTTGGGATTACAGGCGTGAGCCACCGCGCCTGGCCCGCCTGTTAGTTTTTAAGTCAACCTTATTGAGGTGTGATTTGCATTCCATGAAATACACCCCTTTCGTGTCCATTTGATGAGTTCTGATGCTGAGGTGTCCCGTGTTCATGAGCCGGGGTGCTCCCTGCTCCGTGGCCTTCATCCCAGCCCTGGCCATGGGCAGCCATTGGTCCATGTGTCCCTGGGTGTTAGTTTTGCCCCTGCCAGGGATTTTTAGGTGAGCGAGTGGGTTGGCTGCCTCTTCCCCAGAGTTGTCTCTGAGGCAGGGAGGTTTGTCCCCTGCAACGACCTCGGAGGAGGATTTTGGGTCCGAGTCCCGTCTCGAGGTTTGTCTCTGGGCCAGGCTGCATCTGAGGGAGGTTCAGGGGTGCTCATTTTGGAGACTCCTTCTTTCTTTCCCATCGCCTGCTTTGGAGACGTGGCTGGCGGTGCTGCAGTGGCCTCAGTGAGCGTAAGGTTGACTGGAAGTAGGTTTCTAATTGTCTAATGCTGTTGTTTACTTTGAGTGCATGTTGTGGGGGTTGGGGAGACGCTGGTCGGCAGGCCACCTGCTACAGCCCCAGCTCACGTGTGTGTTGTGAAGGAGCGCTGCACTCGTCTTCAGGGTTATAGAATAAATTCTCTCCAAAATAATGGAGGAAAATTGCCTGAGAGTGGATAACCATACGGGAAAGAAGTTCCGCTTAGAGGTTTCCCTCCCCAGTATGCTCATAGTTCAAAGTTGCTAAAAGAAAATAAATTAGGTTGGGCACGGTGGCCCGCTCCTGTAATTCCAGCACTTTTGGAGGCCGGGGTGGGAGGATCACTTGAGGCCAGGAGTTCAAGACCAACCAACGCAACACAGCAAGACACCGTCTCTACAAAAAATTGAAACATTAGCTTAGGTGTGGGGGCATTACCTGTAGTCCTAGCTACTTGCGAGGCTGTGAAAGGAGGATCACTTAAGCCCAGGAATTCGAGGCTGCAGTGAGCTGTCCTCCAGTCTGGCCAACAGAGAGAGACCCTGTCTCAAAAAAAGAAAGAAAAGAATCTATCTAATGTCCATCTAAGTATCGGTTTGGAGAAGTCAGAGATTAACCCAGTTTCCTGGTGCCATCTTGTCATTGCCTCATGACCTAACTGGCACTGACGTAGAGGTTTGAAGCTGGAACTGGGAGTTCTTGCTTACAGGCCTTGGAGAGACACTTGAGCTCTTTCTTTGTGGAGCACAGGGCAGCCTTCCAGGGAATTCTGAACTTTGTCCATGGGTCTCTTCATAGAATCAACATCCTGGGCTGTCCTGGTCATGCATGGCTTCTGTGACCACTGAGTGCACACGCAGGGCCCCAGTGTGTTCCAGAAGATGGTGGGATGAAAGCGGGGAGAGCAGAGGGCGCTCGTTCCTGCTGGGCGTCCCTCCAGCCTGAGGATGCGCCATCCCTGCACTCCACACAGCGAAGCCCACCTCCCTACCTACCACACATCCTCTTGTGCCCACCCGGTCCCCAGGTCCTGCTGTGCAGAGGGGGATGATGACCCCTTCTGTTTCTCTCTTGGGAGCCTCTTGTGACCCCCCACTCCTGGCTTCCCCTCTCCAGGCTTTGTAGGTTCACAGCCTCTTTGATTTCATGGTTTGTAGGGCAGAGGATTTGTGCTTTAGCAGAAGTGACACGCGGGATGCATCACACACAACCCCAGCTCCACGCATGCGCAGGCACACTCGGTGTTTGGGTTGGGGGTGGTGGGAGCAGGAGAGCAGAGGTGGGGCGGGGGCAGGCTCCGGTGAGAAGGGGCTGGGGTGGGGGCAGAGAGCAGAGGTGGGGCTGGGCTGGGCTCTGGTGAGAAGGGGCGGGAGACGGGGAGAGCAGAGGTGGAGTTCGAATCTTCACGCCTCCAAAGCTGTTGGGGCATGGTCCTCAGAGCTCCAGTCCCTCTGGGCAGCTCCCCGTTGGGGATTTGGGGTGCATGGCATATGGGGCTCTGCAGTCCTGCAGGGGCTGCTTTAACAGTACAAACCCAGGGATTCTGAAACATAGGTCACTCATGTTTTTGTTTCTTACAGTCCTTACTACCATTTTGCAAAACCAGCATTCAGCAGATCACACTCTGTGGAATGCCAACATTCAGGATTTGGCAGGTTGGTGCCAGAAGCCAGGAGAAGGGCTAAATGATGCCTCATAGCTGGTGTTTGCCAGCTGTGAGTATGTGGAGGAAAAGCGGAGAGGCCAGGCGGGGATCAGGCCACACTGGGCTGCAGGGCCCTGGGAGCCTCAGCTCCACCCACAGTAGCACCCAGGCTGGAGCACTCTTAGATGGAGGAATGAAAACATTGTATCAGAGAGGTCATAACATTTTGTTACTAAAGGTGATAGCTTTAGTGGTGCCTAAGAGTAGATACAAAGCTACAAAGCTTCTCTTCTGCTGGATTTTTTTTTTCTTTTAGACAAGAGTCTCGCTCTTGCCCAGGCTGGAGTGTAGTGGCACAATCTCGGCTCACTGCACCCACCGCCTCCCGGGTTCAAGCAGTTCCCTGCCTCAGCCTTCCAAATAGCTGGGATTACAGGCGCCCACTGCCACGCCCAGCTAATTTTTGTATTTTTAGTAGAGACGGGGTTTCACCATATTGGCCAGGCTGGTCTTGAACTCCTGACCTCGTGATCCACCTGCCTTGGCCTCCCAAAGTGCTGGGATTACAGGTGTGAGCCACTGTGCCCAGCCCTGCTTGAGTTTTTCTGTGAGATTTTGGAACATGGAGAAGTTTTTCTGTGGGCCTGGTCAGTTATGGGGCACCCTCTATACTGTCTCTCCCTGTGGATGGGCACCTGGGCATGATCACCTGCAGAGTCCACCTTAGACGAGGTATCTTGGTGCTTCCCGAGGAGCAGGCTCCTGCACCACACAGGTGGGCTGCCTGGCACCTGCCGTGAGAAGAGGCATGGGAGTCACGCCCTCCGGCAGGAGAGGAAAAGTGCTCTCCTAAGTTCATGGCCAGCACAGACTGTTATCACTAAAGGAAGAAAAAGTTAAGTTGAGAAGTAAATGTGGCATCTATTTTAATTAGCTTTTAAAATTACTAATGCTGCTGGATTCTGTTTCGTTTTCATTTTGTTCCTTGTGCATCTTTTGTGGAACACTGTGCTTTTTGAAATTTTGTGTTTTTCTTTGTCTTCACCCTAAAATTAGTTTACTATCTCCCCGGGCACCCTGTCACTTCATTTTAAAAGGCCTCATTCTTTACTGTGCATATCGAGTTTCTCTAGATTTGATTTTTGATGTGTGGATTATGGGGAAGCTCAAACCTTGATTCACCCGCCTCCTCCTCCGTCTCGTCATTCATTGCTTCTGTTAAACATTTAAAAAAATGCAGGTGGCCTTTCACACAGAGTGGCCAAAATGGCTCACGTGCAGCCTCATTGCTGGAGGTGAACGTGGTGTGAAGTGGCCTCCGTGTGTCCCAGGGGACTGGCCTATTTTAGATGCTTGCCCAGCGTCACCTCCTCAGCCTCAGGTCTCTGTGGGTGGGTTGACCGGCACCCAGGCCGCTTGGTAGCCAGTGGAGAACGGCCCTGGAAGTGACTGTGAGCTTGGCTGTATCCTCCAGCCTTGGGGGTTGCGATCGTGCTTTATAGTGCAGAGGCTGAGGCCTGGAGGGGGCCGGTGTGGGGGCTGGAGCCAGCCTGTGGGCAGAGTGCCCGTGCCCCCTGCACTCCTGCTCCTGCAGTGTCCCTGCACCTCCGGCCTGTGCCTCAGGCCCAGAAAACCCTGTTCAAGCTGCCTCTTTGCTGCTGGCCGTCCTCTATCCCCGGGCCCATCACCCTCCCTTCTTCTGTTTGCCTCTTAGTCTTGCCTTGTGTGTTTCTCAGAGGCTTCCTCGGGAAGCATCCAGTGAGGCAAGGGGACGGTGGTGGCCCCTGCTGACCTGGGTGATATTCCTGGAGGTACAGCTTGTGTGCCTGCCTGCCTGGCCCCTGTCCACCCTGGGCCATGGCTGCTGACCTGGGTGAGATGCAGCTTGTCTGCTTGCCTGTCTGGCCCCCTGTCTGCCCCAGGCCCAGGCTACTGTTTTCTCTGCCCTTCCCTCTGCTCCCTGAGTCTCTGTGACCTCAGGCAGCTGCTCCCTCTGCTGAAAAGCTCCCAGGAGACAGGGAAGGGCCTTGGTCTCTGAAGCCAGCACAGAGGGAATCAGCATGGCCACCCTCTGAGGACTGCATCCTGGCTCCCTGTCCTCCCAGGAGAACGTCTGTGGCTTTTTCCTGGTTGCTGTGGGAGCCTCACCTGCAAGTGGAACCTTCTTACCTGCTGGGCTGGCTCACCTGCTGAGGGGGCTATAGGGTTCCCCTTGTTCCTGCTCTGAGTTGATAAGGCAGTGCTGAGGGGGCTATGGGGTTCCCCCTGTTCCTGTTCTGTTGATAAGGGGGTGCTGAGGGGGCTGTGGGGTTCCCCCTGCTTCTGCTCTGTGTTGATAAGGGGGTGCTGAGGGGGCTGTGGGGTTCCCCCTGCTTCTGCTCTGAGTCGATAAGGGGTTGCTGAGGGGGCTGCGGGGTTCCCCCTTCTTCTGCTTCGTGTTAAGGGGATGCTGCATGGGAGCTGGAGAGAGGTGGGGGCTGTGGTGGTTGTTGCTAGGTCTTCCAGTTTTTCAGAAGTTGGGAAATGAGGCTGTTATGTAGGATCTCCTGACTTTGACATGTTGGTGACCAGTTCAAGTTTTGAAAATTCCCTTCAGGCCAAACTGCAGGCTGATTGAGATTCCCGCGCTGGAACAGTCAGGGGTTGGGGCTTTCTATGAGTGCGTGCCACACACAGCCCAGCCTTGGAGGTGGTGGCTCTGCAGGCATGTGTCCCAGCTCTGTGGTGGCTCTGGGGAGGCAGAGACCGCAGGGAGGCAGAGACTGCCAGTCATTGGCCTGTGGTTCTGCCCTGCAGAGGCTCCTAGCTGAGCTGAAGAGATGCTCAACCCTGGTCAAAAGTCAGCAAGAAGGCCTGGGAGCCTGCAGCTAGAGGAGCTCGGGGCCAGGGAGGCGTGGGGGCGGGGGTGGTGCAGAGCCTTGGCTGTCTTCTCTTCTGTGGGAGTGTGTGTGCATGTGGAAATTTCGCATCTGGCCCACCTGCTGCTCTGCACACTATCCCCGCCTTCCCCAGGCAGGAAGCAGGGCTGCTGTGAGCTAGAAACTGGGCTTTTTGCCTGGTGGCAACCCGGAGGCTGCAGGGAGGGCCTGGGGCACCTGGGCTGAGCTGTGGGAGGGGACTCAGGGCCACTAGACCCGGGTACCAGTGCCTGGGCCACTGGTTCTGGGGAGCGCCAAATGTGCCGAAGGGTTCTGAGTCAGGCTGTATGGGGGTCTTACGGCCCCTCCCCGGAGCCCTACCCCACCTGGAGTCTGGGAGATGGGCAACAGGTGCCTGGTCACTGTGGTGTTTGCCAACTCCTGGGCTCCTTCCCCGGGATGCCGCTTGGGGCCTGGGAGAGGGGGAGTGGGTGGGCAGTCTTTCCTGCTGCAGGTTCAGGACTGGGTGAGGCGGCGTGGGTGGGCCTCCCTTCTGACCCGGGTCTCTCCCGCTGCAGGTTCGGGATTGGGAGAGGCGGCATGGGCGGGCCTCCCTCCCGACACAGGATCTTTCCTGCTGCAAGTTCGGGACCAGGAGAGGCGGCATGGGTGGGCCTCCCTCCTGACACAGGATCTTTCCTGCTGCAGGTTTGGGACCAGGAGAGGCGGCATGGGTGGGCCTCCCTCCTGACCCAGGTGTCTCCCGCTGCAGGTTCGGGACTGGGAGAGGCGATGTGGGTGGGCCTGACACAGGGTCTCTCCGGCTGCAGGTTCAGGACTGGGAGGGGCGGCGTGGGTGGGCCTCCCTCCTGACCCGGGTCTCTCCCGCTGCAGGTTCGGGACTGGGAGAAGTGGCATGGGTGGACCTCCCTCCTGACACAGTGTCTCTCCCGCAGGTTTGGAAGGCGCTTTGAGTCCCCGCTGCTGTGGCAGAGCGCCATCATGATCCTGACCATGCTGCTGATGCTGAAGCTGTGCACCGAGGTCCGTGTGGCCAACGAGCTCAACGCCAGGCGCCGCTCCTTTACAGGTTGGTGGCCGGCGCTTCGGAATAAAGTCGCAGGGAATCAGGGCGTAGGTGACTCTGGTGAAACAAAAGCCACTCTAATCTGTCCTGATCCAAGCAGCTTTCATTTCACCAAGTGGTGCTGTTATCTCCAGCTGATAGTGTTTTCAGTATGTTAAATGACTTCAGTTAAACGGTTTATGACTTGAAGCAATTCAAGATAATAGTTTCTTCACTGGAAGTTGGGTGAGGCCTCAACACATCTTCACGGTTCCTCTTGGCTGTGAGCGCCATCCCAGACGCTTTCTGTGTCAGAACAAGAAGTGCTCATCTGTGCCTGGCCCATCAGGTCAGACGGTACCAGGTCAGGCGTTTCGTCTGTGTGCGTGGCCTGTACACAAAACACACCCTTTCAGTTCTGCTGTGACTCAGGGGTACCTTAGCCAGGGTCTTCCTCACAGACCTTGTTAAACAGACCCAGAGTCCCCCCGCAGGGTCAGGCAGCCCCTTTATGCGGAGCACACTGCAGTGTTGACAGCTGGGCAGGACCAATCACATGCTTAGCACACATGGCTCCTTAACCTTTGGCAGCTTAGAAAATAGAAAATACTTCTTCCAGTTTTTGCCTATTGCACAGTTTGTTCCAGTCTGAACTCTGTTTGAACATGCAGGCTGGCGGGCTTCTTGTGTGCAGGAGGGTTAAATCCTTCCTTTTGTTTTTCTTCTAATTACTAAATCTAAGACAGCACTCACTTTGGCTTTGAGAGAGAGAGTGATCTCAGCTATCACTTGGAGAAGAGTATCTTCCCAGAGTTTGTTAAGTTTGGGGCTTCTGTGGATTTGAGCTCTTGCCGGGGAGCTGTGTCCCTGTGTTTCTATTCCTGACCGCTACTTCGTCCTGTTGGAGAGGATTCCCACCTCTGCCTTTTTGTCTGCTTCTGTTTCTAGACTGAGGTGACTGTGTGCTGCTTTCAGCCTCTGTAGAAACCAGACCAGCCTCCAGCCAGTGTGACCTGGGCCAGTTAGTGTCGTTGGGGCCACAGAGATGAGCTCCAGCGTCTTTTCTGCGGTGTTCTGTTCTTTCTCCCCATTCACGCCATTCTCCTCTCCTCTGAGTCTCTGCTCTGTTCCCTTCTATTGTGTTTTGGGTTTGAAATTACACCAGAGATGGTACTGAGGATACCACAGATCTTGCCTAGAAAGCAGGCTTTTAAGAACCAGCCGGATTCCCCGCATGAGGAGCTGCGGTTTTACATTTCTGCTTAGGTGACTCGGTCTTGCTCCCCGCAAGGCTTTGCTCCTTCTCTGGACCTGAGCTCCTCATGGCATGTTCCCTGCCCCTTTGAACCTCAGTATTTAACTTGGAACAAGAATGTTCTCACTGTGGGAGGGCCGGCTGGCCGAGAGAACGGTTTGTGCCTAAGATGCCCAGTGCGTTGCTGGGAGTTTCTGCTGTCCTCGGGCTCTGGACATTTGTGCCTAAGATGCCCAGTGCGTTGCTGGGTGTTTCTGCTGTCCTCGGGCTCTGGACATGAGGCCAGACCTTGTGACCTTGTTGGCAGTGGGCAGTGGCTTGATGTGAGGTCCCAGAGACGGCAGGTTGTGAGTGTCCAGGCAGAGCAGCCAGCGTGGGGTTTAATGTGAGTGTGTGTTGGAACACTGGGATACCCCTAGAAGCGGCATCGTAAGCTCCCCACCTGCATTCATTTTACCAGCAGGTGCAGGTTCAGGCTTGTCTCAGAGGACCGTTGGATAAGAAGGGAGTGGGATGGTGGATGCCTGGCGTTCTGTGTCACTTCTTCCAAAGGAGTACTTCTCTTCTGGTTACCCAGGATGAGTTAAAAATGTGAGTCCCAGTTTCCAGAGCTAGGCCTGGAATCTGAATTTTAAACACCCTCTGTGGGTGTACAGAATAATGGCCCCTGGAGACGTCCGTGCCCTGATCCTGGGAACCTGTGACGTGCCACTGTACATGGCAGAGAGACTCTTGAGGGGGCTGGTCCTGGATTATCCTGTGGTGTAACCTAATCTCAGGGGTCCTCAGACGTGAACAAGGGCCGCAGAGGAGATGGTCAGGTGCTGGAGCTGAGGGCCTGGCTCTCTGCCATGGGTCGGCCGTCGCTTTACAGGCAGCAGAGCCCCCGACCACGGGGAGCTGAGTTCTGCCTGTACTTGAATGGGTAGGAGACACAGCCTTGGTTTTAGTTCAGGAGACCACTGGGCCTCTGGCCTCCAGAATTAAGATAATCAGCCTGCATTGTGGCTGCCACGTTTGTGGTACCTTGTTATGGAGGCGATAGGAAGCTGGGGCACCCTTTCCTCAGGCCTGGAGTATTTGGGAAGCAGTCCAGGGCCGCCACGAGGGGTAGGGGGCCGGGCTCCTGGGGTCAGCCTGGGTGACCTGTGCCTGCCCTCCCCCGGGGAGGACTGAGAACCAAGCTGCATGACTCCTGGGCCCCAAATGACCTCAAGTGGGACATCCGCTCTTGAGCTCTGTGTCCTGGGGTGTAGCTGTGTGTGTTAAAGAATTCTCAAGATTTACCTCTGCAGCACTCTTAATATTGGAGTCCGGTTTGAGTTTATACATGTCCACGTCCCCTTGGTGGATGGGCCAGGCCTGTTCCTGCAGGGCGTCTTGATGAAAGGTGTGGGCTCATGTCCTCTCATCTGCCAGGAGAGGGGAGGGCAAGGCAGGAACATCACTGGAGTTCAGACTGAAAGCTCTGGCTTCTGGCCGCCCGATCGGTAGCTCCTGCAGCACAGCCCCATGCCAAGCAAGGTGGCCAGCCTTGTCTTCCTGTCAGCGGCGTCACCTTTAAGGGAAGGTTGTTGGCTCTGAACATGTTCTGTTTTTTTTTTTAAGCTTTTAAGTTCAGGTACATGTGCAGGTTTGTTATATAGGTAAATTGTTTGTCACGGGGGTTTAGTGTACAGATTATTTCTCTAACTCCTGAACTCCTGACCTCAAGTGATCCACCCACCTTGGCCTCCCGAAGTGCTGGCATTACGGGCGTGACCCACTGCGCCCGGCCAGTGTGCAGATTATTTCATCACCCAGGTATTAAGCCTAGTACCCACTGGTTATTTTTCCCGGTCCTCTCCCTCCTCCTGCTCTCCACCCCCCGACAGGCTCTAGTGGCTGTTGTTCCCCTCTGTGTGTCCATGTGTTCTCATCATTTAGCTCCCACTTACACGTGAGAACATGCGGCATTTGGTCTTCTGTTCCCGTGTTAGTTTGCTAAGGATGATGGCCTCCAGCTCCATCTGTGCTCCTCTAAAGGATACGATCTTGTTCTCTTTTATGGCTGCATAGTGTTCCGTGGTGTATACGTACCACATTTGCTTCATCCAGAAGAAAATCTAGATGATTTTCATTGATGGGCATTTAGGTTAATTCCAAGTCTTTGCTAGTGTGAATAGTGCTGCAGTGAACATATGTGTGCATGTGTCTATAGTAGAGCGATTTATATTCCTGGCGTTTATACCCAGTACCGGGATTGTTGGGTTGAATGGTATTTCTGGTCTTTGAGGAATCACCACACCATCTTCTGCAATGGTTGAGCTAATTTACACTCCCACCAACAGTATGTAAGTGTTCCTTTTTCTTCACAACCCCACCAGCATCTGTTATTTTTTTTTATTAATAGCCATTCCGACTGGTATGAGACGGCATCTCATTGTGGTTTTGATTTGCGTTTCTCTAATGATCAGTGATGTTGAGCTTTTTTTCATACGCTTGTTGGCCGCATGTATGTCTTCTTTTGAAAAGTGTTCATGTCCTTTGCCCACTTTTTAATGGGGTTATTCATTTTTTTCTTGTAAATTTAAGTTCCTTATAGTTGCTGGATATTAGACCTTTGTCAAATGCGTAGTTTGCAAAAATTTTCTCCCATCTGTAGGTTGTCTGTTTGCTCTGTTGATAGTTTCTTTTGCTATGCAGCAGCTCTTTAGTTTAATTAGATCCCCTTTGTCAATTATTGCTTTTGCCAAGTACATTCTTGAGCCTCACCCTGAGGGTGAGGACATGCCAAGGGGGATCATGGGCCTTGAGAGGCACAATTCTTGGCAGACCGATGAGGACATGAAAATAACTTATGAGGAAACGTTTGAATAGCTGCATTTCACTGTGCTCATGGATGGTCAGACGACCTAATGAAATAAAAGCGGAAATGTTTTCCAGCTATCTTTTATAGGGATTTTAAGTTTTGAAGGTCACAAATTCAGTTTGAAAGTTAATATAAAAGAAACATAAATGGTATTAAGAAAGAGTAGGTTACTTAAAAAATTAGATACATAATTTGTTGTCTGATTA
Source organism: Homo sapiens (assembly GCF_000001405.40). Lineage (NCBI taxonomy): Eukaryota > Metazoa > Chordata > Mammalia > Primates > Hominidae > Homo > Homo sapiens. Next base: position 79,939,040 of record NC_000018.10, on the reverse strand, counting down.
TAAAGAACAGTGCATGCTCATGGTAGACATTTGGGGAAGACAGAATATAAAGTAAAACAGCTTCTGGCCGGTCGCAGCGGCTCATGCCTGTAATCCCAGCACTTTGGGAGGCCGAGGTGGGCGGATCACGAGGTCGGGAGTTCGAGACCATCCTGGCCAACATGGTGAAACCCCGTCTCTACTAAAGATACAAAAAGTTAGCTGGGCGTGGTGGCGCATGCCTGTAATCCCAGCTACTCAGAAGGCTGAGGTGGGAGAATCACTTGAACCCTGGAGGTGGAGGTTGCAGTGAGCCAAGATTGGGCCATTGCATTCCAGCCTGGGCCACAGGGTGAGACTCCATCTTAAAAAACAAAACAAAGCAAAACAAAAAAACAGCCTCCACCCCACCCTCCAGAGGTGACTACTTTGAACCTCGTGGCATGCTTTCCAAGTCTCTTCCTTTTTTCTTCTACAGTCGCCTTTCACAAAATTGGCATAATTTTCAAAATTATGATCAGACTTTAAAAAGAAACCCTCATTCCACTGAGATGTTTTCCCAAGCCCTTTTTGCTGTGAGTCAGGGTCAGAGCCCCTCACTGGAGGGAGATGTCCCACAGGGCCCCGAGTGCCCAGCCTGAGGAAGGCAGGGCTGGCATCAGCACGGTGCAACCCCTGGGCGGAGCTGAGCCTCTTCGGCCAGGCCATGGCTGACTGCGGTTGGGAGTGAGTGCACACCTGTCTCTCGTGTGCTGGGTTATTTCTTTTTACCTTTCACTTTGCATTATGGAGAATTTCAAGCGTTTACCAAGTAGGTAGGGTGGCATAAAGTCCCGAGGGTGATTGGACCCACAGTTGCATTCAGGTCTCCTTCCTGCAGGTTTTTCTTTTTTCTTTCTTTCTTTTTTTTTTTTTTGAGACAGGGTCTCACTCTGTTGCCCAGGCTGGAGTGCAGTGGTGTTATCAAAGCTCATTATCACCTTGAATTCCTGGGTTCAAGCCAAGCGATCCTCCCACCTCAGCCTCCCAAAGCGTTGGGATTACAGGTGTGAGCCCCTGTGTCTGGCAGTATATACGATTTTGTTGTTTAAAAATCCGTGGGTTCTCCCTTAGCTCCTCTCAACTTTGCCCGTGGTCTGTATTGCGGCATCAGTGCCACCTGCATTTTTAACAAGATTGCTGAGTACTCCTGCAGGCTGAGTTTTGGGAAGCCCTGCAGTGGAGATGGCACTCCTGGTGTTTCCTCGTGTCTTTATGTCCCTGGGATGTGGACAAGGACAAGGTGTTCTGTCCTTGGCTCTTTCTGTGAAAGAGCATTTTAAAAAGATAGCGGACCCTGAGGCCCTATCGGATCCAGGTTTGGTTCTTGTGTTTCGCAGGATGGTTGCGTCGTTCCGTCGGAGGTGCGTGTGGTCAGCGGCCACTGTGGGGCTCATGCTGAGGCCGTCAGCTCATCAGGGGCTGCAGGATGTTTGTTGTCTGTTAGCTGGAGCCCCTCTGCAGAGAAATGGGCGGGTACCCATTGTTCAGCTATCCACAGGTGTAATTTATAAAGGAAATGCGGGTCTCTTTACCAGTTTTCAAAGTTGGTTCCCTAGCATCTTGCAATGATGAGTGCATGTTTCTGAGTCATTCTGAACATGTGAGTTGGACGTTTGGTGTGTTACTGGATTATTACGCTTGTTAATGCTCCAGTTCTTCCCTCTGGCCGGGGAGCCGCGTCAGATGCTGCTGGGCCCTTTCGACCCAGCATGAGGGGTCTCGCTTCTACACAGGATCCTGGTATAACAGGGTGCTCGTGTGGCGGCTACATCTCCTGCCCCAGACCTAGAATCCGTCGTTTCTCCAAGGAGCTCTGGTATCTGGGACACAGTGTTTGGAGACCACGGCCTAGGCATGTGTGAGGGTTGGCCTACAGGTTGATTTTTTGGCTTTTTCAGTGGATGGAGCTAGGGAGTTTTTTTTGGTGAGGTGAAATACTTCATGAGTGGACACCAATTCTTTCCATTTGACTTCAAACCTCCAGGCCTGGCTGTGTCGCTTAGCCTGAGCTCTGCCTCCCTTCTGCCCTCAAGGACCCCACAAATAATGGAATGTGGCATCCTCATGCCTCCCTTAGCCCTCTCTGTGCACGGCAGTCTGAGGGTCACCATGCCAGCGCCGGCCTCCCGGTTACTGAAAACGTTTGTTTTATTGGGGGTGGAGGTTTATATGCTCAGGATTGCACATCCTCAGGACACTTCCCGCTGGGAACGGAGGTCAGGTCGCTGCTGCATGATACGTCACCAGGAAACAAACGCACCTTGTCAGGGGTGCACCAGCAACTGGATACACGGGGTCATTTGTTTCATTTTAAATATTGCTTTTATAAAGTTTAACTTTGTTTTATCATGTACTTTTTTCCTTTTAAGTTCCTCTTAGGGGTTATTTGAGAAATAATTGTCTGTGGCTCAAAGTCAGGTGGTTGAATTTACTTGAAATTTGTCCCAAATCTCAACACTCAGTTCCAGGCTGGAGGCCAGGGAGAGGGAGTGGCTGCTGGTTAGTCAAGGGTTTCTTTTTGGGGTGCTGAAGATGTCCTGAAATTAGATAGTGATGGTGTTTGCACAACTGTGGATATCCTAAAAACCATTGAATTGTACACTTTAAACAGGTGAGTTAGTTATAATTCAAGAAAGCTGGAAAATGTGTTGTATGTAGGGGTCATGTGCCATCTTGCATGCATTTTCAGGGGTTTATTGAGATTCTTGGACGTCACATTAGGAATCCCTGTATCTGCCTGTGTACCTCCCATTGGGGGCTCGCCTGGGCCACTGTGATCATGTGCTCTTCCCTGGTCCCAGGCTGTCTGGCACCTCCCTGTCACTATCACCCCTGCACTCCCCATACACGCCGTACCGACAGGGTACAGTGCAAACCTTCCTTCATGTGCCAACAGCAGTGGTCTCCAGTCGTGACATGGACCAAAGTCCCAGGAAGCAGGTGATGGCCTCTGTGGCCCAGCCAGCCTCCTTCCTGCTGGCCATGTGGAACCATAACTTGTTGTGTCTCTCTTGTTCCAGTCTCTTTGGCTACTCCACAAGTTACCCCAAATCTTAGGACTTGGAAGGACAACAATTATTTTGCTTGTGAGTGCATTTTGGGCAGAGCTTGGCAAGAATAGCTGGTCTCTGCTGTCCTCAGGAGCATCTGGGGAGGCTCAAAGGCTAGGGCTGCAGCCCTTGAAGCTCATTCTCTTGCTTTTTCTCTCTCTCTCTCTCTCCCTCACTCGCTCTTTGGCATGGCTGGTGCTAGCCATCTATCTGCTGGGACCTCCACCCAGGCTCTGCTGGGACACCCACCAAGGCCTCCTCATGAGACCTGGGCTTCCTCACAACATGGCGGCCAGGTCCCAAGGGGGAGCTACCTGAGAAAGCAGGTGGAAGCTGTATCTTTTTTATGACCTAAGTCTTGGAAATCACAGCATTGCTTCTGTGGACTGGAGTGGTCACAAGCCCACCCATGATCAAGGGGAGAAGACACTGACACCACCTCCTGATGCCGAGTGTGGAGGAAAAGGAAAATGTTGCTGGGCCCTTTTTGGATCCTGAGTGCCTGGTCTGGAGGACGTGTTCAGCACAGATCTGTGGAAGTGTGTGACTGTTGAAAATGTTCCTGGCAGCTCTCTCAGCATCAGAACTCTGCATTCCATCCTACACAAACGTGGATCTGATCACACTGCTTTCCAGGCAAGGAGCCTCAGGTAGCTTGAGGCTGTGCCTAGGACACAGCCTGGTGTGGGATGTGACTCTGCAGCCTGAACCATGTCTTCTTCCCCAGCCTGCCGGCTGGCTGCCTCCCACCATTGCCTGTTCACAGTCACACCTGGATGTGAGAAGGGAAACAGTGTGGACTGAGCAGTCCTGCCTTGGGTGGTCCCTCCCTCCCACCCCTTGAGGATCTTGGTCTTTAGAAGAGGCGCCCGTGGAGAGGGATGTTGTCTAAATCAAAGCAACAGAGAGGACGAGCTGAGGGACCCATAGAATCCAAGAGGCAGTGCTGGGGGAGGCTGAGGGAGGAGAGAAGACTGCACTTTGTATGCTGCATTGGTTTATAAAACCCTCAAATTTGGTAGAGATATTGCAGTTCCTGCCTTGTGAGTGGAACAACACCCTAAGTCCAAGTAGCAGAGGGCAGAGGTCAGAGGTCACCTCGTATTTGCTTTTAGCTGTTCACTTGCAAAATTTCCATTTTAAGTCTACATTGCCTGGGGCAGGCAAACACAACCTTTGATCCTACTTCTGCTTTCTGATCCCAGGACTTATTTGAGTCTCTTGTTTATCAACTGTCTTCAATCCCAAACCCCATGGGGCTTCCCAGGAGCCACCTAGAGGCCACACTGTTTTCCAGGACCTTGGCTGCTGTCTTGTCCTGGGGCTGCGCAGATAGGAAGGTTGACTTATAACCTGTCATTGCCAGTGCTGGGCCCTGGAGGGTGCTGGGTCCCTGTCACATTGTCCCTGTGTCTGTGTCTGTGCAGAGGTGCTTGTCAAGTGCATGTGCGGAACCAGCTGTCCTTTTACAGCAGAGTGTACTCTGAAAACAGCTTTATCAGGCAGCCTTCTGAAGAGTTTTGACCTGGGGCAGCTATATTGCAGCCGCAGCTTGCATACAGATGAGTTTCTAGGAAAAGGGAAGCAGGATCTGCCTGGCTGCTTTCCATCAGCACAGCACGCTTGTGACGGGCTCCCATGCTGCCTTTCTCCCGAGAGATTAAATGGAAATGTGGTAACTTTCAATTTTTGGCTCAATTTTTCTCCCATTCTCCCCATTCACTTTTTTATGATATTGGAAGAGGTTAGGTTTGCAGAAAAATAGTTCAGAAAGTGGGTTTTCTAATGCACAAAAACCAAAATCTTGTGATCTTTCTATTCTGGTTTGTTTTTTTTTTTTTAAAGAAATGCAAAAAGTTCTGGGAACACAGCTGTTTACCCATGTTAAAACCAGTATGTTTCTGTCTTTTTCCCCTTTCTGTTTCTGTCTCCCTTTTTAACGTGTAGCTGCAGATAGCAAGGATGAAGAAGTCAAGGTTGCCCCCAGGCGGTCCTTCCTGGGTATGTACCCTGCGCGTGCACTGTCCGCAGCACGTTCCTTTTGCTTCATTCCTGCAGCTGTACTTCCTCCTGTTGTTGCTTCCATCTGTGCATGTGCGTGCGTCATCTTTACCAAGCGTGGCCGAGTCTACAGCAAACTAATCAACTCCTAGCTCTGCTGTTTTCAAGCATGAAGTAGTTACTAGAAGCCTGTCCATGCTCTTCTGTGTGTGGGGAGATGGGGGCGGGAAGGGGAAGCAGGAGGGAGACAGGAAGGGAGGAGAAAAATTTAGATGACAAATTTTGGACTTTGTTAAATTTATTCCAAAGTATTTTATCCTTTTTGATGCTATTGTAAATGGAATTGTTTTCTTAATTTCAGTTCTGCTGCTTCATTGCTACTTTATAGAAATGTAATTGATCATTGCATGTTGATCTTGTATCATGCAATTCTGCTGAACTGGTTTGTTCTAAGAGTTGTTTAGTAGATTCTCTATATATGATTCTGTCATTTGCAAATATAGTTTTAATTCTTCCTTACCAATGTAGTTGCTTTTATTTCTTTTTATTGCTTATCCTGGTTATAGGCGGTGAGAGTGGATGCACCTATCTTATTCTTCATTTTAGTGAGAAAGCATTCCATCTTTCATCACTAAGTAGATGTTAGTTAATGGATTTTCCATAGTTGCCCTTCATTAGGTTAAGGCAGTTCCCTTTTATTCGAGTTTGTTGGGTGTTTTTATAATAAAAGAGTTTGCCAAATGCTTTTCGTGTCTGTTGAGATGATCATGTGGGTTTTATTTTTTATTCTACTATGATGATGTACTACATTGATTGATTTTTGTGTGTTGAACCAACCTTGCATTCTTGGGATAAATCCATGTGGTCATGGTGTCTAACACTTTTTATCTGTTGCTGGATTTTATTTGCTAGTATTGTATTGGGGATTTTTTGTATCTGTATTCGTAAGACATGATGGTCTGTAGTTTTCTTGTGATGACTTTGTCTAGATTTAGTATTAGGATAATACTGGCCTTATAGAATAAGTTGGGAAATGTTCCCCTCCTTTTCTATCTTTTTAGAGTTTGCAAAGGGTTGACACTAATTTCTCTTTAAATATTTTTAGAGTTATCCAGTGAAGCCATCTGGGCTTGGGCTTTTCTTTGTGGGAAGTTTTAAAATTACGAATTCAATCTCTTGTTATAAGTCTATTCAGATTTTTTGTTTCTTTGTAAGTCAGTTTTGGTAGTTTGTATTGGAATTTTTCCATTTCACCCAAGTTATCTAATTTGTTGACATATAATTTTTCTTAGTATTCCCTTATAATCCTTTGTATTTCTGGAAAGTCATTAGTAATGGTTCCTCTTTTATTCCTGACTTTAGTAATTTGATCCCCTCCTTTCCTTTCTTTTTTTGGTCAGTCTAGCTAAAAATTTGTCAATTTTTTGTTCTGGTCAAATAACCAACTTTTTAAAAGGTGTTTCTTTTTCTTTTCTTTCTTTCTTTCTTTCTTTTTTTAACACAACACATCCACATTGCCTATCAGAGAACCAATTTTTGGTTTTGTTCATTTTCTTTATTGTTTTTCTATTCTGTGTTTTATTTCACTCCAATATTCTTTCATTCCTTATGCTTGCTTTGGTTTTAATTTACTCTTTTTCTTAAGGTGGAGGTTAGAACATTGATTTTTTTTCTTTCTTCCTTTTTAATGTAGTTATTGACAGCCATAATTTCTCTCTAAGCAGGTGCTTTACCTGCATCCTATACTTTGGTGTGTTGTGTTTTTGTTTTCATGCACCTAAAAGTATTTTAAAATTTACTCCAAGATTTCTTCTTTGACCCACTTATTAGGAATGTGTTAACTTCCACATATTTGTGAATATCCCAAAATGTCTTCTGTTATCGATTTCAAATTTATTTCCATTATAATTGTAGAATATACTCTGTATTATTCCAGTACTTTTATTTATTTATTTTTAATATTTGGAGACAGAATCTTGCTCTGTTGGCTGTGGTGTGATCTTGGCTCACTGCAACCTCTGCCTCCTGAGTTCAAGCAATTCCTGTGCCTCAGCCTCCCAAGTAGCTGGGACTATAGGTGTGTGCCACCGTCCCTGGCCAATTTTTTTTGTATTTTTTGTAGAGACAGGGTTTTCACCATGTTTACCAGGCTGGTCTCAAACTCCAGAGCTCAGGGCACCCACCCACCACAGCCTCCCAAAGAGCTAGGATTATAGGCATGAGCAACCACGCCCAGCCAGATTCCAGTACTTTTAAATAGAGGCACATCTTATGGCCTAGCATATGATCTGTCCTGGAGAATATTCAATGTGCATTTTGCTGTGGTTGGGTGAAGGTGGAGGGTTGTCTGTTAGGTCAAGTCTATGATTTATTGTTCTTCTGTGTAGTTGTTACGTCCATTACTAAATGTGGGTGTGGAAGTCTGTAACTATTTTTGAATTATCTTTTTCTCTTTTCACTTCTGTCAGTTTTTGTTTGATGTATTTTGGGGCACTGTTGTTTGTTAGGGACGTATATGCATATTTTCTCTTTTGACATCTGTGTCTTCTGACGTTAGTGTCATCACATGCATGTCTCCTGTGGTTGCCATTTGATATATTCTTTCCATTGTTTTACTTTTAACTTTTTTATGTCTTTGAATTTAAAATGAGTCTTCTGTATACATACGATGGATCTTTAAAAAAAATCCATTCTGGCAATTCTGCCCTTTGATTTGATTGTTTATTTCATTCACACTTAATGTTATAATATGTTCAGATTTACATCTGCTACTTTACTTTCTGGTTTCTGTATATCCTATGCCTTTTCCCCTTAGCTGTTGCTCCTTTACAGCTTTCTTTTGTATTAAGTAAATATTTTCTAATGTAACATTTTAATTTCTTTAAATAATGTTTTCTGAATTATTTTCTTAGTAGTTACTTGAAGGCTTACAATATTCATCTTAACTTATCAGAATCTACTTCAAATTTATACTAACTTAATTCCAGTGACAGGAACCTTACTCCTACATGGTTCGATTTCCTCCTCCCTTTTTAAATGGTATGATTATTATACATATTTTGTCTACATATATTACAACCTAACAATATATTTTTCTGATTGTTCCTTTATATACATTTTATGTCATTCAAGAACTTGAGAAAAGAAAGGAGAACAAACATATATTATGGAGTTATTATATTAACCTTATTTACCATTTGTGGTTCCTTTCATTTCTTTCTGAGACTGAGTTACCATCTACAGTCATTTTCTTTCTCTAATACAGTTTTGATCCCATCTCATTTGTGCTATTAATATTATTGTCAAATATATTACATTTCTTTATGTTAAAGGCCCCCAAACAATACAATGCATATTGTTTCATGCAGTTACTTTTTAAGTCAACTAAGAGAGGAAAGGAGAAGACATGTGACCGATATCATCTTTTATAATAACTTACATCATTGTCTTTACCTGTACTCTTTTTTTATGTGGATTTGAATTGCGTCTGATGTTTCTTGTTTTCAGCATGAAAAATTTGTTTTCTGTAAGGTCTGCCTACTAGCAACAGATTTTCTCAGTTCTTGTTTATCTGGGAATCTTTGTTTTCCCCTTATTTTTTAAAAAAAGTTTTACTAGATGTAAGAATCTTGGTTGATGATTTTTTTTTCTTTTCAGTGCTTTGAATATGTTATTCCACTGCCCTCTGGACTCCATTGTTTCTGATGAGAAGTCAGCTGTTAATCTTATTGGGGTTTCCTTGTAAGTGATAAATTATTTTTCTCTTGCTACTTTCAAGATTTTGTCTTTGTTTTTTGACATTCATCATTTAGACTGTGATGTGTCAGGGTGTGGATCTCTTTATCAGGTTTGCAATTTGTTGAGCTTCTTGGGTATGTGGATTAATATTTTCATCATATTTGGGAAGTTTTCAAAAGTCATTATCTCCTTGAATTTTTTTTTCTGCTCCCCTCTCTCCTCTCCACAATCTCACCCATTCTGCATGTGCCGGTGCCCTTTCCTGTCATCCCACCTTTCTCTGAGACTGTGTTCTTTTTTCTTAATTCTGTTTTCTGTTTGTTCTTTAGGTTGCATAGTCTTTATTGATATTTCTTTGAATTCACTGATTCTTCTGCCAGCTCAGTCTGTTGTTGAGCCCTTATAGTGAGTTTTAAAATTTTAGTTGTGCTTTGCAATGCCAGAATTTCCACTTGGTTCTTTTTTTTTAGAATTTCTGTCTCTTTATTGATAACCTCTATGTGATCAGTTGTTGTCATCATATTTTCTTTTAATTCTTTATGCATGGATCCCTTTAGTTATTTGAACATATTTATAATAGCTATTTTAAAGTCTTCTTCTACTGAGTCCAACACCTGTGCCTCTTCAAAAGCAGTTTGTGTCCTGCTTATTATTTTTTTCCTGTGTGAACCACACTTTTCTGTTTCTTTGTATAACTCATTTTGTTTTCTTGTTGCAAGCTGGACATTTTAGGTAAACTATAGTAGCAGCTGTGGATACAGATTCCCCCACTTGGGGGAAGGATGACTTACTGTTTGCTTGTTTGTTTTGTGATTTGGCTGGACTAGTGCAGTCTCTGGGCCTCTTCTCCCTCAGATGTGGTGGTTCTGGCTGGCTGTGACCCTCCCTGATCTTCCCGTTAAGCTTCTGGTGGTCAAACCAGCTGTTGGCCTCCACTCATTGATGGCTGCTGGCTGATTTGATGATGCCCTGGGGGATGTATTCCCCACAGCTGGGCAGGGTGGCCATTGGGGCCAGTGTTTGGTGGTGGTTCTGTTCCCAGGAGTGCTCCTCTTGGTTGTCCTTTCTGGTTCTGTTTGATAAACTTTGAGCTCATCATGGAGCTTCTAGCTCCTCTTAGTTGCTGGCTGCCGAGGTCTCTGTTGTTTTTGTTAGCATCCTTACACTTGAACTTGTACCTGCTCTAAGCAGGGAGTCCCTCTAGGGAGAGCTACGGAGCTCTCTATCCTGATACCGCCATCCCCAGGACAGAACCTCTGGTCCTCTGAGGGTGACAGCTCTGCTCTGAGTGCTGCATGGGAAGTGAGTTGTTGCCTCTGGTCTTCTTAGTTTGCCCCTGCTTGTGTGGAACCTCTCCCAGTGAGCAAGCTGAGGCAGGGACAAGGGATGCTCAGTGTCCTCTGCCCCTGCGCCATGGGTGGGGGCTGAGTGGAGGAAGGGAGCCTGGGCAGACAGGAGCTGAGCAGGCGATGAAGAGCTCGGGTGCCCGCCACTGCTGCAGTGGCACTGGGGGAGAGGGAGCCTGTCTTCTCGGTTGCCTGCTGGGAGTAGAGCTTTTGTCACATGGGGATGGGGAAGCAGGTTGTGGCCCAAGTGTCACGAAGTTGCTGTTCCTGCTGCCACTTAGGTGGTTTTCTTGGATAAGCGTTTCTCCATTCGCCGTGTGTCCCTAAGACACGTTAGGGACTTTAAGTGGGTGCTGTTTGTAATGTTCACCACTGGCAGTGATGTTGCTGGAGAGGGTCTGTGGAGAGCCTCACACTGCTGTTCTGGAAGAGCCTACTGCCTCTGTTGTTTCTGACCTGGCTGAAACCCTGATGGCTGGAAGCATGAAGAAGGTTTCAGGCTGGCAGAGCAACGCTCTTGAGTTTCTGTTCAATGGCTACATTGAGTAAACGCAGCAGCCAAGCATTCTCCATGGGGTGTGTCATGGAGGAACTCCTGGAACTGTCCTGAAGTCCTCTTTAGAAGTAGGTAGCCCAAAACTTTCATTTTAAAGTGACTTGGGGAAAACTGTTTATTCCAGTGCCATCTGGGCTGGGGCCTTTCTGGGCTGTTTCTGCTGTGTATGATGCTGTGTTTGTGTCCTGATTTCGGGCAGAAGCCGTTCAGGCTGGAGGGCCATGGCTCCCTTGGCCGCGGTGACAGCCCAGCCCCTCACCTCTCTCACCTGTCCACCGTTGGGTGCCCCACTGAGCAGACTCTGAGCAAATGAGGGGCCCGGAGATGTCAGTTAGGGTAAAGGGGGGAAAAGGCTCCTGAAGATGAGAGGAGGCTGAGAGCAGGCAAGGCCATTCTCCCAGGGCCTCCCTGGCTCTAGCTGAGGCGGCTGCAGGAATGTGTCTCAGCAGCTGTTAGGGCAGTGCGGCGGTGAGCGCTTGTCTGTCTGGGCAGCCTTGGGTTGGGACGCGGACACCTGTCTCGGCAGTTGCTTGATTTGTCCTTGCCGAGTGGGAGGGTGTTTGTTTCCCGGGGTCCTCTTTGGAAGCCGGCACGGCTGGCCCTCCCACTCTGGCCCTAGACGTGCTCAGTCCCCACTCAGCCTGTCCCACTCACTGGGGTTGGGGCGGGGGCTCTGTCACTCCCCGAGGGTCTCTGATGTGGGTCTCTCTGCGTCGTCCTCTGGCCCCAGCTGTGTCGTCTGCCTGTCCCTGTTGCCGCCTGCTGCACAGGTGGCAGGATTAGAGGGGTCAGCGAGGCCAGTGCCGGCCTCGAAGGCTAAGAAGGGCATTTATACTCATTCTGCAGCAGGTGGTGTGGCCGTCTTTGTTAAAATCCTTTTGCGTCCCTGATCCTTAGGATAAAGTAAAAGTCGGCCCTGGTGGCCTCGGGGGCCTCTTGTCTGTGCTCTCCTGACTGTAGCCTGTGCCCCTCAGGTCCCTCCAGATGAGCCCCTGTGTGCCTGCCCGGGGCTCTCCCGACTGTAGCCTGTGCCCCTCAGGTCCCTCCAGATGAGCCCCTGTGTGCCCGCCTGGGGTCCTGCTGAGCCCTGCCTGCAGCTCCGGGTCTGGGCAGTGCCTGTTTGTTCCCTCCCAGGTGGCCGGGCCGTTTCCAAGGACAGGCTCTGCCTGCTCAGCTGGAGTGGGGTGGAGAAGCAGACGCAGCAGGTAGGGCTGGGACCTGCCCTGAAGGGCAGCTTGCAGGAGGTCAGGTGAGCCTGGACCAGGGATTTGAAGGAAGTGAGAAGTTTTTTCGTTTTTTTGTTTTTTCCTGGAGAGTCGATTTGTATTTTTAAAAATACTGAAACAGTCACAGAGTTAAAGTGGGAGTATGATACAGTTTAGCTGCTGGGAATGGCCGTCACTCCAGGGAGCGCCAAAGTGCTTAAAAGAACAGTTTCTTTGCCAACACTTGTGGTCAGTAACCTGTAACAGAGCTACAACTAGGAAAATTAGAGTGGTGGTAGTCACTCATTTAAGAAGTCATTCAGGTAAGCAGCTGCACCGTCTGTACCCCTTAAGTAGCAAAGAAGCTGTTACAGTCTTCTGAAAACTATCACTGTGAGTGCTATAATTCTGAATGTAATGTTTCTTAATTAGAATTCATACAAGAATCATGAAAAAAAAAAAAGAGCAATTTCCTCCCCTGCAGAATGTCCCTGAGCAGTGTGGCCCAGGAGGCTCCGTAGCCTGGTGAAAGGCACCCTGTGGCTCTGGGGTGGAGCTTGGCGTTACCGAGATGCCATTCACGTCCTGCGAGCGCCCATCGAGTGTGCGATCTGTGGGTCCCGAGGGTGCCTGCAGGGGTCTGATGTGCCCAGGTTCTTGTTGCATGGCAGTTCTCCGTTCAGTGTTCGAAACCAGTGCTGTGATGCCCTCCAGCCATCCCAGTCCCAACAGGAAGCTCTCTGGCATTCTCTGTCCCTCTCATGTTTATTACTGGAAAGGGCTCCCCACCCAGACCCCAGGAAAGGACTCTTGGGTCTCGCACAAGAAAGAATTTGAGGTGAATCCATAAAGTGAAAGCAAGTTTATTAGGGAAGTAAAGGAATAAGAGAATGGCTACTTCATAGGCAGAGCAGCCCCAAGGGCTGCTGGTTGCCCATTTTTATGGTTATTTCTTGATGATATGCTAAACAAGGGGTGGATTATTCATGCCTCCCCTTTTTAGACCATATAGGGTAACTTCCTGATGTTGCCACAGCATCTGTAAACTGTCACGGTGCTGGTAGGAGTGTAGCAGTGAGGACGACCAGAGGTCACTCTTGTGGCCGTCTTGGTTTTGGTGGGTTTTGTCCGGCTTCTTTACTGCAAGCTGTTTTATCAGCAAGGTCTTTATGACCTGTATCTTGTGCCGACCTCCTGTCTCATCCTGTGATTAAGAATGCCTGACCGTCTGGGAACGCAGCTCAGAGGGCCTCAGCCTCATCTTAGCCAGCCTCTATTCACAATGGAGTTGCTCTTGCTCCAATGCCTTGGACACGTTGGCCATCAGATCCTCTTACACCAGGCTCTCTCATGTGCTCCTGTAGACATGAAAACACGACCTGATGAGAAATCGGATCTTCCTTACCCATTAGGAGACAGTCTCCTGGTGCACATTCCCCAAGTGGTAAAATTGCTTTTTAATCCAGGAGCAGTTGGACTGGAGCTGGTCTGTTCCCACAGGGCTCCCCATGGGGGGTGCTGGAAGAGATCTGTCTGTGAGTTGAGGGCAGCCACGCCCGTGCGACGGAAGCTTCTGAGGATCAGCTGTTCTCTGCTCAGTGCATGCCAGGGTGGGCCTCTGGTGAGCCCCCCAAGCCTGGAAACATTCGTTTAGCATTGAATGCCTCGTTTTCAAGCCTTATCTTTGGTGCCGCTCTCTAGAAACACATCTCGGGAAGTCACGGCGTGTGAGTCTGCACTGCCGGCTGTCAGCTGTTCTGTTGGCACCTTGCGTGACCACGGGTGTGCATCCTAATTGCGTTCTTGCCCTTTTGTTCTTGTTCTCAGAGCCCCTCCTCTCCCACAGCCACCTGCCCTCTTGGATTTCTGTCGGGCTCAGCAGTGCGGGGGCCTGGCTGCTTTGGAAAGGGGGGTGCCCTCCCCTCCCAGGTCCCTCGGAATAGGGCCAGCTCTTCTGGGAGGACTGCCAGGCGCCTCTCTCTTATTTGCTGATTTAAAAAACTATTAATGAAAATCTCCTGACACAGGAATGTCTCAGAAGTGCAGAAAATGTTCTTTTCCACCGGACAGATCAGGAGTCACCATGCCCACCAGGTGTCCCCCGTGTCCGCCGACTTCTCCTGACTGAACTTAGAGATCTCATTTCCCGCTGTCTGAGCCACCCCAGGTCAGCCTCAGCCAGCGTTTTCCTTACCCAGCTCCTCCCCGCCACCTGCTCCAATTCCCCAGCACATGTGAGCTGACAGCTAATGGTAGATGGCTGCTAAATTTATTTCAAATTGTTCTGGATACAAATGACAGCACCTTAATTCCCAGACTTGGAGTTGAAGGAACTATTTTCAACTTCAGCATCAGAAAATGCTGGATAAGTATTTACTAATAAGTAATAAGTAGATACTTTTTAATAAAACAAGTAGATATGTCTGCATCTTTTGGTATAAGACAAGTCACATACATTAAAATTTTCTATTTCGTTATGCATTCAAATTAGAGAGATAATTTACATAACATTCAAATTAGAGATATAATTTACATAACATAAAATTCACAATTTTATCACCATTTAAAAGTGCACAGTTCGGTGGTTTTTAGTGTATTTACAGAGTTGTGCGGCCATCACCACTGTCTCATTAGGGGGCCTTTCATCACCCCCAAAGAAACCCCTTCGAACCAGTTTCCTTCTTTTCCCCAAGTTCCGTCTTCCCCCAGCCCCGACGGCGGCTCGTCTGCTGTCTGTGCGCTCGCCTGTGCTGGACACTTCATGGGAACAGACTCATTAGTGTGTGGTTCCCGTGTCTGGCTTCTGTCACTTGGTGTCCTGTTTCAAGGTCCATCCGTGTTGTTGCATGAATCTGCCCTTTCTTCCTTTTTGTGGCTAATACTCCACTGTGCACCAGGCCACGTTCTGTTTGGAAATCTGCCCCCACCTGCACCACGCATCTCAGCTGCCTCGCCTCGTGCCTCTCACCCTGCTGTCCCTCTGCCATCCTCGGGAGCCTCTCCGCCGGCCCGGCAGTGGTAAATGCACGAATTGAGGGTGTTTGGCGTGTACGGTTAAGCTCGCCAGTGCCTTTTTTTTTTTTTTTTGAGACCAGGTCCCACTCTGTCACCCAGGCTGCAGTGCAGTGGCACAGCCATGGCTCACTACAGCCTTGAACTCCTGGGCTCAAGGGATCCTCCTGCTTCGGCCTCCCAAGTAGCTGGGATCACAGGTGCGCACCACCACACCCTGCTAATTTTTTATTTTTTTTGTAAAGATGGAATCTCATGATGTTCAAGACCTCCTGGACTCAAGTGATTCTCCCACCTCAACCTCCCAAGGTGCTGGGATGACAGGTGTGAGCCACTGCGCCTGGCCATGTTTTAGATTTCGATGAAGTCCGGTTTATCTTTTATTCTTCTTTTGTTGCCTGTGCTTTTGGTTTTACAGCTAAAAATTCATTGACAAATCCAATGTCTTGAAGTGTTTCCTCATGTTTTCTTCTGAGAGTTTTAGTTTCAGGTCTTATTTGTAGGTTTTTGATCCATTTTGAGTTAAATTTCGTATGTGGTATAAGGTAAGCATCCAGGTTCATTCTTTTCTCAGAAACTGTTTAGTGAGGATTTTCTGTTAGTCATTTGCCAATTGACTCCTTCCTGGGGAAACTAAAATAGGTCTCCCAGAGATGGACCTTAGACCTGGCTTTCCCAAGTCTCTTAAACCCTCACCTGGCGTCCTGTGTCCGCAGCCCACCGTGCACAGCCTGCCCATCCACCACCTGCCCATGCATGACCCACCTGTCCACAGCCCCCCTGCCTGCCCGTCCACCATCCACCCATCCACCACCCACCTGTCCACCACCCGCCTGTCCATGGCCCCCCGTCCTCCACCCACCCGTCCACGGCCCCCCCCCATCCACCCCCTCACCGTCCACAGCCCCCCTGTCCATAGCCCATCCTGCTCAGCCCCCCTCACTGCAGCCGGGCTTCTTCATGAAATACACATGAGCCCACGCCCCGCTGTGTTCTGGGAGGTGCCGCGTACCATGCCCATCCTTCCTCTGGCCTTGCTTCCTGTGCAGCCCCTTTCCAGCTCGGATGCCGAGCAGCGTCTCACTCAGAGTGAGAGAGGGTGGAGCAGGAAGAGAGGCACAGATCTAGGGTCCAAGGGGATGGGGAGAAGGTGCACAGCCTGGCCACCCCTGCCCTCACTGCACTGCCAGCCCCACAGGCAGCCGGCCCCCGACACCCCTGGCCTCTCTGCCCTCTGATGCCCCCAAGCCCCCCTAACCTCACCATACCCCAACCCCCCCAATCCCTCTATCCTCACCCCTCAGCACCCCCAACCCCCTCGACCTCACCGCCTCCCATCACCCCACCCCTGCAGCCCATGCCCTGGCCCTGCTGCTGTAAGGAGAGGTCAGGTGCGGGCCTTGCAGGCTTCTTGGCAGGTTTGTCTCCGTTCACCTTTTCCCTGCCGCTATGTCCCCTGGACTGCACATGTCCACCTGCCTCCTTTAATTTGCTAATTTCTGAGAGTGCTTATGAGTGTGGTTTCTACAGAATACAGCATCTAGCAAATGACATCGTGCAGGAGGGATGTGGTACGGATTTACTGAGCGGCACCGTGGCCGAGGCGTGTTGTAGAACTCAAGATCAACTCGTTGAATCCCCAGAATGTCCTAGGAGTGGTCTCTGTCTCTTCCTGGTAACATCTGAGGAACAGGAGACCGTGGTTAACCCGAGGGGGGCTGCGCCCCTAACCCAGGCGTCAGATCCAGTGCAGGGCACTCCCTGCACTCTACGGCTTCTCAGAGATTAAGATTAATTTGAAGGATTTTAGCTTTTTTTTTTTTTTTTTTCTTTTCAAAGAGACAAGTGTCTCTGTGTTGCCTAAGCTGGCCTCAACTCCTGGGCTCAAGCGATCCTCCCTCCTTGGCCCCTGAAGAGCTGGGACTGTAGGTGCCCACTGCACCTGGCCTGATGTCAGCGTCTTTTATGTTGAGTTATTATTTGTACCAAGGCTCCTTCAGGGGGGCATGATCAAGAACACATGGCTCCTCCCTGATTTGACCCCTCGCTCAGTTCCCATCTCTCCTCACCGACCCTGACCTCTTACTCTGCTCCCAAGTTCCCGTCTCTCCTCCTCTGACCCTGCCCTCTCCCTGGGTTCCCGTCTCTCCTCCTCTGACCCTCGGCTGCCCCTCACGCTCTTGCTCGGTTCCCATCTCTTGTCACTGACCTTGACCTCTCCCTCGGTTCCCGTCTCTCCTCACTGACCTTGACCTCTCCCTCGGTTCCTGTCTCTCCTCCTCTGACCCTGACCTCTCCCTCGGTTCCTGTCTCTCCTCCACTGACCTTGACCTCTCCCTCGGTTCCTGTCTCTCCTCCTCTGACCCTGACCTCTCCCTCGGTTCCTGTCTCTCCCCACTGACCTTGACCTCTCACTCGGTTCCATCTCTCCCCACTGAGCTTGACCTCTCACTCGGTTCCTGTCTCTCCTCACTGACCTTGACCTCTCCCTCGGTTCCTGTCTCTCCTCACTGAGCTTGACCTCTCCCTCGGTTCCTGTCTCTCCTCCTCTGACCCTGACCTCTCCCTCGGTTCCCGTCTCTCCTCACTGACCTTGACCTCTCCCTCGGTTCCTGTCTCTCCTCCTCTGACCCTGACCTCTCCCTCGGTTCCCGTCTCTCCTCACTGACCTTGACCTCTCACTCGGTTCCTGTCTCTCCTCACTGACCTTGACCTCTCCCTCGGTTCCTGTCTCTCCTCACTGACCTTGACCTCTCCCTCGGTTCCTGTCTCTCCTCCTCTGACCCTGACCTCTCCCTCGGTTCCTGTCTCTCCTCACTGACCCTGACCTCTCCCTCGGTTCCCGTCTCTCCTCACTGACCTTGACCTCTCCCTCGGTTCCTGTCTCTCCTCACTGACCTTGACCTCTCCCTCGGTTCCCGTCTCTCCTCCTCTGACCCTGACCTCTCCCTCGGTTCCTGTCTCTCCCCACTGACCTTGACCTCTCACTCGGTTCCATCTCTCCCCACTGAGCTTGACCTCTCACTCGGTTCCTGTCTCTCCTCACTGACCTTGACCTCTCCCTCGGTTCCTGTCTCTCCTCACTGAGCTTGACCTCTCCCTCGGTTCCTGTCTCTCCTCCTCTGACCCTGACCTCTCCCTCGGTTCCCGTCTCTCCTCACTGACCTTGACCTCTCCCTCGGTTCCTGTCTCTCCTCCTCTGACCCTGACCTCTCCCTCGGTTCCCGTCTCTCCTCACTGACCTTGACCTCTCACTCGGTTCCTGTCTCTCCTCACTGACCTTGACCTCTCCCTCGGTTCCTGTCTCTCCTCACTGACCTTGACCTCTCCCTCGGTTCCTGTCTCTCCTCCTCTGACCCTGACCTCTCCCTCGGTTCCTGTCTCTCCTCACTGACCCTGACCTCTCCCTCGGTTCCCGTCTCTCCTCACTGACCTTGACCTCTCCCTCGGTTCCTGTCTCTCCTCACTGACCTTGACCTCTCCCTCGGTTCCTGTCTCTCCTCCTCTGACCCTGACCTCTCCCTCGGTTCCCGTCTCTCCTCACTGACCTTGACCTCTCACTCGGTTCCTGTCTCTCCTCACTGACCTTGACCTCTCCCTCGGTTCCTGTCTCTCCTCACTGACCTTGACCTCTCCCTCGGTTCCTGTCTCTCCCCACTGACCTTGACCTCTCCCTCGGTTCCTGTCTCTCCCCACTGACCTTGACCTCTCCCTCGGTTCCTGTCTCTCCTCCACTGACCTTGACCTCTCCCTCGGTTCCCGTCTCTCCTCACTGACCTTGACCTCTCCCTCGGTTCCTGTCTCTCCCCACTGACCTTGACCTCTCCCTCGGTTCCTGTCTCTCCTCACTGACCCTGACCTCTCCCTCGGTTCCGTCTCTCCTCACTGACCTTGACCTCTCACTCGGTTCCTGTCTCTCCTCCACTGACCTTGACCTCTCCCTCGGTTCCTGTCTCTCCTCACTGACCCTGACCTCTCCCTCGGTTCCGTCTCTCCCCACTGACCTTGACCTCTCCCTCGGTTCCTGTCTCTCCTCCACTGACCTTGACCTCTCACTCGGTTCCTGTCTCTCCTCACTGACCTTGACCTCTCCCTCGGTTCCTGTCTCTCCTCCACTGACCCTGACCTCTCCCTCGGTTCCTGTCTCTCCTCACTGACCTTGACCTCTCCCTCGGTTCCTGTCTCTCCCCACTGACCTTGACCTCTCACTCGGTTCCTGTCTCTCCTCACTGACCCTGACCTCTCACTCGGTTCCTGTCTCTCCTCCTCTGACCCTGACCTCTCCCTCGGTTCCCGTCTCTCCTCACTGACCTTGACCTCTCACTCGGTTCCTGTCTCTCCTCACTGACCTTGACCTCTCCCTCGGTTCCTGTCTCTCCTCACTGACCTTGACCTCTCCCTCGGTTCCTGTCTCTCCCCACTGACCTTGACCTCTCCCTCGGTTCCTGTCTCTCCCCACTGACCTTGACCTCTCCCTCGGTTCCTGTCTCTCCTCCACTGACCTTGACCTCTCCCTCGGTTCCCGTCTCTCCTCACTGACCTTGACCTCTCCCTCGGTTCCTGTCTCTCCCCACTGACCTTGACCTCTCCCTCGGTTCCTGTCTCTCCCCACTGACCTTGACCTCTCACTCGGTTCCGTCTCTCCCCACTGACCTTGACTCCTCACCTGGACCCTAAGCTGTGCTGAGGCTGCTTCTCCCTCTCGCCCTAGACTTCGACCCCCACCACTTCTGGCAGTGGAGCAGCTTCTCGGACTACGTGCAGTGCGTCCTGGCCTTCACGGGCGTGGCGGGCTACATCACCTACCTGTCCATTGACTCCGCCCTGTTTGTGGAGACCCTGGGCTTCCTGGCTGTGCTGACCGAAGCCATGCTGGGTGTGCCCCAGCTTTACCGCAACCACCGCCACCAGTCCACGGAGGGCATGAGGTAGGCCGGGGATGCCGCCACGGAAGCACCACTGCTCCAGAGGCACCACATGGCTGCAGATTTGGTAAAAATCAAACGCCTGTGTGTCTGGCTGTGTATTTCCCACGTTGACCTGTGAAGCTGCCGGTTAAAGAATAGCAGGTTTATAGGCCTTGGCCCCTCGACCTCGCGCTGGAGCAGATGAGCTTGTGTGGGCCGCATGAGGGGCAGCCGAGACCCAGCACGGGGTTGGGAGCTGCTCCTTCAGGGCCGTTGAGACGGAACCTTCCAGTGGGAGGGATGTCCGAGTGCCTGGCCAGACGGGGCAGGAGGAGTGCAGGGCAACCAGCCTGGCCCAGGGTCAGGGCGGGTCTGGTGGGGCAGGGAAGGTGGTCTGGGGGCTGCCTTGGACACTGTCCTCGGTCTTTCCCCACTGGCCCCAGCACGGCCTCCGGCCTCTGAGGTATGTGGTAGAAGGCTGGGCAGGCTGACGTTCGGAACCACAGACCATGCCTGGGCGCCCTGCACCAGTGCGTGCCTGGACGTCCCCGTGACCGCCAGAGGTAGGGCACAACGCGAGCAGCATGATGCCCACGGGCTCAGTCAAGGTCCTGGATGGAAACTGCATTGTAATAAAAACAGATCTGCTCGCTGTGGCGGGGGCAGAAAACTCTAGTCCCTCACACTTTCGACCCCCAGGCCCGCTCCTCACTGGGGACCCCCCGGTGCCGCTCCTCACTGGGGACCCTCCCCGGTGCCCGCTCCTCACTGGGGACCCCCCCCCGGGCCCGCTCCTCACTGGGGATCCGCCCCCCGGTGCCCGCTCCTCACGGAGAACACCCTGAGCCCCCACACGTTGCTTGAGTCTGGTCTCCAATACAGATGCTGAGGCTGTGATTTGGAGGGAATGTTATTCTTGGATTTGTTATTTGTGGGAAACAGCCTGGAAGAGAGGGGCTGACGCGTTTTTGTGTTGGAGAACGGGTGCCCAGGGGCCACAGCACTCTCTTGAGGGCTTTCAGAGACCTCTGAGTATTTGCAGGTTTGGCGTGTGGGCAGAGGTGTGAGGGCCGGGGGTTGTGTGTAGGTTCAGTTGCCCGTGAGAGGTAAAGGTAGGAGGGCTTGTCGTAGGTGTGGGGTGGTGGTAGGGGGTGAGATGTAGGTGCAGGCCAGGGTTATAGGTGTGGGTTGCAGTTACAGGTGTGTGGCGTAGGTGTGGGTGTGGGACATAGGCACAGATGTGAAGTGTAGGTGTGGGCTGGGGTGTGGGGTATGGAGTTCCGGTGTGGGCTGTAGGTAGAGGTGTGGGGCATGGGTCAGGTGTGGGGTGCTGGCATGGTGTGAGGTAGGTACAGGTTGGGGTGTGGTGTGGGGTGCAGGTGGGGATTGGGCTGCCCTGGTTGGTGTGATTACAGTGAATCAAGACCAGGGGGGTTGCTGGGGTTTCTCGGGCGAGGGTGCATGGAGGCCCGAGAGGGTGTCCATGGCTGGAACAGGCTCCCTCACTGTTGGGTTGGGCAGTGGCAGCCCTGAGGGCTTCGGTGTGGAGCCCAAAAGGCAGGGATGCTCCCAGAGAGAAAGTGGGTCTCAGGGCGGGCGTCGTATGTAGGCTCCCCGGCTGGACGTGGGCCTTGTCCGGCGGAGTGTGGCGTCCCCAGCCACCCCACAGCTGGAGATCCTGTGGGCAGTGCCCGCGTGCCGAGCTTGCGACCTGGAGATCTGTGGGAGGTGCCTGGGTGCCAGGCCTGTGCCCTCCAGAGCATCACCACAGCCTCGTGGTGAGGGTCTAGCGGATCCGGACCCCACATGCCGGCCTCCTGGCCCCTCACAAGGAGCTGGCCGTGTGTGACCTCACAGGGGCCCCAGGCTTGGCAGGAGCTGTTGCTCTCGATTCCAGGGTAGCAGGTTTTGCTGTTCAGCGCAGGCATGTTGTTCAAGGTCTCAGCCCAGGGGCTGCCCCGTCAGCTGGGGGGACGTGGGAATCCTCTTCAAACCCGAGTTTCCAGATGCTGGCCGAGGCGGCCCTGCAGGCAGGCCTGTCTTAGGCCCTGAGGTCTGCTCTTCTCACACACGGGGAAGGCTCCAGAAACGCCTGTGGAAGGGGGGTCTGTGTGTGGAAGAAACACATTGGACGTGCTTTTCCTGTTCTCACTCACTTCACCACAAGCAGCACACACACTTCCATGTGCAGGCGTCTCCCCAGCACCGAGCAGGCAGTCGGTCCTGCGGCGGGCACCGCCGGTTGTCCTGACCCAGAGACAGCGCCAGATGCCACCCACACTTAGACACCCATCGCAAATCTGGGCCTCTGGAACTTCTGGGCCATGTTAGGGTTCCATGACCCCTCCTTGGGCTCTGTCAGCTTGCTGGAGCGGCTCACAGAGCTCTGGGAAACACGGTTGCTGATATTTTACAAAGAGCATTTTAAAGGACAGACATAAACCGCCGAGTGAGGGGATACACAGAGGGAGCTGTGGAGGGGTCCCCAGGCAGGAGCTCGGTCTCGTGGAGTGGGGCTGCCGCCCTCACGGCACACAGATGAGCTCCTGTTCACTCTCCTGCCGGCTCCCGCAAATTCAGCTCTCCCCGGAGCCTCCCAAAGCCTGTCTACTTGGGAGACCTCATTGGATAGGCGTGATGGACAATGGTGTTGAAATGTGATTGGACCTAAGGGTGCGACGTGAACCCAGCAGGGTCTGTTGAGATTCTTCTGTCCTCTGTGCAGGCTCCTTCCTCCAGGATGTCGGCAGGACCCTCTCTGGAATGAGGGTTAGAGTCCTGCCTGGGCAGGTGAACAGAGGGCAAAAGGTCAGAGAGATTCTGTTTTCTGAGGCCTAAAGCACCCCAACGTCATGACAAGAGCTACAGAAGCACTGTGGGTACGGGAGCACCACGGGTACGGGAGCACCACGGGTACGGGAGCACCACGGGTACGGGAGCACTGCGGCTATGAGAGCACCACGGGTACGGGAGTGCCGCAGGTACAAGAGCGCCGCGGGTACGGGAGCACCGTGGGTATGGGAGGGTACGGGAGCACTGCGGGTACGAGAGCGCCGCGGGTACGGGAGCACCGTGGGTATGGGAGGGTACGGGAGCACTGCGGGTATGAGAGCACCGTGGGTACGGGAGCGCTGTGGGTATGGGAGCGCCATGGGTACGGGAGCACCGTGGGTATGGGAGGGTACGGGAGCACTGCGGCTATGAGAGCACCGCGGGTACAGAAGCACTGTGGGAGTTAGCACCCTGGAACCGTGGATGAAAACCCGTGTGTGTGGGATGCGGATACACTTACACACATGTAAAATAGTATTGGGGGTGCTGTGTGGGCGAGATGGGAGCCGGGGTCATGGTCCTTTGCCTGCATACTTCTCCTTGGCTGCGGAACTTGGAACGTGTCTCAGGGATCCCAGGAGGTGCAGGTGTTCTACCTCTGAGTTTGCCCTGCTCCCTGGGTGAGTGCCAAGCCCCTGTGAGATCACCTGGGCTAACTTCTGCTTTTATAAACCTCAGGTGTGGCTGGGGACGGGATGTCACAGGCACCCCATCTCCCCATCGGGCCACAGGAGGCTTGGCCTCTGTCCCTGCCGGGAGGGCCGGGCAGAAGACGGGCGACCCACACAGCTGGCACGTTGTGAGGGCTTGGATGGAGTCCTGAGGCTGAGGGAGATGGAGCAGTCTCTGCGGAGGAAGTAGGCAGCGAGGTCAGCCAGCTTCAAGTGCGGGACCGCTGAGACCCTGTGCATCCTCGTCAGGAACGGGGACCAGGAGCAGCAGCGTCGGGTCGGCTCGGAGTGATGGAGTGTGTGGTTGTAGTTACGGTAATGAGCGCCCCGGAGAGTCTGTGCACTGAGGCCCTGGCCTGGCCCCGGGGGGATGGGGAGGGGACAGGGCGGGCCCTGGGGGGATGCGGAGGGGGTGGGGCTGGCCCCGCCCGTGCTGCCGGGAGCTTCAGCCCTCCCCAGGCCCAGTTCATCCGGTCTGCGCTTTTAAGAGTGACCATCGGGCGGTTTTCCCACTGGAACACATAAGGCGTTTGCTGCTAGAACGCACAGCCAGCCTGACCCCATGCCTGCCAGCCAGGCAAAGTCTGGGGTCTGCTTGTGGGGACGTTGCCTCTGCATGGCCTGAGGGAAGGTTTTGGGAGGGTTCTCACTAAACGGGAAAGGGAACAGGACCACTCCAGGCCCAGCCTTTGTGCCGCACGTCCTTATTTCTGCTGCTCTGACGCCGCGTTTCACCTTGGCCCTGGGTTTTAGTATCACCCGAGTGTGAATTCTGGAGGCCCAGCAGCTGCCTTCCACAACCTGAGACGCCACCTGGCAGCCTGGGCAAGGCAGGGCCTGCAGGGCTAGGGCCGGCGACCTGGGGGCTGTTCCTGAGGCTCCCTCTGGGCAGGGCTGAGTCTGGAGCCGGCTCCACTTGCGCGTCTGAAGCTCCGTCTCTTTGGGCCTGTGGGCCCTGCCCACCTTCCTCCCTTGGCACTGCAGCCTGTGGGGCACAGGGTCCCCACCTCTGCCCCCCTTGCTGTGTGGTCTTCTGGCTTCTCCGCATGGGTCCAGGCCACCGCTCCGTGGATCTTCAGCCCTCCCCGGCCTGGGTTCCACTCGCTCTCCAGACGCAGCTTGGGCAAGGGGGTGTCTCTCCCCTTTGCCACTTCCTGGGTGCTCCTGTGGTACCTGCCTGTTCCTCCGGGGCCACGGCAGCCTTGGGGTGGGCTGGAGTGACCCCCCACTTCCTGCTGTCAGACCACCCCCCATCTGGAGGCAGGTCAGAGACGTCTCAGGTTCCTTTGTGCTCCGATCTGCCTGATGGGGGCGTCGTGGTATCCCCAGCCCTGTCAGGAGTTGTGATTCTTGAAGCCATTGTGGGTAGTGGTTTCTGAATGCAGGTTTGATAGATCATGTGTGCTTCCTGTATAATCTCCAGGGTCGTGTTTAAGATGACGTATTTAAAATGTGCACACACACGTACTTAACAGATACCCAAAAAACCAAGACTTTGGGCTGGGCGCGGTGGCTCACGCCTGTAATCCCAGCACTTTGGGAGGCCAGGGCAGGTGGATCACAAGGTTAGGAGTTCAAGACCAGCCTGGCCAAGATGGTGAAACCCTGTCTCTACTAAAAATGCAAAAATTAGCTAGGTGTGGCAGGCGTCTGTAATCCCAGCTACTCAGGAAGCTGAGGCAGGAGAATCACTTGAACCTGGGGGGCGGAGGTTGCAGTGAGCCAAGATCGCGCCACTGCACTCCAGCCTGGGCAACAGAGTGAGACTCCATGTAAAAAAACAAACAAGACTTTGGTGGCGAATGGTGACATGAGCCTGAAACGTGACAGCCTGAACTTCAGCTCCTTTTCTCTGGGGACCTGCTAGTGCCACTGCCCTAGGTGAGGGAGGCGTAGATGCTGCCTGGAATCTTCCCTGGGACCCACAGCCTCAGCTCCACATTAAACCGAAGGTCTCTAGGATGTTTGATAGGAAGTGACTCAAGAATTCCCGAGTTGATCTCGTAGCAGCCCTGCTTCTGGAAAGTCCTGTGTCTCGTGTACTTGCACACACGTGCACAGGCCGGCATGCACAGTTGCCTCCATGCGCGCGTGCGCGCATGCACACACACACAGCGATGCACACACGGTTTCCACCTGTGAGCAACTGCCGGAGGCATTTTTGAACAGTGACTTCCCTTTAGAAAATACTACGTGGTTGTAGTTTCTGAACCAGTAATGAGATGTGATAAAGCTTCAGAAACAGCTTTGCTAATTAACACAGCAGGCTCCGAAGGGCGGATTTTCTGAGAGTGTTTGCATTCCTCTTCCTCCAGTTTTTACTGGATTTGAAGACTGTTCCCTGACAAGGATTGGAGGGTGAGGTGGGTGTAGATGATGAGGGCAGCGGGGGTGCGTTGGTGTTGACAGATGGGGAGGAGCCTGAAATGCGGAATACAGACACCGTGGCTGTGGAAGAGCCTGGGCAGGTGCCTGTGTGGACCCCGACAGTGTGTGACCACCGTGGCTGAGTGAGGATGGGTGACCAGGCAGGTGTGGCATGGTGCCTGCAGCAGGTGAAGCTGAGGCTCAGGCCGCCCCGCAAGGAGAGGATTTCAACTACGTCAGTCCTCACCCCTTGGGGCTGCCCCTGTCCAGCCAGGACATGGGCTGGATCCAGAAGCCGAGCTCTTACCCAAACTCTAGAGCAGGCTGTGTGGGTCCTCAGCCTCTGGGCATGTGGCATGTCTCCCCTGGGGCCACGTCTTCATGACACTCAGAACCCCCCCTCACCCACTGTGCCTTTCCTTATGCCTTTGATGCAGAGCAGGCCCCTGTGGTTCTGAGTGGAGTGAGTGCTGCACAGGATGCCTGGGTTAACAGGAAGCAAGCTCGGTGCACGCAGGCTGGCCCATGTGACAGGAGGGTTCAGCGGAGGCTCTGGAACATTACAAAGTGTGACCCGCCTGAGATGTGACTCACATCACAGCATACTCACGGGGCTGCCAAGCCAGCACCACGGTCTAATTCCAGAACATTTTCCGCACCCCAGGAAGCAACCCCGCGGCCACTGGCAGTCATTCCCACCGCCCCAGCCTCCTCACCCCCGCTGCCACTCCTCCACTTCCCATCTCCATGGGCTTGCCTTTCAGGACACATCACATCAGTGGTGCCTGATGACACGTGGCCTGGTGACACGTGGCCTGGCGACACGTGGCCTGGCGATATGTGACCTTGTGCTTGGCGTCTTTCCCTGCACTTCGTATTCTCAGGGTTCATCCATGCTGCAGAAGGGGTCAGCGTTTCTTTCCTTTTTGTGGTTGAAAAATGTTCCTTCCATAGATTTGCCACGTTTGCTCTTCGTTCTTCGTTCTTCAGCTGAGGGACATTTGGTTGTTTAACGTTTATGCTGTTACATGTGATGGACACTCATGAACGAGTTTTTATGTGGACGTAGTTTTCCCTTCTACCTGGGGGTGGAATCGCCGGTTGGATGTGACCCTGTTTCATAATTTGCAGAGCTGCCAGCCTGTTTTCCGTCCCCTCCCTGCTCCCATCCCCTCGCTGCTGCCGTCCCCTCCCTGCTCCCACTCCCTCCCTGCTCCCGTCCCCCCCACTCCTGTCCCCTTCCTGCTCTTGTCCCCTCCCTGCTGCCATCCCCTCCTGCTACTGTTCCCCTCCCTGCTCCTGTCCCCTTCCTGCTGCTGTCCTCTCCCTGCTGCCTCCCCTCTGCTCCCGTCTCCTCACTGCTCCTGTCCCCTCTGCTCCCGTCCCCTCTCTGCTGCTGTCCCCTCCCTGCTCCCGTCCCCCCCACTCCTGTCCCCTTCCTGCTCCTGTCCCCTCCCTGCTGCCATCTCCTCCTGCTACTGTTCCCCTCCCTGCTCCTGTCCCCTTCCTGCTCCATCCCCTCCCTGCTGCCTCCCCTCTGCTCCTGTCTCCTCCCTGCTCCTGTCCCTTCCCTGCTGCGTCCCCTCCCTGCTCCCGTCCCCTCCCCTGCCCTCTAAATGATGTAGCTAGGGGGGTGGGGGATGGCTGGGATTCCAGTCCCCGTGCCATGGTGGTGGAGCCATCTTCTCTGACAGAGCGTCCCGGCAGCTGGAATGTCCCCGCAGCCAGCAGAGCCCAGCCCAGTGATGGCTCCGTGCCTGCAGCTGCCATGCTGCAGAGCGCACCTGTGCGTCAGGGCCCCGGGGACGCTAACAGTGAGGGAGCCGGGCGGTGACCTGGGGACAGGGACAGGTGGTCCTGGGATCAGGCTTCAGCTGCACGTCCTGCCGGCCCCCGTCTGACCAGGGCTGTGTCCCGGCTGGAACTCTGGAGCCCTCTGTCTTTGTTGGTGTGTGCAGACCTGAGCTCTGCCACTGCGGAATCCTCACGGGGCGTGGGCCAGCCGCCTGCCTCCTGGCCTGCCTGGCTCCCTGGGGTTCTGTGTGTTGGAGGCGTCAGCAGGGAAGGGGACGGAAAGATGTCCAGGCCCCCACTGGCCCCTCAGGGCTAACCAGCCCCCTCCTAGGGTGGGCTCCGAATGGGCCTGGGCTCTGCCTGTGTGGTTGGGGCCTCAGGAGTGGCCCCGACCCCCGATTTCCCTCCAGACAGCAAAGCAGCCCACGCTGTTCCAGGCTCTGCTCTTCCTTCCTGGGGGCTGGGCTCAGGCATCACCTTCCCACTTGTCCCCACCTGAGGCCGTGGTGTGGGTGCTGCAGTGAGCCTCTTAGCCCTTCCCCTGCCACACCTGGCAGCCAGGGGCATTCCAAGTTGCAGACCACATGGCTTTACCTGATTTTACAGTGGGAGCTAAAAGCTGTCTCTCTAGGTCTGGGTTGCTTGCTTTGACTGTTTCACTGAAGATAGTTTGAAAGTTGTTCACAGTTAACTTGTGTGGCCGCTGTGTGAGGAGGGACGTTGTCTGTCAAAGCAGCCAAAACAAACGTGCCCTGGCCTCCTCCGTCTACACTGGAACACGCCCAGCCATATGGGAAACCCTGGGCAAAATAGACACAGTCAGCAGATTCTCCGGGGTGCCACGTTTCTCTATTTTACACCTGTCTTTGGTCCTTTATATAGGATTTGTGTGGTTCATATGGTCTCTTTTAGAATGAGAAAATGTTAAATTACAGCTTAAACTTGCCTTAAATTACAGCTTAGTTCATTCATGTGTGATGCGAAAAAAATGCTCAAATTTAGAAGAGAGTGAACTAGAAAAAGTCTTGTGAGATGGTGGGGAAGGTTGGGGACTCTGTTGTGAGATGGTGGGGAAGGTTGGGGACTCTATGGTGAGGGTGTGGGGAAGGTTGGGGACTCCGTTGTGAGATGGTAGGGAAGCCTGGGGACTCTGGTGAGGTGGTGGGGAAGGTTGGGGACTCTGGTGAGGTGGTGGGGAAGGTTGGGGACTCTGGTGAGGTGGTGGGGAAGGTTGGGGACTCTGGTGAGGTGGTGGGGAAGGTTGGGGACTCTGGTGTGAGATGGTGGGGAAGGTTGGTGACTATGGTGAGGATGTGGGGAAGGTTGGGGACTCTATGGTGAGGATGTGGGGAAGGTTGGGGACTCTATGGTGAGGATGTGGGGAAGGTTGGGGACTCTGGTGAGGGTGTGGGGAAGGTTGGGGACTCTATGGTGAGGGTGTGGGGAAGGTTGGAGACTGGTGAGATGGTGGGGAAGGCTGGGGACTCTGGCGAGGGTGTGGGGAAGTCTGGGGACTCTGGTGAGGGTGTGGGGAAGGCTGGGGACTCTGGTGAGGTTGTAGGGAAGGCTGGGGACTCTGGTGAGGTTGTGGGGAAGGTTGGGGACTGTGGTGAGATGGTGGGGAAGGTTGGGGACTCTATGGTGAGGGTGTGGGGAAGGTTGGGGACTCTGTGGTGAGATGGTGGGGAAGCCTGGGGACTCTGGTGAGGTGGTGGGGAAGGTTGGGGACTCTTGTGAGATGGTGGGGAAGGTTGGGGACTCTATGGTGAGGATGTGGGGAAGGTTGGGGACTCTGGTGAGGTGGTGGGGAAGGTTGGGGACTCTGTTGTGAGATGGTGGGGAAGGTTGGGGACTCTGTTGTGAGATGGTGGGGAAGGTTGGGGACTCTATGGTGAGGATGTGGGGAAGGTTGCGGACTCTGTGGTGAGATGCTGGGGAAGGTTGGAGACTGGTGAGATGGTGGGGAAGGCTGGGGACTCTGGTGAGGGTGTGGGGAAGGTTGGGGACTCTGTGGTGATGTTGTGGGGAAGGCTGGGGACTCTGGTGAGGTTGTGGGGAAGGTTGGGGACTCTGGTGAGGTTGTGGGGAAGGTTGAGGACTCTGTGGTACTCTGATGGGGAAGGTTGGGTACATCGTGGTGAGGAAGACTGGGGACACTGTAGTGAAGTTTCTGGACTCACCCTTGAACTACACATGCATAGATCTGGCCCTAAACTACATGCCAACAGCTTTGTGAACTCAGTGTCATTGTGGACAGTTGACTGCTCAAGTCCCAGTCTTGTCTCTGAGTGTTGCACATGAAAGACAGATCCAAAGATCAAAAGGGAGGTTTTGAAATGGAATTAAATTGAACTGCAGTCCACCAAAAACAAGTCAGACCTCACACCCTGAATCTAACCACATGAAGTGCTTGGTAGCAGGAAAAGCAACACTGTTGATAGGACCATGGAAGACTCACATCTCACTGCATAATGTTCAGAATGTCCAAGATAAAAACCAAAGTTATGTATGAAGAGTTGAGTTTCTCAGCTGCCAACGGAAATGACAGTCAATAGAAACCAACTCAGGCTGACAGATCAGACTTATCCAAGATTTTGAAGTCACTGTTGTAACTGTGCTCTAACAGGTAAGAGCAAACGTTCTTGGAATGAACGGGAAGACCGAACATCTCCATAGAGAAATAGAAGTTTAAAGAAAACCAAATAGATAATTTTAAATTGAAAAATACAATAATCTAAATAATATATTTCACGACACAACTGTAGAATGGAGATGAGAGGAAATAGTGAAGTTGAAGGCAGATCATTAAAAAATGTCCATTCTGAACAGGAAGCAATTGAAAAACAGTAACAAAAACATGAATAGAGTCAGGGACAAATTCCAAAGGGTCTAATATTCTGTCATCTGAGCCCAGAGGAGAGGAGAGTGTGACACAGAGGAAAAATAGCTGAAGAAATAAGGGCTGAAAACACCCAAAATTTGGTGAAAGACAAACATAGATGTAAGAAGTTCAGTGAATCCCAAACATATCACATCACAATCAAACTGGTAAGAATCAAAGTCAAATAAAAAATGTCGAAAGCAGTTAAGAGGAAAAGGATCCAAATTACTATGGGTTTCTCACCAGAAACGAGGGAGGTCAGAAGGAAGTGGCACATTTTTCAGATGCTGCAAGAAAAGAACGTTTGACCCAGAATTCTATATTCAGGAAAAAAAAAAAAATTCCTTTAGGAATCAAGGCAAAATAAAGACCTTCTCGAATGAAAGGAAACAAAGCGAAGTCATGGGCAGCAGTGCTACTCAACAGGAAATACTAAAAAAAGTTCTTCCGCTGGAGGAGAGCAACTTGGGACTCCAGGAATGAAGGAAAACCAACAGAAATGGCCAATATCTGGGTAAATATAATATATATATTTTTCTTCTTAAGTTATTTAAAATATGTGTGAAAGTTAGCAAAAAATATAACATTGTCTGGTGGGGTTTTTAGTGAATGTAGCTGTACGTGACAAGTCCAATGTAAAAGAGGGAGACGATAGTGAACTTGGTGCTAAGACTTCTGCATTCCACTTAAAGTAATAAAATGTTGATCCTAAGGAGACTTTGACAAGTTAAATATATTATAGTCCCTAGAATAAGATTTTTCAACAGCAGCACTATTGATACTTTGAACTGGAGAATCCCTTATTGTGGGGGACTATCTTGGTATTATAGGATGTTTAACAGCATCCGTGGTCCCCTACACACTAGATACCAGCAGTGTTCCTCCAGTTGTGACAACTAAAAATGTCTCCAGGAATTGCCAGATGTTTCCTTGGGCAGGGGTGTGAGGATGGGGTCATAATCACTCCCATTTGGGAACCAATGCCCTAGAGCACTAAAAGAACTATACAGGCCTGACACGGTGGCTCACGCCTGTAATCCTAGCACTTTGGGAGACCGAGGTAGGTGGATTGGCTGAGCTCAGGAGTTTGAGACCAGCCTGGGCCACGTGGTGAAACCCATCTCTACTAAAATACAAAACATTAGCGGAGTGTGGTGGCGGGCGCCTGTAGTCCCAGCTACTTGGGAGACTGAGGCAGAAGAATTGCTTAAACTGGGGAGGCGGAGCTTGCAGTGAGCTGAGATCGCGCCACTGCACTCCAGCCTGGGTGACAGAGCGAGACTCCTTCTCAAAAAAAAAAAAAAAACAACCAAAAAAAAAAAAAACTATACAAAGAGATACAGTGAAAAACCAAATAGATAAATTAAAATGGGATATTTTAAAAATTTCAAATAATCTAAAAGAAGGCAGGAATAAAACCGTAGGGACAAGCTGAGACCAAAAAAAATTAAAATGGTCGATCTAAATTCAAACCTGTCAATAATAACATTCAATGTAAATGGCCTAATCATACCAATTAAAGGACAGCAATGTTCAGATTAATTTAAAAAGAAACACAAGACTCAGCTACCTGCTGTTTACAGCAAACTCAATTGAAGTCTGATTACATCCATGGCGGATGCTGGGGTGCAGGATGTATTGACCAGGAGGCCATGCAGTGAGAGATGCATATATGAACCAAAGAAAGCTTGGAGTCGCTGTATTAATATCAGGCAAAGTAAAGGACATTTGCCTTGAATAAAAAAGGACATTGCATCATGATAAACTGGTGAGTTCACCAAGAAGATACAACAGTTCTGAGTGTGTATGCATGGAACCCCAGAGCCTGGAAGTCCATAAGGTCAGAACTGACAGAAATGCAAAGACAAATCCCCAGTTGCACTTAGGGACTCCAGCTTTCCTCAGTAACTGATAGAAAAAGCAGACAAAGTTAGCAAGGATGTAGAAAATCTGAACACCATCAACAGCCAAGTGAACGTGCGCATTCTTTTCAGATGCCCGTTGGGCATTCACCAAACAGACCATATCCTGGGTCATGAGAATTTTTTTAAAAAAGAACTGAAATTGTGCAAAGTATTTTCTATGAATATAATATAATTAAGCTAGAAATTAATAGCAGAAATAGATCTTAAGTCTCCAAAGGTTTAGAAGCTAAACAACACACCTTTAAACAATCTGTTAAAGAGGATATTGCAAAGCAAACTATTGAAAATATTTTGAACTGAAAAATACACCACCATATCAAAATTTGTGGGATGCAACTAAAGCAATGCTTAGAGTTAAATGTGTAGTATTAAATACTGATTTTAGAAAAAAGTTCTCAAATCATCAATCTAAGCTTAAGAAACTATAAAATGAAATGCAAAGGAACCCCAAGCCAGCAGAAGGAAGGAAATAACGGAGCTAACACCAAGCAACAAAAATGAAAACAAAACTGCAGCAAACATAAAAAACCAAACTGAAAGCTGGTTCTTTGGAACAAATCATTAACTGATAAACCAGTGGCCAGAATGACAAGAAAGCACAGATCCCCAGTATTTGGTATGGAAGAGGATATTCTGTAGACCCCACAGGCATCAAAAGAGTACAATGAACAACCTCATGCCCATACATTTGAAAATTTGGATAAAATGGACCAATTCCTTTAACCCAAGAAGAAATAGCTTGAGTATCTCTTAAGTAGATAACCCGTATCTATGAAGGAAGTTGTAGATGCATAATCTAAAGTCTGAAAAGGCTCTTTTTCCAGAGAAGCCAGAAATTGTGTCTGTGTGTGGGTGTGTGTGTGTTTACAGAGTTACCAACTGATTAGAAACAAAGTGTTGAAACTCAAGTGTGAGCTGATGCTGCATGCCAAGTAAAGCCACGGGCTTTGTGTGGGAAGTAGCCTGTCCCTGAAGCAGGCGTGGTGGTGGCTCTCAGGCCTTGAGTCTTGTTCGCAAGCACATCCTGGGAAATCTCAGCCGTGTGTGAGGGTCAGGCGAGCTCTGTTTCCCATCCTGGTGTGAGGGGTCAACCGGAAGCTGCGTGGGGCGAAGGTGACCGGTGGCGGGGTCACCGCGCAATGCTCGGGCGCCTGCTGTGTGCATGGCTAGCGCAGGAAAGGCAGGCGCCTTTGCACCGGGGCTGTGGTCCCAGGCCCGGAGCCCCACCCCAAGTCAGCTGTGCAGCCCTGCCTGGGCCTAAAGCAGGCAGGGGGGAATTCCGAAGCCTGGGCTGACTGCTGGGGTGTGTGAGAGGCCGAGGGGCCTGCACCACCTTCCCCCGGTGCTACCCAGGCACCACCCTGTCTTTTTGTCTGTGGAAGAGACTGGATTTTGTGGAGCTGGAGCTGCATCCAGGGGAGGACACATCCCAGAGAATAAAAAATGGGAGGAAAATGCCCTCTGTGGGTCAGGGCCTTATAATTTAGCTAAACCGACCCAAGTGGAAACAGTCCCAAAGCCTCCTGGTTTTTCCCAGTGGGTGTAATGATAAAGCCGGATTTATGTTCTCAGAGGCCAACAAGATGCTCTAGAGCCGAGCACTGTGGGCTTGGGAGAGAGGAGGGGGTGCAGATGCCGGCTGTCTCCTGCGGGTTCCTAGCTCCAGCCCTGAACACACCCGGCCATGGCTGTGCCTGAAGACTCTCACACAGGGCGGCTACGGCACCCAGGTGCCCACCCTGGCTTATGAGCGGGACGGACGCCCCAGGGTGGGGGAGGGCTGTGTCCTGTCCTTTCTGTCCAGGCAGCGCTCCCCACCCAGGCTCTGCCTCTGGCTTCAGGAGCTGTGGAAGGGTCAGCGGCCGCTGATTTAAACATTTCACACGGGAAAGTGCAGCAGCACTCATGTTCACTGCTAGGCAAGCCAGGGCATGAACACAGCGGTGGGGGAAGCGTGTTCGGACTGGGATGGTGGGTGGCGGCTGCTCCCTGTTCACTCCAGGAAAGGAAGGTTTGCATCTATCACCAGGGAGGGAGGCCGGCAGAGACCCAAAAGCAGCTGCTCTGCTCCACTTGGCTGTGTGCCTGGGGGCACAGATCTGCGTCCTCAGCACCCTCCCAGGCCCGGCCCCTCCCAGAATTGCCACCGCGCACCAGGGGCCCTGACGTCAGCTGCTCGCCCTGCTGTCCCCTGTAGCCTCGAGCTGGTCTCACTGTTCTTGGGCTTGCAGAGCCCCAGCCAGGCGGCAGCTCTTGCGGCCACAGAGAAGTCAAGGGTGGGGGTTGCATGGGACAGGTGGGGTCAGGGTGTGTCCTTTGGCCCCCTGGGGTGTCCCTGACCCCTGGGTCACCCTGTAGACTGGGTGTCCCCTCAACCCCCTGGGTGCCCCCTGAGCCCCAGGCCTCCCCGCCGACTGCCTGGGGGTCCCCTTAGCCCCCTGGGTGCCCCTGAGCCCCAGGTCTCCCCGCTGTCTAAGCCCCAGGCCTCCCCACTGACTGAGCCCAGGTCGCCGCCCTCCCCACCGCTGACCGCCTGCTTGTGTCTCCACAGCATCAAGATGGTGCTCATGTGGACCAGTGGTGACGCCTTCAAGACGGCCTACTTCCTGCTGAAGGGTGCCCCTCTGCAGTTCTCCGTGTGCGGCCTGCTGCAGGTGCTGGTGGACCTGGCCATCCTGGGGCAGGCCTACGCCTTCGCCCGCCACCCCCAGAAGCCGGCGCCCCACGCCGTGCACCCCACTGGCACCAAGGCCCTCTGACAGTGGGGAGGACGAGGATGTGGGACCGCCAGCCGCGGGCACTGGTGGGCCCTGACCTCCCCGCGGGGAGGGTGGGTGCTGTGGCCCCTGCAGGTGTGGCAGAGATGGGGCATGGGCATTGGGGTCTCCATCAGCCTCTGTGGGGTGTCTCAGGGTGGGCAGTGGGGGTGGGGCTGGGACGCTGTTTGTGCTCAGCGGGGACAGCCAGGGTTGATCTGGCCCCGAGGGTTTTGGATGTTTTTAGGATGACATAAAAAGCAAGTGTTTTCCCCATTTCCTCTTATGAAACACCGTCTGAGCCCAAGGTACACATTGGGCGGCCTGCAGGAACCTGCTCCAGGTGGACACACGGGCCAGCAGCCGCGAACCTTGAAGCTGGGGTGACCGCAGGAGACCCTGTAAGGCCTGTGAGCGGAGCCCTCGACCCCGTGACACCCTGGCCAGACACCCTGCTTGGACTGGGGTGGCCTCTGCTACCCAGGGGTCTGGCACGGGGGAGGGCTGGGGCTTTCTCTGCCTGGTACACACGGAAAGGCGGCTGTGCGGACGCAGGGTCACCGTGCTCCGGGTTTTCTGACAGTCGGTGTTTCCTGGGCCTTTGGAGTGGCTGCGAGGCCTGAACGCCTTGTGGATCCGCTGTGTCCAGCCCGGCTGAGCATCGCCAGGGCTAGCTCATGCTGCTCTTGTCAGCCTCTGGTTCTCCTCGAGTCCTTGGGGACGTGGCAGATGCCAGCGACCATCAGACAACGTGGAGGCCCTCATGGGCAATGGCTGAGGGGGCCGGGCTGAGGCTGTGCACATGCAGTCTGCACGCCACTCTTGGGCTCTGCTGGCGGAGATCCCCTTCCTTCTGGGTGCAGACTGCACCTCCGGATGCAGTTTTGATGTCCATCTTCCAGGAGAGACGGTCTCGGGTCCAGGGAGTGGAGGGGGCTGCCCCTGCCGTGCAGGTCCTGGCCGATGGCGCCTTACCCTGCTGCCCTGGGCTTTTGGCCTGAAGCAAATTCCTGAGTGGGGGGTACTGGGGCCTGCCGCATCCTGTCCTGTCCACTGCCCACCCCCGTGTGCTGGCTCCCTCACTTCTGGCTGCAGTGGGAGCCGCCAGTCTGACCCTTGTCACCGCACGCTCTGCCCCCACCCCGTTGCAAGAGGTCACACCATGTCAGCAGCCTTGCACTGACCGCAGCCGGCCCCCAGGCCTCAGAGTTCTGGATGCTTCCGTGCGGCTCCAACAGGCATCGTCTTCCCTTCCGCAGGTGGAGGGGCCGCTTCCCGCAGGCATCTGAGCTCTGTGCCGGGGCCGTGGCCATGGGAAGATGTTCCACGCTGCCTCCTCCTCGAGTTTTCCTCGGAAACACTCTTGAATGTCTGAGTGAGGGTCCTGCTTAGCTCTTTGGCCTGTGAGATGCTTTGAAAATTTTTATTTTTTTAAGATGAAGCAAGATGTCTGTAGCGGTAATTGCCTCACATTAAACTGTCGCCGACTGCAGGCGCAGTGACTGCTGAATGTACCCTGTGTGGCGACTTGGAATCAATAAACCATTTGTGGATCCTGAGTTGGCCTTGGGCAGAGGGAAGGATCTGGCTGTGGTCCTGGCCTCTGCCCAGACACACCCTTGTAGCCTGGGCCACCTTAGAAGGCCCCTGTGTGACCTGGGTTCCTCCAGGGCCCCAAACAACAGCCCAGCCCCCTCGACCTGTCACTGGCCTGTGCCTGTGGGCCGGCAGCCCGGGGGTCCTTTTGGCTCCTCACAGACGGGTCTGGCACTGCCTCTAGCTGCCCTGGCCACATCCGCCCTTCTGCCTCCCACCACCGAAGGCTTAGAGCATGGGAAGGGTCTCCTGTAAAGGCCAAGAGAAGTGTTTCCAGATTTGCGATCTTGGAGCAGCACATACAGATGGAGCTGTGTGTGCATAGCGATTTTTTCTGTGCAGTTTACATTGAAGGCAAGATGTTTCTTTGTCCAGTAAAAAACCAGGTGTGTGGGTGCAGGGCAGGATTTGGGTTGAAGGGCCCATCTGGGTACTAGGAGAGGGCACAGGCCACGTCCAGGCAGCAGCCTGGGGGAAGACTGGAGATGATGAAGGCTAGCGTGTCTGGAACGTCTCAGATGCAAATCGCCCTCCTCAAGTGCTGGCGGGCGGTGCCAGATGAACCCGAGATCTAGCGCAGGGATGGGGTTGTGTGTCTTCAGGGTGTGGAGACAGGCGGTTCTTGGGGACCACTCTGGGTTTTAACAGGAAATGGGAGCAAGGTCTCAGCCCCGCACTGCAGGGGCCGTGGCAGGTGGGGGCAGCGGTGGAAATAGCTGCGTTTCTGAACTCTCAGGTCACTGCCACCCTGTGATGCCTTCTGATGGTTTTAAGCAACAAAGAAGCACCAAGGAAGCAGGAGGCCGAGGAGGGCTCCCAGTGAGGGCCCCTCCGTGGGAGAGAGCGGGTTGTGAGAGCCTGGGAAGTTCACATTCCCCTCACCCCATGAGGAAACTGAGACCTGCCCTGAGCCCCAGCCCTGTGCCCTTCCCAGGGGCTTGTGTGAGAGAGCGGCCCACTGGGCACCTGTAGAGTGAAAAGGATGCCCAGGGGCTGGGTGGGCCGCTTGCTCAGGAGGAAATGTACCCCCACCCCAGTCTCAGCACAACTGCCTGGCACCCCCATCCTGGTGACCCAGGGTGGTCTCTGGTGGGCCCTGGTCCTGGAGGGCTCTGGGATTCCCCCACCAGACCCTGCAGCCCAGGGTGGGGAGGGGCAGGTCCGAGACCTCCTATCCCCCGTCATTCCCCACCTCTGACCTGGCCCTCACCTTTGACCTGACCCTCCGAGGAAGAACAACTTGTGTTTATTTCTGGGGGTCTTCGTGGTGGTCAGCACCTCACCACACAGGAGGAATCCTTCTGTCTCTGGGGGTCACCAGCAACGCTGGGACAAGCAGCAGAGGGTGGGGGGCACCGGCCTCGGCGTGTGGCCCCTCGGGCTGTCCTGCACGGGCCTCTCAGACCGGTAGCAAGCTCTGCTCATTCCTGAGCGACACCCAAGGCTGTCACTGTTAGAGGGAAGCCCTCAGTGCACAGCCAGTTCCCAGACCCTCCCCCGCGCTGTGTGCCTGGCGTCCTCGGACCCAGCCATGTCGTGGGCACCTGGGGCACCAGCTGACCTGCCTGTCGGGGGAGGCAGGTCTGAGCCCCAGGTGGTCCCGGTGGGCTGTTGCCTGCCATGGAGAAGGGGCTGGGGCTTGCACTCAGCCACTCACCGGGGCCATGCACGTCTCCTGCCCTTTCTCCACACCTGCGTCCCCTACAGACTCCTGCTGCCGTGTAATGGACAGTGGGACCCTCTGGTGAGGTGTCCCCCTCCTGCTTCGGGCTGCGGCCACCATGTCTCAGGTTTCCTGGATGAACTCATTAAAATGAAGCATAGAGCAGCGCGATGTCGAAAGTTCCTTCCAGAAGAACAAGGCCATGTTCTGGGACAGGAGGATCCCAGAAGAACAAGGCCATGGAGGGGTTGCAATGCCACACGCAACCTTGTGCAGAGGGAGTGTCAGGAGGCCCTTGTCACCCTCCCGGAGGTCAAGCCTTAAAGATTCCCTAGGGAGGTGGTGTCAGGGGATGGAGGTTAGAGGTCAGGGCTGGAACCCTCTTCCCCGACCCCCGAAAGGGCGGTTACTGCGGTGGCACTGGGGGTGCTGTGAGCATTGGCTCAAACCTCTGTCCCATCCCTGGGAAGGTGATGTGGCCTTGGGCAGAGGTGGATGCGGAGGGCCTCCTTCTGCAGGGACCTGCCCATTCCGGATGCCATGGGGGCTTGGCAGGGGCCGTGCTCCCTCCTCCCTGGCTGGAGGCAGGGGGATGAAGTCATCCACAGCAGGCGTGGAATCTCTCGGACTTACTAAATTTATTTTTAGCTAGGCGTAGAAAATTAAAAATCCAAGGAAAGGGGTGGGGCAGGAGGACAAAGGCCAGTGACTTTGCCCAGCGCTGCCACGGGGAGTCAGGCAGGGCCCCGCCAAGTTCTGGGGCTGCTCACGCACGAGGGCCGAGGACGCGGCCGGCAGGAGCCGCTCCCCCAGGCCAGACGCCCCCCACCCCTTGGCGCACCTCGGGGGTCCCGACGCTGCAGCTGGAGGGGGCAGGGGGTCTCCGTGTGGGCGGCGCAGGCGTCAGCGCCCTGCCCGCACCCACAGCGCATCCGCGGAGTCGTCGGCCAGGCCCGCGCTGTCGGGGCCCTGCGAGCTGTCCTCGGTGGCTGTGGCCGAGTGCGTGCTGTCCTCCTGCAGGGCCGGCTCGGGGCTGGCCGCGCGCTGCTGCTGCTCCTTGAGCTCGGAGTAGGAGCGCGAAAAGGTGTGGAAGATGGAGGTGACCGGGAAGGCCATGAGCAGGATGCCGCTGAGGATGCTGCTGAGCGCCACCACCTGCCCGGGCAGGCTGCGCGGGACCATGTCGCCGTAGCCCACGGTGGTCATGGAGATGACGGCCCACCAATAGCTGGCGGGCACGCTGGAGAAGTCGCGGCGCGCGCCCAGCTCGCGCTCGGCCAGGTGCACCAGTGGCGCGAAGAGCGCCATGGCCACGCAGAGGAACAGCAGCAGCAGCCCGAACTCGCGCGCGCAGCGGCGCATGGTCAGGCCCAGCGAACGCAGCCCCAGCGAGTGGCGCGCCAGGCGCATCACGTAGAGCACGCGCAGCGCACGCAGCAGCCGCAGCACCAGCCCCGCGCGCTCCAGGAGCTTGGTCCCGCCCGGGCCTGCCGCCAGCCCCAGCAGCAGCGACACGTAGAACGGCAGGAGCGCCAGGATGTCAATGATGTTGAGTGGCGCGCGCAGGAAGGCGCACTTGCTCTCGGCCTGCAGGGAGCGCAGCAGGAACTCGAAGGAGAACCAGGCCACGCACACGGTCTCCAGCACGAACAGGCTGCGGCACTTGGGGGAGCACTCGCCCTGCGGGGAGAGGGGACACGGGGTTGGGGGCGCAGGCCTCTTGGAGGGCCGGGGGCGCCTTGCCCTTCCTTTCCCAGGACCAGAGGCGTCCCCCAGGCCACCCTTCCCGCCCCAACCCACGGAAGCGGGTGCAGGGGATATTGACAGGCCCAGTTCCTGTTGGAAAAACCCAGAAAACCAGCAAGATTTCATGGTGATCACTTCGGGCTTGAGAGCGGATGCGCTTAGCTGACCCAGGAAACTGGTGAAAATAATGTTAAAACCCCTGACCTTTTAAAGCCTTGGGAAATGGTCTTAAGAGCAAACAGCAAACGAAGAAACATCTATTTATATGTGAAAATTCTGGAAGAAAGGTGAGCATTTGTGGTATCTGTGTCAAGACTGCATCCTCCTTCTCAGCTTGGCCAGGGGGAGACGCCACGTGGAATGGCTGCAGCCACGAACACAGACCCCCACCCCCACCTCCACCCCACCCACAGCTCCCAGTCAGGAGGGCTTCTTCCCTAGAAAGGGCTGACATCAGCATCTCACATTCCGCCCTCAGCTCCTGGGGCTACGTCCTTGGGGAGTCCGGTGGAGGGGTGGGGCTCCCTCCTCCTGCCCAGTCCCCACTCTCGTGGGTGGGAGGCTGGCCTTGGGTGTGGCACACTGAGAAGGCAGGGCCTGACTGCCCTTGCTGCAGTGATTCCAGGCCAGGAGAGGCCAATGGGGTCTCAGGGTGCTATCAAGCTCTCAGCTCCTAGAGAGGGAGGGTGTCATTCACACTGAGGCTCGCAGCTGTCCCCATCCCCCAAATCCCTGGCTCAGAGATTCCTGCCTGGAGGGAGATGAAGGAAGTAATCTCTTCTCAAAGGAACTGACTTCCTTTGCAATGGAACATGAAGAAGTTTACACCGAAGGGCACTCTCAACGCTATTGGAGGTGGTGGTGAAGGGAATTAGGATTCATGCGTGTGCTGACCACGTAGCCTAGACTGCACGCTGGCTAAGGTGCCGGGGAATGAGGGGAGAAGACAGCTGGCAGGAGCCCTCCTGGGGTCAGAGCAATGTCAGGCACTCTCAGAAAGCAATGAGAAGGAGCTGCGATATGAGCAGGTTGTAAAGGAATAACAGAGCTTTCAGCTGGCTGCTAGGAGTTTAACTACTGGGTGTGGTCAGTGAGACAGAGAAGAGGTTGCTCCCCAAGCCCTGTCATCCCAGGGTGACGGTGGCACACTGGTGCTTCGACACCGAGACTGTTGCTGGGGAGGAAGAGGGGCACACAGGCATCACAACAGTAAGCCAGCCAGTCACCAAAGACTAAACCAGTGAATAACAGGCCCAGGATGGGGACTACCAAAAGGGCTAGAATATCTTGTCTAAAATGTCCAGTTTCTAACAAAGAATGACAGGGTATGTGGAGGAGGAGGAGGGAAGGAAGAAAAAGAAAAAGAAGGAAAGTATGACTCATACATTAGGAAGAAAGCAACAAAAACTGCTGTGAGAGTGACCAAATGTCAAATTTAACTGAATGAGATTTCAAAGCAGCCACTATCAATATGTTCACAAAACTAAAGGACGCATAAATGAACATGCCACAAATAGAGGCTGTTGGTAAAGAGATGGACATTTAAAAAAATACCCAAACGGAAATTCTGGAATTGAAAAGTGCAATAATTGAAATAAAATAATTTAAAAATCACTAGAAAAGCTTAAAAGTAGATTTTAACTGGCAGAGAAAAGAATTAGTAAACATGAAGAGTTTGACAGGAATTATGCTGAAGAATAGAGAGAAAAAGAATAAACCAAACAGCGCTTTAGGAAGTGTGGGACACCGTTATATGCACCAATATATGCATAATGGGAATACCCAAGGAGAGGAGAGAAGGGAAAAGAAAAACTATGCAGAGAGATAATGCTGAAAAAAAAAACAATTTTTTAAAAACAATAACCTACATATCCAGGAAGCTCAATGAACTCCCAGCAGGATAAACACAGAGGCCCGCAGGTGGACACATCATAATACAAGTAACGAAGGTCAAAGACAAGGAAAAAGTATTGAAGCAGCAAGAGCAAAATGAAGATCACTTACAAGGGAAGTTCACAAATAAACGGCTGACTTACCAGCAGAAACACTGCAAGCCATAAGGCAGTGGGATAGCACATCCAAAGTGCTCAAAGGAAAAAAACCCTGCCAATCAAGAATCCTATATCCAGCAAAGTTACTGCTGAAAAATGAAAGTAAAAAATAAACACTTTCCCAGGTAAACAAAAATAGAGAGAATTCACTGCTAGCAGACCTGCCTCACAAGAAATACTAAAGAAAGTTCTTCAGGCTGAAAGCAAGTGAACCCAGATGATAATCTGGATCGACACAAAAAGTGTTAGTAAAGGTAATTATGTAATTAGAAAAGACACTATAAATGAATTTTTTAACGGATTTGAACAGCAACTGTATAAAAATAAGATGTATATAACGTATTAAGCTTGCATCATATAGAAATGTAATATATGTGCAATGTATTTGCCAATAAAAGCACAAAGGAGGTGTGTGGGAGCAAAAGTGTAATGGTCTAAGGAAATGACAGTGAAGCAAAAGCAACAATTGTAACAATGTGTATTACAACAATCGCACCAAAAGGGAGAAAAGTGAATACAGCTCTATAGGCATAATATCTCCATCTCACTGGAATTA
This sequence comes from Homo sapiens, assembly GCF_000001405.40. NCBI lineage: Eukaryota > Metazoa > Chordata > Mammalia > Primates > Hominidae > Homo > Homo sapiens. The sequence continues at coordinate 79,896,366 of NC_000018.10, read as the reverse complement.
CGCACAAACCTGAAGTAGGTTCTGATTATTTGTGGTAAACTCCAGAGCAACCACTAAAAGAAAGAACTAAAAAAAAAAAAAACTTTAAAATATCATTAGTGGGCTGGGTGTGGTGGCTCATGCCTGTCATCCCAGCACTTTGGGAGGCCAAGGCAGATGGATCACCTGAGGTCAGGGGTTCTACACCAGCCTGGCCAACACGGCAAAACCCTGTCTCTACTAAAAATACAAAAATTAGCTGGGTGTGGTGGCATGCGCCTATAATCCCAGCTACTTGGGAAGCTGAGGCAGGAGAATTGCTTGAACCCAGGATGTGGAGGCTGCAGTGAGCAGAGATTGTGCCACTGCACTCCAACCTGGGCAACACAGTGAGACTCCATCTCAAAAAAAAATACATATATATATCTAATTAGTGGAATTAAAATGCTCCATTAGAAAATATTCACCCCATGCAAAAGAAAGCAGTTAAGGAAGGATACAGAAACAACGTGCTCCGTGAGGTGCATGAAACAGAAAATAAGATGTGGCAGACACAGACCCAACTATATCAATCAAAACAGTAGATGTGAATGGAGTGAACAACCCAATGAAAAGCAGACACAGATCCAACTATATAAATCATAACATTAGATGGGAATGGAGTGAACAACCCAATCAAAAGCAGACACAGACTCAACTATATCAATCGTAACATTAGATGTGAATGGAGTGAACAACCCAATCAATAGCAGACACAGACTCAACTATATCAATCGTTAAGAATGAAGAACCCGATCAAAAGCAGACACAGACCCAACTATATCAATCATAACATTAGATGTGAATGAAGTGAACAATCAAAAGCAGACACAAACCCAACTATATCAATCGTTATTAATGGCATGAACAACCCAATCAAAGGCAGACACAGACCCAACTATATCAATCGTTATGAATGGAGTGAACAATGCAATCAAAAGAAGACACAGACCCAACTATATCAATCATTATGAATGGAGTGAACAATCCAATCAAAAGCAGACACAGACTCAACTATATGAATTGTAACATTAAATGTGAATGGAGTGAACAATCCAATCAAAAGCAGAAACAGACCCAACTATATAAATCGTTACTAACGGCATGAACAACCCAATCAAAAGCAGACACAGACCCAACTATATAAATCGTTATGAATGGAGTGAACAACCCAATCAAAAGCAGACACAGACCCAACTATATCAATTGTACCATTAGATGTGAATGGAGTGAACAACCCAATCAAAAGCAGACACAGACGCAGCTATATCAATCATTATGAATGGTGTGAACAACCCAATCAAAAGCAGACAGAGACCTAACTATATCAATCGTAACACTAGATGTGAATGGAGTGAACAACCCAATCTAAAGCAGACAGAGACCCCACTATATCAATCGTAACATTAGATGTGAATGGAGTGAACAACCCAATCAAAAGCAGACACAGACCCAACTATATCAATCGTACCATTAGATGTGAATGGAGTGAACAACCCAATCAAAAGCATACACAGACCCCACTATATCAATCGTAACATTAGATGTGAATGGAGTGAACAACCCAATCAAAAGCAGACACAGACCCAACTATATCAATCATAACATTAGATGTGAATGGAGTGAACAACCCAATCAAAAGCAGACACAGACCCCACTATATCAATCGTAACATTAGATGTGAATGGAGTGAACAACCCAATCAAAAGCAAACACAGACCCCACTATATCAATCGTAACATTAGATGTGAATGGAGTGAACAACCCAATCAAAAGCAGACACAGACCCAACTATATCAATCGTTATGAATGGAGTGAACAACCCAATCAAAAGCAGACACAGACCCAACTATATCAATTGTAACATTAGAAGTGAATGGAGTGAAGAACCCAATCAAAAGCAGACACAGACCCGACTATATCAATCGTAATTAATGGCATGAACAACCCAATCAAAAGCAGACACAGACCCAACTATATCAATCGTTATGAATGGAGTGAACAACCCAATCAAAAGCAGACACAGACCCAATTATATCAATCGTAACATTAGATGTGAATGGAGTGAACAACCTAATCGAACGAGACGCAGACCCAGCTATATCAATTGAACCATTAGATGTGAATGGAGTGAAGAACTCAATCAAAAGCAGACACAGACCCAACTATATCAGTCATAACATTAGATGTGAATGGTGTGAACAACCCAATCAAAAGGAGACACAGACCCAGCTATATCAATCATTATGAATGGCGTGAACAACCCAATCAAAAGCAGACATGGACCCAACTATATTAATCGTTAACATTAGATGTGAATGGAGTGAAGAAACCAATCAAAAGCAGACACAGACCCAACTATATTAATCGTTAACATTAGATGTGAATGGAGTGAAGAACCCAATCAAAAGCAGACACAGACCCAACTATATTAATCGTTAACATTAGATGCGAATGGAGTGAAGAACCCAATCAAAAGCAGATACAGACCCAACTATATCGTTATTAATGGCATGAACAACCCAATCAAAGGCAGACACAGACCCAACTATTTCAATCGTTATGAACGGAGGGAACAACCCAATCAAAAGCAGACACAGACCCAACTATATCAATTGTACCATTAGATGTGAATGGAGTGAACAACCCAATCAAAAGCAGACACAAGACCCAGCTATATCAATCGAACCATTAGATTTGAATGGAGTGAACAACCCAATAAAAAGCAGACACATATCCAGCTATATCAATTACATGTGAATGCAGTGAACAACCCAATCAAAGGAGACGCAGACCCAGCTATATCAATCGAACCATTAGATGTGCATGGAGTGAAGAACGCAATCAAAAGCAGACACAGACCCAACTATATCGATCATAACATTAGATATGAATGGAGTGAACAACCCAATCAAAAGCAGACACAGACCCAACTATATGAATTGTTAACAATGAAGAACCCAATCAAAAGCAGACACAGACCCAACGATATTAATCGTAATATTAGATGTGAATGGAGTGAACAACCCAGTCAAAAGCAGACACAGACCCAACTATCTCAATCGTTATGAATGGCATGAACAACCCAATCCAAAGCAGACACAGACCCAGCTATATCAATCGTACCATTAGATGTGAATGGAGTGAAGAACCCAATCAAAAGCGGACACGGAGCCAACTATATCAATCATAACATTAGATGTGAATGGCGTGAACAATCCAATTAAAAGCAGAGACCCAACTATATGAATCATAATATTAGATGTGAATGGAGCGAACAACCCAATCAAAAGCAGACACAGACCCAACTATATCAATTGTAACATTAGATGTGAATGGAGTGAACAACCCAATCAAAAGCAGACACAGACCCAACTATATCAATCGTAACATTAGATGTGAATGGAGTGAACAACCCAATCAAAAGCAGACAGACCCAACTATATCAATTGTAACATTAGACGTGAATGGAGTGAAGAACCCAATCAAAAGCAGACACAGACCCAACTATATCAATCGTTATTAATGGCATGAACAACCCAATGAAAAGCAGACACAGACCCAACTATATCAATCATTTTGAATGGAGTGAACAACCCAATCAAAAGCAGACACAGACCCAACTATATCAAATCGTTATCAATGGTGTGAACAACCCCATCAAAAGCAGACACAGACCCAACTATACCAATCGTAACATTAGCTGTGAATGGAGTGAACAACCCAGTCAAAAGCGGCCACAGACCCAACTATATCAATTGTTATGAATGGCTTGAACAACCCAATTAAAAGCAGACACAGACCCAACTATATCAATTGTACCATTAGATGTGAATGGAGTGAACAACCCAATCAAAAGGCAGACTGGGTTTTAAAAAATAGTTGAACTATATGTTGTCTACAGGAGACACACTTTAGATTCAAATACAGAAATAGATACAATGTAACAAGATAGGAAAAGATATATCATCCAAACAGCAACCACAGGAAAGCTGGAATGACTGTACTAATAGACAAAGTAGACGTTAAAACAAAAAATATTATTAGAGATAATATGTAATGATCAACAGGTCAATCCATCAAGAAGATATAACAAGTAAAATGTATGCACCAATAATACAGCAATAAGTAAATGAAGCAAAAACTGAACACAAACAGAAATTGAGAAAGAGACATTCCATAATAATAGTTGGAGACTTCAATACCGCACTGTGTTGTTTTTTTTTTTTTTTTTTAGACGGAGTCTTGCTCTGTCATCCAGGCTGGAGTGCAGTGTTGCGATCTCGACTCACTGCAACCTCTGCCTCCCAGGTTCAAGTGATTCTCCTGCCTCAGCCTCCTGAGTAGCTGGGACTACAGGCTTGCACCACTGTGCCCAGCTAATTAATACTGCACTTTCAATAATGGGTAGAACAAGTACACAGGAGAGTCAAGGAAACAGAAGGTGTGAACACCACCATAAGCCAAATGGACCTCACAGACATCCGTAGAACATGGCACCGGACAACTCAATATACATTTTTTCAATGTGCACACGGAACAGACTCCAGAACAGGACATATACCAGGCCATAGAACCAACCTCAATACATTTAAAAGGATAGAAATAATACAAATATACTCTCCATCCACAATAGAATATTAGAAATTAATAACAGGAGAAAAATTGGGAACCTCACAAATATGTGGAAATTAAACATATTCCTAGATAATCAAAGAGGCCAACCAAGAAATCAGAAGGCAGTCAGACTTGGAGATGAGTAAGAATGAAGACACAACGTATCCAAACTTATATGGTGCAGCTAAAGTAATGCTTAGAGGGCCAGCGTGGTGGCTCATGCCTGTAACTCCAGCATTTTGGGAGGCCGAGGCAGGAGGATCACTTAAGCTCAGGAGTTGGAGACCAGCCTGGGCAACATGGTGAAACCCCATCTCTACGAGACATACAAAAATTAGCTGGGTGTGGTGGTTCATGCCTGCAGTCCCAGCTACTTGGGGGGCTGAGATGGGAGGATCCCTTGAGTCTAAAAGGTTGTGGCTTCAGTAAGCCATGATGGTGCCACTGTACTCCAGCCTGGGTGACAGAGCGAGACCCTGTCTTGAAAAAAAAATAAAAAATAAAGAAAGAAAAAGTAATGCTTAGAGGGAAATTTATAGCTTTCAATGCCTATAAGAAAGAAGAAAGATCTCAAATTAATAAGCTCACACTCCACCCTAAGACAACTGGGAAAACAAAAGTAAATAAAACTTAAAGCAGGTGGGGGAAGGAAATAACAAAGATGAGAGCAGGAATTAATGAAACAGAAGACAAAACCCATAGAGAAACCAATGAAACCAAAGGCTGGTTCTTGGAAAAGATCAACAAAATCAACAAATCTTTAGCTCGTTTGAGCAGAAGAAAAAGAAAATTCCATTGACTAGAATCAGAAGTGAAAGCAGAGATGTGATTCATGCTCTTACAGACATAAAAAGGGTGATAAAGCAGCACTGTGAATAATCGTGCGCCGTCACAGTAGGTAACAGGTAAAATGGATCCATTCACAGAAAAACAAACTACAGAAACGAGGAAGGAACAGAATCTGCACAGACTAATCATCAGTGAAGAGACTCAGTCAGAAACCCTCAAACTACCCACAAGAAAAGCCCAGGGCCAGATGCTTCACTGAATCCAGCCAAAGGGTCAAAGGAGAATATCCACAGCCACAGAAAGAACGATGTCTTGTCCTCTGCAGCTGGAGGCTATTATCCTAAGCAAATTAACGCAGAAACAGAAGACCAAATACAGCATGTTCTCACTCGTAAGTGCGAGCTAAACGTTGGGTGCTCATGGACATAAAGATGGCAACAGCAGACACTGCAGACTGCCAGTGGGGAGGGGGAAGGGGCAAAGGCTGGAAACGTGCTGTCGGGTGCTGTGCTTGGTACCTGGGTGACAGGACCAATCCTACCCCAAACCTCAGCATCACACAATATGTCCGGGTAGCAGAGCTGCACACATACCCACTGAACCTAAAATAAAACCTGAGATTATTAAGCAATTAAAAAAATTTTATTCATAAAAAAGGAATTAATACCAATTCCTCACAAACTATTATGAAAATACAGAAGTGGAGAGAATGGTTCCCAGCTCATTCTATGAGGCCAACATCACCCTGATACAAAAACCAGATGAAGTATCACAAGAAAACCACACGTGAATACCGATGTTAAAAGATTCAAGAAAATATCAACAAGCTGAATTCGGCAGTGTAGAAAAAGAATTAGACATCAGGACTGAGTGGGATTTATCCCAAGGATGCAAGGCTGGCTTAACATCTGAAAATCACTTAACGTGATACATCATATCCATATTATAGAAAAGAAAAATCACACAATCATGTCAACTGATGAAGAAAAAAAGCTTTTGACAAAATACAACATCTTTTCATGACAGAAACACTCAACAAGCAGGAAACCTCCGCAAAAAGGGCATCTATAGAAACCCCACAGCTAACATCACACATGGTAACGAAAGACTCCGTGCTCCCTCCGTTCAGGAACGAGACGCTAACGTCTGTTCTCGTCACTTCCAGTGGACTCTGTACCGGATGTTCCAGCCAGGACGATCAGGCAGGTTAAACAGAATGTGCACAGACGCCTACTAGGCCAATGAGAAGGTCATGTCATGTTGGTTCACAAATGACAGGACCTCGTATATAGAAAATCCTTAGGAATCCACTAAAAACGTCCATTCAAACTAGTGAGTTCAACAAGGTTGTAGAATATGCGACAACAATCCATTTTATCTCTATACACTCGCAATGAACAATTAATGTAATTCCCTTCACAACAGCATCAAAAGGAAGAAATGCATCAGAATAACTAAAACAAAAGAACAAAAAAACTTACACTTTGATAACTACAAAACACTGTTGAAAGAAACTCTAAATTTTGACCATTTGATAGAGAAAGAACAATTTGTTATCAAGCGGTACTGGGGTGCCTGGATGTCCACACACAAAGGAATCCAGCTGAGCGCTTACCTGAACCATACGCAAAAATTAAGAAAAAATGGACCAAAGCTCAAAATGTGGGTGCTAAAGTTACAGAACTTTAGAAGGAGACTTGGGGTAAAATCTTCACGACAAAGGATTAGCCAAGGGCTATGAGATATGGCATCAAAAGCACAAAAAATTGATAAACTGAACTTCATAAAAATTAAAAACTTTTGTGCCTCAAAGGACAACAGCAAGAAAGTGAACAGACAACCCACACAATGGAAGGAAGTATTTGGAAATCAGATATTTGATAAGGGACTTGCATCCAGGATAGATAAGAAACTCTTACAGCTCAATAATAAAAAGACAACCCAATTTAAAATTGGGCAAAGGAGGGCCAGCGTGGTGGCTCATGCTTGTAATCCCAGTACTTTGGGAGGCCAAGGTGGGCAGATCATTTGAGGTCAGGAGTTCGAGACCAGCCTGAGTAACATGGTGAAAACCTGTCTCCACTGAAAATACAAAAAAAAAATAGCTGGGCGTGGTGGTGGACTTCTGTAATCCCAGCTACTCGGGAGGCCGAGGCACGAGAATTGCTTGAACCTGGGAGGTGGAGATTGCAGTAAGCTGAGATCACCTGGGCGACAGAGTGAGACTCTCTAAAAAAAAAAAATTGGGCAAAAGGTCTGAAGAGGCATTCCTCAAAGAAGAGCTCTCAACTGTCAGGAAGGACATGAAAAGATGCTTGACATCACTGGTCATCAGGGAAACGGGAATGAGAACCGCACAGCGGCTTCAGGAGGAGGACGCCGCCGTCCCAGCCCCACCGCGGCCTCATGAGGAGGACGCCGCCGTCCCGGCCCCACCGCGGCCTCATGAGGAGGACGCCGCCGTCCCGGCCCCACCGCGGCCTCATGAGGAGGACGCCGCCGTCCCGGCCCCACCGCGGCCTCATGAGGAGGACGCCGCCGTCCCGGCCCCACCGCGGCCTCATGAGGAGGATGCTGCTGTCCCAGCCCCCCTGCAGCCTCAGGGCCGACCCAGCCCCAGATGTGGGCTGGGGACCTTCTCAGGAGTCTGCAGCCTGTTGGCACAGCTGGTGGAAGCCCCGTGGACTGGTCCCAGCGTGCCACCCCAAACGTGGTCCCCACCGCGTGGACGGGACTGAATCTGGGCCTGGCGGGTGCTCCCCATGGCCTCCTCCACCCCTGAGGCCTAGGTCTGGGTGCTTCCCATGGCCTCCTCCACCCTCGAGGCCTAGGTCTGGGGTGTGGGTTTTGTCCTAGCATTTTAAAAACTGTGGTAAAATACATGTAACAAGACACCATCTGAACCGTTTTAAAGGGTGTTAAATGCATTCAGAATGTTGTGTGGCCTTCACCATCTGTCTCCAAGGCTATTACCCTGTGAGCCCGAGACGGTGGCCTCGTCAGACATCCACTCCCCATTCGCCTCCCTCTGCAGCCTTCTCTGACCACAGACCACAGTGAAGTCTTGATCGACATTCAAGGCGGGTGGGCTGCTGCGTGGATCCCTGGCTCCAGTCCATTCCCGAACTTCACAGGCCCTGGGAAAAGTGGGGGAGCCACCCCCCGAGCCCCGATCTGTGCCCGAGGGAGCCCCTGCAGAGCCCCTCCCACCTGGCAACGTGTCCGGGTGCAGGAGGCTCGTGGCCAGAGCTCAGGGGCCTAGGCGCTCTGAACCACTGGGGCTGTGAGCCCTCGGGACGCCAGGCTTGGGCATCCACGGTGTGTGAGCCCCTGGGAAGCTGGATGCGGGTTTGAAACCCTGATGCGCCCAGCTGGGGGGTGGTTAGAAAGTTCTCAGCTCAGGAGGTGCCCAGGCTGAGTCCTCCCTCCCACGTCTGTCTCTGTGAGGCAGTGACCAGGAGTTGGCAAATTCAGGCCGGAGCTCAAGACCCGTGAACCTTGAAACACCTGCTGAGAGGAAGCAGCACAGGGCATCTCAGCACAGGTCGGCCCCAAGGCAGCCCCGTGGCTCTGAGCCCAGTGTGTCCTGGAAACAGTCCCGTGGCCTCTGGCCCAGGGCGGCCTCCGCCTCTGCTGTCTCAGCATTTCCGTCCCTGTGTCCTGTCCCCATGTCCTCACAGGCATCTCCCTCATGTCCCCTCCCTGTGTCCCTGTCCCTGTGACCCTATATCCCCGTGTCCCTGTCCCCATCTGTCCTGTGTCCCTCCCTGTGTCCTTGTCCCTCTGTCCCCGTGTCCCTGTCCGTGTCCCTAGGCATCTCTCATGCCCCCATGTCCCTGTCCCTATGGCCCTATGTCCCTGTCCCGTGTCCCCATGTCCCTGTCCCCACGTCCCTATGTTCCCATCCCCATCTCCCTGTCCCGTGTCCCCATGTCCCTGTCCCCACGTCCCTATGTTCCCATCCCCATCTCCCTGTCTTGTGTCCCCATGTCCCTGTCCCCACGTCCCTATGTTCCCATCCCCATCTCCCTGTCCCGTGTCCCCATGTCCCCGTCCCCACGTCCCTATGTTCCCATCCCCATCTCCCTGTCCCGTGTCCCCATGTCCCCGTCCCCACGTCCCTATGTTCCCATCCCCATCTCCCTGTCCCGTGTCCCCATGTCCCCGTCCCCACGTCCCTATGTTCCCATCCCCATCTCCCTGTCCCGTGTCCCTGTCCCCACGTCCCTATGTTCCCATCCCCATCTCCCTGTCTTGTGTCCCCATGTCCCTGTCCCCACGTCCCTATGTTCCCATCCCCATCTCCCTGTCCCGTGTCCCCATGTCCCCGTCCCCACGTCCCTATGTTCCCATCCCCATCTCCCTGTCCCGTGTCCCCATGTCCCCGTCCCCACGTCCCTATGTTCCCATCCCCATCTCCCTGTCCCGTGTCCCCATGTCCCCGTCCCCACGTCCCTATGTTCCCATCCCCATCTCCCTGTCCCGTGTCCCTGTCCCCACGTCCCTATGTTCCCATCCCCATCTCCCTGTCCCGTGTCCCCATGTCCCCGTCCCCACGTCCCTATGTTCCCATCCCCATCTCCCTGTCCCGTGTCCCCATGTCCCCGTCCCCACGTCCCTATGTTCCCATCCCCATCTCCCTGTCCCGTGTCCCCATGTCCCCGTCCCCACGTCCCTATGTTCCCATCCCCATCTCCCTGTCCCGTGTCCCCATGTCCCCGTCCCCACGTCCCTATGTTCCCATCCCCATCTCCCTGTCCCGTGTCCCCATGTCCCCGTCCCCACGTCCCTATGTTCCCATCCCCATCTCCCTGTCCCGTGTCCCCATGTCCCCGTCCCCACGTCCCTATGTTCCCATCCCCATCTCCCTGTCCCGTGTCCCCATGTCCCCGTCCCCACGTCCCTATGTTCCCATCCCCATCTCCCTGTCTTGTGTCCCCATGTTCCTGTCCCCACGTCCCTATGTTCCCATCCCCATCTCCCTGTCCCGTGTCCCCATGTCCCTGTCCCCACGTCCCATGTTCCCATCCCCATCTCCCTGTCCCGTGTCCCCATGTCCCCGTCCCCACGTCCCTATGTTCCCATCCCCATCTCCCTGTCCCGTGTCCCCATGTCCCCGTCCCCACGTCCCTATGTTCCCATCCCCATCTCCCTGTCCTGTGTCCCCATGTTCCTGTCCCTGTGTCCCCACAGGCATCTCCCTCGTGTCCCCGGTGTGTCCCCATCCCATGTCCCCTGGGCAGGTCACTGGGTTGCACACCCAGGACTGAAGCCAGGCTGGCCCCAGGGCACTGTCCTAACCACTGGTGGATGCTGCCTTCCACGCAAGCCCTTCTGAGGAATCCTGTGTCCCTGGCCGGGCATAGGGACCGGTGGGGCAGGAGCGCCCGGGCTGAGTGTGTGTTCTGAGCGCCGCCCTGCCCACAACAAGGAGGGACCCAGTGCAGCTGCAGCCACAGAGCCAGAAACCACCTGGACCGGGTCTGCCCGTGGTTAGAAAGAGACCACCCGCGGAACCACAGGTGGGATGGTCGGCGGGCACGTTTCCGGAACTTTCAGCCCAGAAAACAGACCCTGATTGATCAGATTTGATGCACCTGGTCTACTTGGCCAAAAATCAGGTCAGAAAAAAAGTCTACGTTCAGCCTGGCTCACCCAGCTTTGAGGCCCGCACAGCCACCGCCCTCTAGATTGTTTGGCTTTTTTTGTGCTTTTTAACAGACATTCAGGGTTTTCTGTGGGGTGCCAGGGCCGGCTCCTGCGTGCCCTGGCTGGGCGGGCACCTTCAGACTCTGCTCCACAGCCCTGGGCTGCTCCACGATGTTCTGTGCTCTGAGCAGGCTCTCCTGGCAGCTTCTGCCCTCTACTGTCAGGGTGGGGTCTGTGGTCTCAGGTTCAAGGGATGGGGACTGTGAGGGGTGTGAGCAAGCACCCCGAGAGTTGGGCAAGCGCTTCTTTGGGGAGGGAAAGTGGACCGCACACTCAGAGATCAGTGTGGGCTTCCCAGCCCTGGTGTCAGGACGCTCTCATTATCACAGTTTCAGGGATGGTGTCTTGGCTGCATCACCGACCCGCGCACGCTACTGTGTTTCTGTGAATGGGAAAAGCAAGTTTGCTCCCACGCACAGGAACCTGTGGGTAAACCGCTCCCGAGTTCCTGGGCCCCAGGATGAGCCCCCCCGAGGAACACAGAGCCGGGCGGACCCCTGCCCCCGTGGCTCCCCATCACGAAGCCACGTGTCTGTGGGCCTTGGGCGTGTCCGGTCTCTTTGGAAACCACAAACATTTCTCCGCTCTAGGTAGAAAACACAAAAAGCAACGATGAAAGGAATCCCAGAATCTAGAATTCCTGCCCCGTGGGCCTGGGGAGCTGCCACGCCCAGGCCCAGGCCCAGACCCAGCCCTGCTCCTCCACTGCATCGGGACATCACAGCCTGGCTCTCCCCCGGGGACCCAGTGGCCGGGGCTCCATCCCACTGGGGGAACCAAGGAAGGGAACCAGCCAGTCCCTGCCAGGCCGGGGTTGAGCAGAGGCGCCCTCACCGGAGGACGGGAATCCAGCAGTGGTGGGGGCTGCAGAGCTGGGGGCCTCCTTGAAGGACTGAGAACGGGAGTGTGTGTCATTAGGTGGGACCTAGATGGGGCGAATTCTCTTGGGGGTGCAGGTGTGGGGCCCACAGGGAGGGGCGGGAGGAGGGCTGAGAACAGGGACATGGGGCATGGGGAGGGGCATGGGGACGGAGCCCCTGCAGCTTCTGTGCTGTGCTGGGGAGCTGAGCTCTGGCTTCGTGCTGGCAGAGAGAGGTCGGCCTGTGCCACGGAAATTGCAGGCGGGAGGCTGGTGGGAGAAGAGGGCCCAGCCTCCGGGAGGCACTGGGAGAAGAAAAGATGGCAGGGCGGGGGTTGGGATAGAAACGTCAGGACGTGGGGACTGGCTAGACGGGGGCGGGGGACGGTCCCCACCCAGGCACACCCGAGTTGGGGGTCAGTGGGCCGGGCTGCATGGAGCCCTCGTGGACGTGCCGGTGGGGACGCCGGTGCAAGTCTGTGCTAAATGGCAGAAGGGGCTGCAGCCGCCATGACGGGCCCTGTAAACGGCATCATCCACTATCACCAAAGCAAAAACGAAAACATGCCTGCTGGGAACGCTGTGTGCTCACCGGCCAGCGTTTACCCAGGGTACCTGGAAGTGGAACAGCTGGCTTCTAAGACATATAAGCACATCCTCACCTTTACCAGACAGACATGTCTTCACCTTTGCCAGACAGGCCCCTCCTCATCGTTCACTAGAAGCTGCTGAGTTGGTCCCCAAGCAGCCACACAAATTCAGCCCTGTCCCCACCAGACAAGTGTCCCCTGGGTCACGGCCACAGCCAAGGTTCTGGGGCCCAGGGTGGTCCAGGCGGGGCAGGGTATAAACTCGTAAAACTCTGCACTAATATATTTTAAAAGCCTTCAAAGACTGTGTGCACTTTGACCTAGAAATTCTATTTTGGGGAGTTGTCAGGGAACGTCAGAAATGAGCCCAAAGATTTATGCAAAAGGACCTGCTCGCTCATCAGAGCTCAGCTTTATGGGTCTGGACAAATCACGGTCCTGGAACCACCACTACCGCGAAAACGCAGCGCAAAGACGCAGGACAGCTCCCCCAGCTTCCCCCCGCCGTTCCCTGCCTCACAGCCGGACCCCGCCCACCCAGTCTTGGCCCCCAACCCCTGGCTTTCCCAGGTATCCCATAGACGGGATCGCAGCGTGGCTTCCTGGCCTGGCCTCTCCCGCGTCAGGCCCTGCGAGCCCATTCGTGCTGTCCCGGGCACCCACCCTTTGCTGCTTTTCACCGCGCACCGTGGATGCACCGGGATTGATCTGGCACCGGCCGTCGCGGTCCGTGTCGGCTGCTTCCGGGCTAGGCCGTGCTGAATAAAGCCGGCTGAACACTCGCTCTGTACGTGACACACGCTGTCCTTCCCGCGAGTACGTCCTGGGCGTGGGCGCTGGTGTGCGATGAGCGCAGGTGTACCCGGCCTCCGCGTGCCACGCGCAGATGTACCCGGCCTCCGCGCTCCACGCGCAGGTGTACCCGGCCTCCGCGCTCCACGCGCAGGTGTACCCGGCCTCCGCGCTCCACGCGCAGGTGTACCCGGCCTCCGCGCTCCACGCGCAGGTGTACCCGGCCTCCGCGCTCCACGGCAGCCTCGCCACTCCATGGCAGCCTCGCCACTCCATGGCCTGCAGGTCCTGAGCCTTGCCGGCCGCGCACCCTCCTTTGAGCTTGCTGCTCTCGGCTGGTTTTTAGATCAGGGCCCTTCTAACATGTGAGTGACAGCTCCTGTGGCTTAACTCTGTATTTCCCTAATAACAGTTCAGCGCTGTATTTGCCATAGGCGTGTCTTCTTTGGTGAAGTGTCTGTTCAAAACTTTGTCCCTTTTAAAATCAGGTTATTTTCTTACAGTTGAGTTTATACAGTTCTTTATATAGCTTAATTACAAGTCCTTTGTTAGATATGTGATTTACAAATATTTTCTCCCAGTCTGAGGCTTGTTTTTTCATTCTCTTAACAGTCTTTTGTGGACAAAAGTCAAAAGAATTTTTTTAATAGAGATGAGGGTCTTGCTATATTGCCCAGGCTGGTCGTGAACTCCTGGGCTGAAGTGATCTTCCCACCTCGGCCTCTCAGTGTTAGGGTTACAGGCCTGAGACCCCAACTAGGCCAGGAGTTTTAGATTCTAATGAAGTGAAGCCTATCCATTTTCATATTTCATGAATCGCGTATCTGACGCCACGTCTGGGAACTCCTTCCTTACTCTCCATTGGCAAGGCCACCTCTATGTTTTCTTCTACAAGTTTATAGTTTTAAATGTTATATGTTTAGGGCCACGGTCCACCTTGAGTTGAATTTTTGTATAAAACGTAAGGCATGGGTTGTGTTTTTTTAAAATATGGGAGTTCAGTTGTTGTAGCCCCATTTGTTGAAAAGACGATTCTTTCTCCGTGCCCGGCCTTTTCACTTTGCCAAACGCCGGCTGGCCCCATTCATGTGGTTCTATTCCTGGACTGTGTCCACGACCCCACGCCTGTCCTTTCCCCACACTGTCCTGCTGTGGCTTCAGAACAAATCGTGAAAGCAGGCAGTGTCAGTTCCAACTGCTGCTTTTTCAAAACGGTTCCTAGGCCTTTCCATAAAGATGTTACAATCAGCTTGTAAATATTGCAGAAAATGGGATTCTGAATGGGATTTCACTGAATCTGGAGATGGACTATGGGGAGGGTGGACATCTTAGTCACACCGAGTCTTCAGCGCGTGAGCACTGCAGGCCTTCGTTGATTTCAGTCTTTATCAGTAATTATCAGCTGTATTTAGCTGTAATTATCAGCACGTAGATGGATCCTGGACCTAGGCTGTGAGACTTGCATGTAAGCAATTCATGGTTTTTGGTGCTATTAATGAACTTTAAAAAATTTGAATTCCAATAGTTCACTGCTAGCAACTCCCTTAATTTTCTTAAGCTTTGTTGTGGGTTTCCTGGGAATTTCTACATAGGCAGTTCTGTTCTCTTGCTTTCCAATCATACGGCGTGTTTCTACATAGGCAGTCCTGTTCTCTTGCTTTCCAATCGTACGGCGTGTTTCTACATAGGCAGTCCTATTCTCTTGCTTTCCAATCGTACGGCGTGTTTCTACATAGGCAGTCCTATTCTCTTGCTTTCCAATCATATGGTGTGTTTCTACATAGGCAGTTCTATTCTCTTGCTTTCCAATTGGACAGCGTGTTTCTACATATGCAGTTCTATTCTCTTGCTTTCCAATAGTACGACGTCTACTTTCCTTGCTTCACTGCTCTCTCTAGGACTGCCAACAGGTGCTGAAGAGGAGTGGGGAGCAGGCATCCTTGGGTTGGTCCCAATCTTAACGGGAAAACATTCAGTCTTTTGCTATGTATGTTGTTAGCTGTAGGGTTTTTTTGGTAGATGTTCTCTATCAGGAAAAGGAAATTCCCTTCTATTCCTAAATTGCTGAAAGTGCTGTTTTAAAAATCATGAATGGATACTGAATTTAGTCAAACGCTTTTTCTACATCTGTTGAGATGAACAGCTGGCATTTTTTCTTTGGTGCATTAATATTGTGAATTACATGGGTTGGTTTTGAGTATCGAACCAAGCTTGCTTTCCTGAGAAAAACCTCAGTTGGCCGTGATGTGCTGTGCTTTTTATGTCTTTACCAACCCCGATTTACTGATGTTTTGTTGAGGAGTTTCGCATGAGTTCATGGGAGACACTGGTCTTTGTTTTTACTTTTCTTGTCATGTCTCTGGTTTGGTATCAGAGGAGTATTGGCCTCTTGGAATGAGTTGGGAAGGGATCCCTCCTCTTACATGTTTCTGGAAGAGACCATGTAGAATTGGTGTTATTTATTCCTTAAATTTTTGTTAGATTCACCAGTGAAACTACCTGGGCCTGGAATTTTCTTCCTGGAAGGTTTTAAACTATGAATTTAATTTTTTTAATTACCATAGGATTATGTTATTTATTTCTTCTTGAGTGAATTTTGGTGACTGAGCATGTTTTTAAGTTAATTTTTGTCTTATCAAAGTAATTGTACATGTAATTTTTTTTTTTTTTTTTTTTGAGACAGAGTCTCACTCTGTCACCCAGGCTGGAGGGCAGTGGCGCGATCTTGGCTCATGTGATATTCAAAACCAACCCATGTAACTATCCCTACTTCTAAATGCTGATCTGGCCATTTATTGGCATATTAATGTTACACATTTTGGGTGACTTTGTAGAGTTGAGAATCTGGGTCTCCCACACACCCCACCTTCAACCACCATAACTGTAACCTCTTTTCTGCAGACATTGTTACATCCCATTTTTGGGGTAAGATAACTCATGCGCGTTCACAGTGTTAAGAAAATGTGAACATGCTCATTGCTGAGCCAAGTCGTGCTCTACAATTACATTTTTTTCTCATAGAATGTTTTGTTTCTCCTGAAGTTTTATGGTTTCATTCCAGAACTGCTTAGTGCCACCCGCCTACGACCCAGGGGGCCCCTTCCTGTCCTGCCTTTGGTGGGACCTCGTTTCTTCCCTCTCACCATGGAAGCTTTTAGAATATTCTTTTTTCCCTGAAGTTTCAGGATGAGACGCCTTGACACGCGTGCGTTTCCATTCAGCCTTGGGGGATTCGTGCACTGGTTGGGATAAGTCCGGTGTCTTGAATTCTGAGCCAATTCTGAACCATAACACCCTTTCTCATTCTCGCCTTTCTGGAACCCTGGTAGGCCAGAGCGGGACTTCTGGATTAACCTCCCAGCGGTGCATCTTCCCCCTGCCTTTTCATCTTTGTCTTTGAGTGGTATCTTCTTTCCTAAATGTGTACTACTTCTTTTTTGAGTAGGGTAATCCCATTTTTAACTTCTGAGAGATCCTCTTCACCCTCGGTTCCTTTTTCATGGCGTCTTGTTCTTGTTTCATGGACACAGCCCTGCTCTGCCCTCTTGGCGTCCCTGATTATAACTCCTGATGTTTCCTGTGTTTCCCCAAGCCCCATGTCTATCCTTTCAGGCTCCATTCTTTCCCAATGTGCCTCACTTCCTCGAGACGGGGGCGCTAAACTGCTGCTTGGACGCCCTGTGGCCTGGGTGGGGCTTGCCAACCACTGGGTTCACTGCCAGTGTCCAGACAGTGCTGGCCTTCGTCAGGCCCTGTGCACCAGCCAATGCCATTCTCCCCTTTGAGGTGCCCAATTCTGCCAAAGACAGGTCCTTTGGCTCCTGTGGGGGCTGGAGGTCTGGCTGCAGCCATCCTAGGCAGGGAGGGGTCTATGGGCAGGTTCTCCCTCAATGACTCCTGCAGCCTGGCACGCTACCACCCTCCAGGAGCCTGACCCCCACATCCGGGTCTCCAGGGAGGCGGCATGGGGCCAGGAGCTGGTACAAAGACGGGGGAGGCAGGAGCTGAGCTCACCACCCATTGTCGTCCCCATTCCAGCCCCAGTTTCTCCCATTGTTGCTGGGATAACAGAAGCCTCCAGAGCGGCCCATGGTGGGCTGCCGGCATCTCCCACAGGTCTCGCTCCACAACACAGCCGTCACCTTCCACAGCCACGGCCACCATCTTCCTTCGTGCGGAAAGCGCCCATCGGTCACTGTATCCATTCCTGCCTGCACCGTCCATGTGGATTTACACTCTTTTCTCCCTTTACGATCATTTCAGTTGGGTTCAAGAAGTCAGAGGAGGTCAAAAGATGTAGCCAATCCATTACCTAATCAAAAGTCTAAGTATTATTTTTATTAGAAAAAAAAATCAGGAACTTAAATGTTCTGTATGAAAGGAGAGCAGGCTGAATAAATTACGGAACTGCCAAGGGGAGGAATGCAGCACAGCTGCGAGGAGGGCTGCCCTTGGGGAAGATTTGGGGCATCAGGCGCCCTCCGCACACTGCCACGTGGCATCAGGCGCCCTCCGCACACTGCCACGTGGGCATCAGGCGCCCTCCGCACACTGCCACGTGGCATCAGGCGCCCTCCGCACACTGCCACGTGGCATCAGGCGCCCTCCGCACACTGCCACATGGGCATCAGGCGCCCTCCGCACACTGCCACGTGGGCATCAGGCGCCCTCCGCACACTGCCACGTGGCATCAGGTGCCCTCCGCACACTGCCACGTGGGCATCAGGCGCCCTCTGCACACTGCCATGTGAAGCAGCCAGTCACCAGGCAGGATCTACACTGAAGTCTCAACTAGAAAATGTGTGTCAATAGGAAAAGACCAGAAAGGCAGTCTCAGAACGCTTCCTGTGGCGCTCTGTGTGTAATGGGACTAGTGAGGGTTCAGCTTTTCCTCCCAGGCATTTACACATTTCCTGGCACGCTCACACCACGCGGCAGCGCCGGTGCCATCGGGAACCGCAACGTGGGACGGACAGTGTGGGGACAGCTGTTCTGACAACAGTCTCAGGACGTGGCCACAGGAACCTGGGTGCCAGGCGGAATGGGCATGCAGCCCGGTGGGCAAGGGCAGTGGAGGATGGAGTGGGGCCAGGCTGAGCAGGCACAGGGACCGTGACCAGCCGCCTTTGAAAAACTAAGTGGGCTGGGAGCCCTTCTCAGAAGGCGAGGTCTCCGCTGACATGGTGTCCGCCCTGGCATCAACCTTTTATTCCCTAGTGACAGTAAACAGAAGGACCGAGCCACATTCCCCCAATAACCACGGCTGCAGCTGCACTTGTCACCCCGACCGAGGCTCCAGAGATGCCAAGTGTGGGTGCTCCTGGGCCTCTGTTCTCAATTCAGAGCACAGAAGATTCTGCGGCTTCAGCCTGCCAGGAACGAGGCTGATTCTGAGTGCCGTGACTCTCGGGGGGGGCGGAGGTGTGAGAACAAGGGGGTCAGGGAAGGCTGGGTGCACTTGTCCCCAACGGCGAGGGAGGGCTCAGCATGCAGGGACCCCGCAGCTCGCGATTTTCCTGTTGGGGTCTGAGGTCTATTTAGTGTGTAGTCAAATCCTCAGCCTTCTGCATCCCTTGGCTGCTGCCTGTGTATCTCCTGGAAGCTTTCTCTCCTCCACCAACCTGTCCACCAGGCAAACAGCCGCGGCCACTGAGAGCCGGGAGCCAGCCGCTGGAGGGACCCAGCCTCACCAGCAGTCATTTGCTCAGCAGCGACTCTGTCCGCAGACTTTAACCCTTCGCTCCCTAAGTACCTGAAAGAAAATAATTATTGACTCATTTTACTAACTATGAATTCATAACAGTTTGACTTTGAACTGAATTGAGGTTTTTTCTTTTCACTCATCTACAGAAAAGGCCTCTTGCGTCAAATGAAGACAGAAAAGCAGAATATTAAATCTATGTAAGGGAACAAACTGTTTCAAAACAGCACAACAGGCCTTTGCCTAGAATGTGCTCGCCTGGAATTATCTGCACCGAAGCAGACGTGTCAGTTCGATTTCCTGCGCACCCTGCGTTAACTCGTTTTGTGCCTTCGTGTCTGGAGAAAATCGGCACAGCTTCCCCTCGGCATTCTGTCCTCTCACCCTCCCCTGGCTGAAATGAGCCTGGCCGTCCCAGGGCCCCCTGACCCCAGCACATTCTGAGGTTTCCTCTGAGCATGGTGTTCTGTGCCAAACACCATGAGAGGCATCTGCAAGAAGGACACGGAGTTGGTGGCCCGGGCCTGGCACGGCTGGTGCCCAAGAGCGAGACCAGGCGGTCTGCAGGTGCAAGTGCTCACGGTGCCAAGGGTGTCGTTGATGATTCACCCAGCTGTGCCGAGAGAGGGGGCTGGCCCTGCCCTCAGGGCACCAGCGTCACAGACACAGGTGAGCAAGCTGCTCGCAGAGGGCACCACTGCCTGTGGATGCAGAAGAGGGCATCCTTCCCGGGACAGAATCGTTCCAAGTCACGAGTTAGAATTCAACTGGGTCGAACAACGGCTCAGCACCTGCAGCCCCTGTCCTGTCCCTGGGCCGCTGGTTTCCACTGCTGTTTCCCGGGAACTGCAGCCCACAGCAGTGGCCACGCCGCAGGTGACTCCTCTCCATTAGGTGCTCTGCACCCAGCCCAGCCCCACCAAGTGCCCACACAGTGTGCTTGCAACTTTCCACAGCGCCAGCCCGATCATCCCTGCCTGGCTGGGGCCCTTCGGAGACGCCAGCTCAATCATACCTGCCTAGTGGGGCTTTTCCGCAGTGTCAGCCTGATCACGCCTGCCCGGCAGGGCTGGACCTGTCTGTGGGTTTCAGTCCAGCTTCACTGTGATGGCAGCGGCACCAGGCGGGAGATGGGTCCTGGATGTGGCGCCAACACCCACTGCCCCGGCAACAGCAAGGTCCAAAATGCCGCAGACCTTCCGCTGCTGTGGCCCGTGAGCTGCGGGCGCTGCACCAACCCCAGACCTGGGCAAGAAGCAAGTCAGCTCTGAGCTCCTGCCACTGGGCTGCTGGGCAGTGTGCCCGCCTGGGGACTGCGTGCCGGACATCGGTGCAGTGGAGAATCTGTTCTTACTGGCTCAACAGGAATTTTGATTTAGGAAAGAAGCAATCCCAACTCTGCATCAGTGCGCTGGGCATTGGGGATCGGGGGCAGACACTGAGTGGGCTGCAGGCCAGTCCGACTGCTCTTCACAACCGCCTCCCCCTTCAAGGTTTTCTGCACTTAATGGGGGCTCAGGGCAAGTTCAGCAGCAGAGACCCAGGCCCCCCAGCAGGCAGAGGCCCCGTGAACACCACAGTCTTGCTCTTGGCCAGACTTGCACCTCCCCGACTCAGGACCGCTGTCCCCAACCCCGTGCCAGGGTCTGCGGTGCTGCCGTGTAGGGCGGGAAGGTCTGTGGTGCCACCGTGTAGGGTGGGACGGGAGTGATCTCTTTCTTCCCCATTGTCAGGGTCACGGCCGACCCCATAACAAAGGCCGACAGGAGAAACACATGACAAACTCACAGTGGGAGTTTTACTGACACAGGAGCCTTCGGCATGAAGACCCTGAGATTTAGGGAAACAATCTCTTTGTATGTGGAGGTTCAGTGAAGCTGGAGTGGAAATGGGATTGGCAGATGGAAATGTGTGCTCGGTGGTGCTAGACCAAGGGGAGCGCCCAGGGCCGCCTGTGCTCCGTGGTGTTGGACTGAGAGGAGCCCCCAGGACCGCCTGTTCAGATTTGGGCTCTGGGCAGTGCTCTTTCTTCCCATGATGGGGCAGGACCCTCTGGAATGGGGGTCTTAGGACCCCATCAGACAACGTAGGGCAATCTCCTCATGGCCAGTCCTCACACAGAAGAGTGGGGAAGTTAGGGGGATAACTCAGGCTAGCTTTAAAAGGGGTTGTGGTTTCTATGACCCACCCTGGCGAAGAGATTCTAGTTTCTCTGGTAGCCCTGGGTGAGATGGAGGCTGGGAGATCACAGGGCAGAAGGTGGGGAGCTGCTTTGCTGCAGAGGCTGTCCCGCTGGGGTGTGGCTTTCTGAGCCTCATCAGTCTCCTCAGGGCCTGTCACATACCTGGAGACGCCCCTCTCCTGACACCCTCCAGGAACCCCCACTCCTACCACAGGAAGGAATGGCGATGGGGAAGAGGGAAGCCTGAAGTCCCGGCCTGCGCTGGCCAACGGGGCAGGAGCACACGTGACCGTGGCAGAGCCCTGGAAAGGGACCCGGTGCCCCTGGAAGCTCTCCCACCACCGCACCTGGGCCGGCCTCCTGGAGAGGAGGGAGCGGAGATGCACCAGCTTCCACCTTGGAGACCCCAGTTGATGCGGCAAGGACAGAGCATGCCAAGCCCAAACCCAGCCTCAGAATGACCCGCAGACAGACGGCTGCCATCTGAACCCAAGGGGAAGCTTATGCAGTAGGAGAGAATCAATTCTGGGGTGGGCCCCCCGCTTTGCACTTTTCTCTTTGTTCTCCAGAATCCACCGTCACATCTTCGTACACATTTCTCTAGATTTTAAAGATTATTTTGTGAGAGTCCAAAACACCCACTAGGACTCTGACTGACGCGCAGTAAGTGTGTGTGTTAATTTGGGGAGTGGCTCCCCCCTCGGGGCAGGTGTGCCCCGTTCACTCCTTTCTTCGCCTCCGCTGTGACGGTGCTGCTCCTGATAGACACAGAACCTCTCTTGCTGAGATTATTCCTAGGCCTTTCATATTTTTGTTATTAGGGTGACTGGAATAGTTTTTCTATTAAGTTTTCTATGACTGATGGCATAGAGGAAGGTGGCTGATGGCGGTGGCTGTACAGCTTTTCTTCAATCGGCCAACAAAACACAGTTCAGGAGCAGAATCCCTACCTCAGCCTGTGATGGGGAAAGGCGGGAGGCGCTGTGAGGGCCGAATGTGAGGGCCAAGGATTCCCGAGGCAGTCAGGAGACAGCGCCTGCCTGGCCTCTTGACCCCACGCTTGACCTGAGGCTGTAACCGGATCAGTTGTTCCCACTGGGTTCTGGGGCAGGCAGCTGTCCTCGGGATGACCCCGTCAAAGCCCGAAGTGGCCCGAAACGTGTCTGACTCTTCAGTGGCCTCAGCATGAGCATGTCACTGACAAGGATGTCCCCTCAGCAGCGAGGCCAGCGCCTCTCACAGGCTGGACCTGGACACCGCAGCTGCTGCCTTCTTTGGGCTAAATCCACTCCCCGCCAAGTCCCAGGCGCCTCCTGGCCCAGTGAGGCAGCTAGGCGGACACTGTTGCCAGCTCTAACCGCGGCCGCTCCATGGCCTCCCCTGCTTTCCTCCCAGACTCCTGCTTTCCAAATCGCAAAGTTCAGATGCCGCGAACAGACACTGAGGACATGGGGTGTGCCGGCTCCCAGGAAAACGCTCCCGTCCAGGGCTCCCCAACAGACAGCTAGGGCCAGCTCCCAGGAAAACGCTCCCGTCCAGGGCTCACGGCCGGACAGCTAGGGCCGGCTCCCCGACGCCCCTCACAGCTGCATACAGGCCAAGCGCAGGCTGGATGTGCTCAGAGGGGCCGGTGGCCACGCAGAGGATCTGGGAAGACTGACAGGAGGTGGCTGGGGGGGGGGGAGGGGGGCCGGCAGGAGCGGCACCCGTGGGCCAGCACGGGGAGTGACAGAGGGAACGGGAGTGTGGGGGAGGCCTGGGGAGGCGGGGAGCACACAGAGACCCCTGCAGGGCACAGAACTGAGAAAAACAACAGCCTGGGAAAAAACAAAGTCCACGAAGAAGAAAGGGGAAGTCTCCCAAGTGATACGGACAGGAGGCGAGAAACGCTGGGTGGAGAGGGTGGTCCCCCGAGAGGGCCTCAAGCCTGGGACCGAGGCCCAAAGCAAGAACTCTCATTCCTGTTTTCCTGCCCGAGTGCTGTCTTTCCAAAACCACCCTGGCCCACCCTGCTGCCCATCCTGTCCCCAGGCCCAACCGGCAGAGCTACCTGGCTTCTTCCTAGCAGGTCCTTTTGTGAGCCTCCCCACTATTTCTGCACACTGACCACTCCTGCTATGTCATCAGAGGAGGACAGCACACGCCGGCTCCCGGAGGGGCGGTCCCCACCCCACAGACCCTCCCCACGGCCGCCACACAGGGGGCCACACGAGGCTTCGCTTCCCTCGTTTGCAAAAGGGGAGAGAGACCTCGCTGTGTGATTCTGTGTGCTGAGCACTGTCCAAAGCAAGGCACGTAAATTATTCAACTTAATCTCAACAGCTTTGAAGAATCTGCATTTGTTTGGTGAGGAAACAGGCTCAGAATGGAGAGAATGTTTCAAGCCCTGCCGCTGTCAGAGCCAGAGCTGGATGGGAGCGCCAGTCACACTCAGAGTCTGAGAACTAAGCCAGCCCGCAACTGCGCCTCGTACTGCAGCAAGAAGAGAGACCGGAGACCTGGGAGGGATTTTATGGAAAAAGAATTGGCCGGGCGCGGTGCCTCCGCCTGTAATCCCAGCACTTTGGGAGGCCAAGGTGCGTGTATCACCTGAGGTCAGGAGTTCAAGGCCAGCCTGGCCAACATGGTGAAACCCGTCTCTACTAAAAATACACAAAAATTAGCTGGGCGTGGTGGTGCATCTGTAATCCCAGCTACTCGGGAGGCTGAGGCAGGAGAATCACTTGAACCCGGGAGGTGGAGATTGCAGTAAGCTGTGATTGCGCCATTGCACTCCAGCCTTGGTGACAGAGTGAGACTCCATCTCAAAAAAAAAAAAAAAAAAAAAAACTGAAGCTTTGAAGCTTTTATATCAGGGATTTTAGCTTTTTTTTTTTTTTTGCCAGACTAAAGTGAAAATCCAAAACACAAATCTTCGATGTTTTCCCCATCAAATCTGTGCAGGAAGCAGAGCAGAGAATGCAGCCTGTTATCTTCCTCCCCTGCCCATGGAGTTTCCAGGCCCTGCCGTTTGCAGGCCTCCACGAGCCTCTGCAGGGTCTCTGATCCCTCCACAGGGGTGCCAAGGGCTGAGGGGTGTGCGGCCGGCCGCACGTGCAGGAGCGTTGCCATCACTGGGCCCTGCCCGCCTCCCAGAGCTTGGTCCGGTGGCATTGTGCGGCCCCAGAGCAGCTGGCCCTGGTGACACATCTGCTGCGGGTCCTCACTCGGTGCTGGCAGGAATTTGCTGCCAATGTCGCAGTGGCAGACGCTGCTGACTGGCACCTGCCTCCCTGGTAAAGAGCAGCCGCAGCTTTGCTCAGGCCTGTGGCCTCTGGGTTAGGATGTGATGCCGGCCCCTCTGCACCGCAGACGTCCAGGCCAACGGGACGCAGACGGACGCAGAGGCTCTGCCAAGGCGTCATAGGGGGCCGCCTTCCCCTCCCTCTACTGCCCCTGGGTGGAGACTGGTGGTGTGGGAGCCTCCCAGACGCGGGGGGCCACCGGCTGGTCCTGCACCGCCCACTCGACTTGCTGCCGCAAGACGTCAGCCCCGCCTGACGTCCCCCGAGATTCTCAAGTTTGGATCTGTTGTGGCCCTAATACAGCCCTTGTTATACCACATGGATGGGAAGGGGCCATGGCCCAGAGCAGCTGCCCTAGGAGCCCCACTGCCTGCTCTTTCTGAAGAAATCAGCTCTGAACGCAGAACCTGCCAGCTGGTGCTCAGGTCCAGGACAACTCTGCCTGCGGCTGTAGGGACAGGCCACACCCCACGTCCTGTCCACACCCTATGTCCATCCTTGCCATGAGGCCGTTCAGGGCTCCAAGGGTCCCCCACAGGACAGGCTGCGACAGACGCAAGCACGTTTTGCGCTGCCAGGAGGCGGGAGGTGCGATTTGTCAGCTCATAAGGCTTAGCCTCACGCAGGTGCAGGTGGACAGAACACCCTCACGGCGGACCCCGGAGGCCTGTGCCTGACACGAAGGCTGACCCTCCCCAGTGCAAGGGACTCCTCCTGCCTGGCCACAGGCTAGGACCTTCCTCCTGCCTCAGGCTCGACGGAAACCACAGCTCTGGTCTCTCGGTGCTGGTCTTTGGATTGGAACTCAGACCCAGGCTCTGCTGGTCTCAGGTGTGCTGACTGCAGCGTGGGGCCTCCAGCCTCCAGGACCGGGTGAGCTGACGCCTGCCAATCAGCCACACCCTTTCATCCTGCACCTCTGGAGAACCCTGATCAACACAACTCGGCATCCACAAAACTCGCTCTGTGAGCTGACACAACTCGGTGTCTGTGACGTCTGCCCACGTGCAGAAGAAACTTGGCTACCAGCTTTTAAAGCTGTTGCAAAAATGTTCTCAGTGAATTCAATGCTTCAAATCCCAGTCATGAAATCTATAACTAATTATACTGGTCTCAATTTAATCATGTGAGTTTAAAAGAAAAAATCAATTCACAGAGCCAAAAATCAGCCTGAATGTACAAGGAAGCAATGGATTTTGAAAAACAACCTCCAGCCAGAAACCTCCAACAGCGGGCAGGTCTCCAGTGAGCAGATGCACAGTCTGTCCTGGCCTCCAGCCAGCCCGTGGGTGCTCACACCATCCAGGCCACACAGCAGCCGCCCAGCGCAGAGGGAGCGCGCAGCTCTGGGGGCACGGAAACTGCCACCACCCATCCCTCCAAAGCCTCTGGATCCTCACGGTGGGCGTCACCAGGCCACATCCACCAGCAGGAAGCCAACACTGGTGCAATCCTGACCATGGAGAGCCCACGGGACCCCAAAACCACACCACGTCATTGCAATCATCAAGCCCTGTCACTGTCAGAGACGACAGAAGACACCGCTCCCTGCCGATTATTCCGCAGCCATTAGGGCCCACGGCAGCTGAAGCTCGTGATCCCGTCTGTATGTTCACAGGGCGCCTTCGACGTGGGGGGCTTCGTCTGGGAGCAGACGGTGGGGAGAAGAGAGGTCGCTCGGCCTCCTCCAGTAGCTGTCCACAGCCTAAACTCCCGAAGGCCACAGACTCACTGGAGGTCCCATGAGGGCAATGGGGAGCACGAGCGGTGCCCACCCCCAGGTGGCTGGGGGCCCAGAGGTGGGAGGTCCTGCCTGGCTGAGCCTCCACCAGCTGGGAACGGGTGGCAACTCCCACTCCAGCTCTGACCTCAGACCCGTGTGTGTCCCTACAGCCTGGATTAAAACATCCATGCCACGGCTGCGGGCCGTCCCGCGTGGTGGTGGCGGCGGCTGAGGTGTCTGCAGGTCGTGACCACTGGTGACCTCTCCTAGGAAAGATGGCGAGGTTGGGGGTGCAGTGGGTGTGTTTGGGTTTAGAATGTACTTTTTGAGGGTCAGAGAATCCAGGATAACTTTGGGGGCCACAGATGTTTAGGATTTGGTTTGTAACCTCTGTGGCCACAGGCAAGATAAACAGTTGAGCAAATCACCCTAACGCCTGGCCACGAAGATGCTGTGGGTTTGGGATAGAACGGATTTTCTCTCCTGGGAAAGGCCCAGCAATGGAGTGAACGATCCCACGTGAGAAGGCAGAGGACAGAGCCTGCTTGGACAGCACAGGGCGGGTCCAGGTGTCCACCTTCCGGTCCCCAGGGCCGTCCCAGCACATCTGTGGGCCAGTGCGTCCCCTGTGGGCTCAGACTCAACAACTGCTCCCAGTCCAGGCAGCCCAGAGCCAAGCACACACTGACAAAGCCGGGTTCTCAGGTCCTGAGCACTGCTGGGGACGCACGGGCATGTCCTGCTCATACATAACTGAGGCTTCCTATTTCTTCCGCACCCGCCGTGTGCAGCAGACCAGGCGTTTCCGTGGTCCCTGAGCCGAGCCCTCCCCACAGGGAGCTACTGCCCCTGTGCAGGTCGCAGCCCAGGGGCAGGAGACTCAGCGCGGGGCGGGCACTGAAAGCAACCAGCACCCTGGGCTTCCCTCATTCTCCGAGGTATCCAGGAGACCCGGGAGGCTGTCCCAGCTGGACTCTGGCTCGGGGTCTCCCCAGTGTCTGCAGGGCTGTGTGTAGGGGTGCTCACGGCTCCTGCATCCCCACCCCTGCACCTGGGACAGCACAGTGCGTGCGGGAAACCCTGTGGAAGCCGACCCGTGTGGTGGCTGGACTCAGCCTCCCGCACACATCCCATCAGAGAGCTCACATTCTGTCAGTAACACCGACTCCTAGTTCTCAAGAACTCGTGTCCTGACAAACAGCACTGAAGCGCTCGCACCCACGTGCTCTCCAGGGAGCACTGAGTTACGGTCCCACTGCCGTCCCTCAGCAGCTGGCCTGGGATGGTCAGCCAGTGATTTGGCTCGTCTGAGGCTTGAGCTGGGCTGGGACTTGCACTGTCTGGGATTCAGCATGTATTTATTTAATTAAAGTGAGGCTGAGCATCTTCTCACGGGAATCACCATCATTTTACGGTTCTCACATCCCATCAATCAAGTGGACAAAAGGTGACGTCCTTCACCAGCCCCCAGCTGGACGCTTGGAAGCACCCTGGCTTCCGGTTTTGTTACGTCACCAACACGCCAATTCTCATGCTTTGAAATATTCTCTTAGGACAGGAGTGAGAACCACCTTTTCTTGGCTCTTCACCCACACAACTGAATCGCTTCCGAAAAAGACCTTCGGTCAGTCAGCAGCAGCTGCAACGCTCGGACACGGGTCACCAGGCCCCATGCAGAGGGCGACTGCTTCTTAACCGGACGCTTGGACACGGGTCACCAGGCCCCACGCGGAGGGCGACTGCTTCTTAACCGGACGCTCGGACACGGGTCACCAGGCCCCACGCGGAGGGCGACTGCTTCTTAACTGGACAAGCAATTTAGGGGTGCGTGCCAGGAGTGTGAAGGGCTGGGTGCCACGGAGCCCAGGGTTGTCCCTGAGAGGATCTGGGGTTTTGGGGTCCACAGTAAGGGTTAGGGCTGGTGTTCCTGGGGTGACTTCTGTAGCTGGGGCAGCCCAAACTTCTCCTATTCTCTAACGTGACACAAATGAATTTTCCCTCCTGGATATTCGACCGAGGACAGCCAAACACTCCAGCACCTTTTGGAAGCACGATCAGGACCTGGACCTCATGGGGACGACGGGGGAAGGCAGCCTGGCCGCCAGACACCCAGACTGCAGGCAGCAGCCGACTTCCAAACCTGTATTTAAGTCAGATTGGCACTCGGGCCGCAGGCTTGGGTCAGTTCAGCTTCTTGCTGTGCCCTTCAATGAGTGTCCCCCAGGTAGGCAGGGGCTCTGCGGTGCTGACGGTGGGTGCTCTGCCCCGAGGGGTGGAGGGGTCTCCACGCAGTCCAGGGAGGCCGGTGCCGAGGGGAGGGGTGCCCGACCCCCACCTGGTGGGGTGCTCTGCCTCCTGGTGTGGCCATCGGAAAACGCAGGGAGACTTTTTCAGGGCAACACTCAGCTATGCCCATTCAGACACAGTCACAGCCCCTTCTCCGTGAATGTCACCCTCTGGCAACACAAACCCCCAGGCCCAGGGCCCGGAGCTCACGGTCCCCCCCCAGACACGACACACACTGAGCTCACGGTCCCTCCCAGACACGACACACGACGAGCTCACGGTCCCCCCCCAGACACGACACACGCCGGGCTCACGATCCCCCCCCCAGACACGACACAACGCCGGGCTCACGGTCCCCCCCCCAAGACACGACACACGCTGAGCTCACTCCTTCCCCAGACATGACACATGCTGAGCTCACTTCTTCCCCAGACATGACACATGCTGGCAAGCTTTTGCCTTCTCTTGCCTCCTCATGGTAACATAGGTTGACCCACAAGGACACACACTTCTGCCCAGGCCTTGTCAGGTTAGTGGGACAGGACGGATGGGGCAGGAAGTCTAAGACAGGGGCAGGAAGATCCACACCCAGGTCTAGTCACCCAGATCTCTCAGCACCCAGATCTCTCAGCACCCAGACCTCTCAGCACCCAGACCTCGGTACCCAGACCTCGGCACACAGACCTCTCAGCACACAGACCTCTCAGCACCCAGACCTCAGCACCCAGACCTCTCAGCACCCAGGCCTCAGCACCCAGACCTCTCAGCACCCAGACCTCGGCACCCAGACCTCTCAGCACACAGACCTCTCAGCACACAGACCTCTCAGCACCCAGGCCTCTTAGCACCCAAATCTCTGAGAACACAGACCTCTCAGCACCCAGACCTCAGCACCCAGACCTCTCGGAAAACAGACCTCTCAGCACACGGACCTCTCAGCACACAGACCTCAGCACCCACACCTCAGCACCCACACTCTCAGCACACAGACCTCTCAGCACACAGACACACAGACCTCAGCACCTAGACCTCTCAGCATACAGACCTCTCAGAACACAGACCTCAGCACCCAGACCACAGTACCCAGACCTCTCAGCACACAGACTTCTCAGCACCCAGACCTCTCAGCACCCAGACCTCTCAGCACCCAGACCTCAGCACCCAGACCTCTCAGAAAACAGACCTCTCAGCACACAGACCTCTCAGCACCCAGACCTCAGCAACCAGACCTCTCAGCACAGAGACCTCGGCATCCAGACCTCTCACAAAACAGACCTCTCAGCACCCAGACTTCAGCACCCAGACCTCAGCACCCAGACCTCTCAGCACACAGACCTCAGCACCCAGACCTCAGCACCCACACTCTCAGCACCCAGACCTCTCAGCACCCAGACCTCTCAGCACCCAGACCTCAGCACCCAGACCTCTCAGCACCCAGACCTCAGCACCCAGACCTCAGCACACAGACCTCTCAGCACACAGACCTCAGCACCCAGACCTCAGCACCCACACTCTCAGCACACAGACCTCTCATCACACAGATCTCTCAGCACACAGACCTCTCAGCACACAGACCTCTCAGCATCCAGACCTCTCAGCACAGACTTCTCAGCACGCAGACTTCAGCCCACAGACCTCTCAGCACACAGTCCTCTCAGCATACCGACCTCTCAGCACCCAGACCTCAGAACACAGACCTCTCAGCACCCAGACCTCAGAACACAGACCTCTCAGAACACAGACCTCTCAGCACCCAGACCTCAGAACACAGACCTCTCAGCACACAGACCTCTCAGCACCCAGACCTCTCAGCACCCAGACCTCAGCACCCAGACCTCGGCACACAGTCCTCTCAGCACACAGACCTCTCAGCATCCAGACCTCAGCACCCAGATCTCTCAGCACACAGACCTCTCAGCACAGACTTCTCAGCACCCAGACTTCAGCCCACAGACCTCTCAGCACACAGTCCTCTCAGCATACAGACCTCTCAGCACCCAGACCTCTCAGCACACAGACCTCTCAGCACCCAGACTTCTCAGCACACAGACCTCTCAGCACCCAGACCTCAGCACCCAGACCTCAGAACACAGACCTCTCAGCACCCAGGCCTCAGCACCCAGACCTCTCAGCACCCAGACCTCAGCACACAGATCTCTCAGCATGCAAACTTCTCAGAACACAGACCTCAGCACCCAGACCTCTCAGAACACAGAACTTTCAGCACCCAGACCTCATACCCAGACCTCTCAGCACCCAGACCTCAGCACCCAGACCTCTCAGCACACAGACCTCAGCACCCAGACCTCTCAGCACTCAGACCTCTCAGCACCCAGACCTCATACCCAGACCTCTCAGCACCCAGACCTCATACCCAGACCTCTCAGCACCCAGACCTTTCAGCACCCAGACCTCTCAGCACCCACACCTCAGCACCCACACTCTCAGCACACAGACCTCTCAGCACCCAGACCTCAGCACCCAGACCTCTCAGCACCCAGACCTCAGCACCCAGACCTCAGCACACAGACCTCTCAGCACACAGACCTCAGCACCCAGACCTCAGCACCCACACTCTCAGCACACAGACCTCTCAGCACAGACCTCTCAGCAGCCAGATATCTCAGCACCCAGACCTCTCAGCAGCCAGACCTCTCAGCACCCAGGCCTCTCAGCAGACAGCCCTCTCAGCACCCAGACTTCGGCACAAGGTCCTCTCAGCACACAGACCTCAGCACAAGGTCCTCTCAGCACACAGACCTCAGCACCCAAACTTCTCAGCACACAGACCTCGGCACCGAGACCTCAGCACCCAGACCTCTCAGCACACAGACCTCTCAGCACCCAGACTTCCGCACACAGAACTCAGCACCCAAACTTCTCAGCACACAGACCTCTCAGCACCCAGACCTCTGCACACAGTCCTCTCAGCACACAGACCTCAGCACCCAAACCTCAGCACCCAGACTTCTCAGCACACAGACCTCGGCACCCAGACCTCTCAGCACACAGACCTCAGCACCCAGACCTCTCAGCACACAGACCTCGGCACCCAGACCTCGGTTCCATAGCCAGAAGCCTTCCTGGCCCTGGCACTGTCCTCCAGCCCTGAAACAATGCGGTTGGGTCTCCTTGGTCCAGAATGACCAAATGTCACACAATTCTCTAGGCCCCGGATACCCAATATTTTAGCTCCACGTTGTCCAAACTTTGAAGGCCTGATGGGCTGAGCAGTTTCCGGCGGCCTGTGGACCGGATGCTGCGTCGGAAACCGAATGTAACTTGGAGCCTCTGTTGTCTCCCGCTGGGGGTGGAGGTTGGCCAAGACCACCATCAGCGGCGCTCCCTCAGCCCGGCCGCCTCCAGCCCGGCCCCGGCCCACCCCAGTCCCGGCAGCCCCCAGCCCGGTCCTAGGCCCTGGCCATGGCTGCCCCCGCGCCCCTTCCCCCACCCACCTCCCCGCAGCCCAGATCCCAGCCCAGCCCCAGCTCCGGCCCGGTCCCCGCCACCCCCGGCCGCGCTCACCCGCTCCTCCTCGGCGCGGATGTCCGGCATGGTGCTCAGGCAGAGGCCCACGGCCGTGACGGCCACGAAGGACACGGACACGCAGGCGAAGAGCTTGCCCGCCAGCCCCGAGTGCGGGTTGTCCACCACGTCGCGCAGGCGCCGCCGGCCGCGCTGCAGCCGCCCCCGAGGTCCCAGGGCGCGCGCCGGGCTCCCCTGCGCCCCGCGCTCCGTCGGCCCCGCGCGGGCCTCGGCCGCCTCCTCCTCGCGGCGGCGCAGGCGGCGCAGGCAGCAGCGCTCCAGGCGCGCCTCGTCGATGCCCCAGTAGGCCAGCTCGTCGCGGAAGGCCAGCGCGCACGGGCCCCGCAGCAGTCGCAGCTTCCCTGCGCGCAAAAGCGCCACGATGGCGCGGAAGGCGCACGGGCTGCGGTCGAAGAAGAACTCGTCGCGGCTCACGTCGTAGTCGTCACACACGCGCAGCAGGTCGTCGTGGCCGCGGCAGGCGCGCAGGCGCTCCAGGCGCGCGAGGGGGCATCGCGCCAGCGCGGCCCATGCCAGGCGCACGCGGCAGCCGCCCACGTTGATGATGACGTGCCGGGCGCGGGTCCCGCCGCCGCCGCCCGGGGAGCAGGGCCATGGCTCCATGCGCAGGGCCGGACCGGACCGAGGGGCTCCTGCCCGGCTCCTGCAAAAGGAACGGACCGCGTTAGGGTCGCGAGGGCTGAGCTGGGGGAGCGCGTCCGCCCGCGGGGATCCAGGGGCCGGGCCGGCACCGAACCCTCGGAGGTGAGCTCGGAGACCCCTCCGCCCGCCCACTTCCCACTCCTCCGCAGGCCCGACCTCTGCACCTGGTCCGCATGGGGGACCCTCAAGCGTCCAGCGGACCCCGCCAGGTGGTGACCCGCCTTGAGTTATCACCAAGGGAACAGCCGGGTTCTTACACTAGGGGACTTGGAACACGGGGTCGAACGGAGCTTTCACAAATCGACGCAAACTCCAAAGAGCCAGATGTTTCAGGGCGGACCCCACCGACCGGTGAGGACGCCGTGATGTCTGGAGGGAGAGACGCAGTCCTAGCTTAGTTTCTCACGGTGTGTCCCGCGGACCAGCCACGTCAGAATCAGCCAGGGGACCTGCTGGAAAACGGCATTCCTGGCCCTACTCAGCATTCTGTGAGGCGGAGAAACTGCAGAATAAGGAGCTCCAAAAGTCCATCCCTACCTTAACACAATGGAAAACCTGGTGAAAACTGTCAAGAGTCAACTTTTTTGGAACTCTGGAAACTAACCAAAAGCTTGCACCAACCGTGGGGCACTAAGAAAGAACAGCTGAGTCTTCGTCACAATAATAAGCTTTGTCGCTCCCCAGCTCTGCGGGGACAGCAACAGCCTGCATTCCCGGTACCAGCACTGGAAGGAGAAGCTACAGGACTCTTTGACTAGGAATCGTAATTACTTTGACTCCGTGGAAGACTGGCTCAAACTCCTGCCTTCATCTCCGGTGTCTTGGAACTCCGTCTGTGCAAAGGCAGCCACTTGGGGAGTGTGTGTCAAAAACATTGATAGGAAAGTGTTTCAGCCATTGCTGCCTGAGGCAATGGATTATGGTTGCCGCCACAGGCTAAACAAAAAGCTGGGGACGAAAGGCTGGGGAATGAGATGATTTAGGAAATGAAGGCCTGATAAAGTTCTAAGAGTTCCCGGGAATCTGGAATGCCACGCACACGCCTCGGCTGCGCACATGCCGGGAAAAACCCGAGAAGTCCCTGAAGTGCCTCCTCGGGCTGACCTTCAGATTCTGCGAGCAGGAGGTGATAAGACAGAGGCTTGACCAGCCTGGATGAGTGCTGAAGGTTGCTCCAAGACACGCAGAGCCCATCTGCAAAAACAAGTTTCAGTTTTCATTCCAGACGTTTAAGAATCTATATGTCCCACCACTTGCTGCCCTCTAAGCTATTGGAACAGACATCAGTGGCCACATCAGACAAAGAATATGGACTTTACAAAATTAGTTCACAAAAGTTACTCAACAAACCACAGTAGCTACAAAAACTCCTGGGGAGAGGGGAGAGTCTGATTTCCAGAACTGCCACTTATTAAAAATTTCATTTTCAACAAAAAATTACAAGGCATACAAAGAATACAAGAGTGTAGCTCATAGACAGGAAAAAGGAACTAAAACAGAATATCACTGAAGAAACACAGATATTGGACTCACCAGAAAAGATTTCACATAAGCTTATTTAATATCTTCAAAGAGCTAGAGGAATTTGTGAGAATGATGTCTCACCAAATACAGAATATCAATAAAGAGACAGAAGTTATATTAAAAAAAAGTGATAGAAATTCTGGTGTTGAAAGTGTAATAGCTGAAATGAAAAGCTCATTAGAGGGTCTCAGCAGCAGCTATGAACACGCTGAAGAAATAAGCAGAGAAACTGGAGATACATCATTTCATGCTATCCTATCTGAGGAGCAGAAAGAAAACAAGTGAAGAAAACGGAACAGAGCCTAAGAGACCTGTGGGACCATCACATGTACCAGCTTTTGCATAGTGAGAGTCCTGAAAGGAAAGAGGGAACAGGGAAGAAAGAATATTTGAAGAAATATGGTTTAAAAACCCTCCAAATTCGATGAAAAACATTAATCTACACATCTAAGAAACTCAACAAACTCCAAGTAAGATAAATTCAAAGACATCCACACTGACACACCACAAACTGTCTAAAGACAAAGACCCGGCACAGTGGCTCATGCCTGTAATCCCAGCACTTTGGGAGGCCGAGGCAGGTGGATCCTCTGAGGTCAGGAGTTTGAGACCATCCTGGCCAACATGGCAAAAACCTGTCTCTACTAAAAATACAAAAATTAGCGGGGTGTGGTGGCAGGTGCCCGTAATCCCAGCTACTCGGGAGGCTGAGGCAGGGAGAATTGCCTGAACCTGGGAACGGAGGTTTCAGTGAGCCGAGATCGCGCCACTGCAGTCCAGCCTGGGTAACAGAGTGAGAACTCCATCTCAAAAAAAAAAAAAAAAAAAAAAGAGAGAGAGAGAAGAAAACAGAGGCAAAAATCCTCCACAAGACATGAGCAAAATAAATCCAGCTTCATATTAAAAGGATTATACATGATGACCATTTGATCGTTTACCATAGAGATTTATCACAGGAATACACGGGTGGCACAATACACAAAATTACTATAATACGCTCATTTATAGGATGAAGGGAAAAATCATGCGATAATTTCAATAGAGGCAGAAAAAGGATTTGACGAAGTCTAACATCCTTTCCTGATTAAACAAAAAACTCAATCAATAACTAGGTCTAAAAGAGAACTTCCTCCACATGACAAGGTCCACGTAGGAAAAACTCACCGCTAACTCCATAGTCAACGGTGAAAGACTGGATTCTTTCCCCTAAGACCAGGAACAAGACTGAAATACCTGCTCTCATCAGTTCTACTTAACATTGAACTGGAAATTATAGTCAGAAAAATTAGGCAAGAGAAAGAAATAAAAGGCATCCACACTCAAAAGAAAAAAGTAAAACTATATTTTGAGATGACTTGATCTTATGATCTTATGTACAGAAAACCTTAAAGAACACACACGCACACATACACATACACATGCGCACACACACACACACACATCACTATGAGAATGGGTTCAGCAAAGTTGCAAGACATGAGATCGGTAAAAAAAATCAGTTGTATTTCTATACAAAAGCAATGAATAATCGGAAAAGGAAGTTAAAAAAATTCCATTTATAAGAGCATCAGAAAGAATAAAATACTTAGAAATAAATTTAACCAAGGAGTGGAAACTGAAACCTACACTGAAAACTGAAAACTACAAACATTGGTGGAAGAAATTTTAAGACTAAATAAATGAAAAGACATTCCATGCTCATGTATTGGAAGACTTAATATTGTTAAGATGGCAATCTTCCCTAAATTGATCAACAGAGTCAATCCAATCCATATGAAAATCCCAGTAACTTTTTTGAAGACATTGACAAGTTGAACATTCTATTGACAAGTTGAAAATTCTATTGGAAATGCAAGGTAGCCAAAACAAACTTGACAAAGGACAAAGTTGGAGGGCTCAAACTTACTTGATATCATTTTATTACATGCCTCCACCTAAATCTTGTGTCGAAATGAGATCTGTTCGTTTAAAAGTGTGTGGTACCTACCCCGCAACCTTGTTCTTGCTTTCACCATGTAACGTGCCTGCTCCCCCTTTGCTTTCTGCCATAACTGGAAGCTTCCCAAAGCCTCCCCAGAAGCTTAGCAGACATTGGCACCGTGCCTCCTTTACAGCCTGAAGAACCATGAGCGAATTAAACCTCTTTTCTTTATAAATTACCCAGTCTCAGGTATTCCTTTATAGGAATGCGAACATGGACTAGTACATTACTACTTACTCAAAGTGAGTATAAAGCTACAGCAATCAAGAGTGTAGTACTAGTGTAAAGAGAGACATAAAAATCAATGGAGCAGAATTGAAAGTCCAGAAATGAACCCATAAATCTACCGTCAGTTCACTTTTGACAAGGTCGTCAAGACTATTCAATGGAGAAGTAATAGTGTCTCCAACAAACGGTTATCCACATGTAAAAAAATAAAGTTGGACCCTGCTATCGTTTGGATATTGGCCTCCAAATCTTATATTGGAATTTGATACCCAGTGTCGGAGGTGGGGCCTAATGGGAGGGGTTTGGGTCATGGGGGCTGATCCCTCATGCATGGCTGGGAGGTGTCTTCATGGTAATGAGTGAGTTCTCGCTCTATGAGTTCACTCCAGAGTTGGCTGTTGAACCCGCCTGGCACCCCTAGCCCTTGCTTCCTCCATCTCCGTGTGGTCTCTGCACACACCAGCTCCACGCCATCTTCTGCCATGACTGGAGCTGCCTGTGGCCTTCCTCAGATGCAGATGCCTGATCTTGAACTTTTCCAGACATCAGAATCATGATGACATCACAAGCTTCTTTTTAAAATGAATTACCTGGCTCCAGGTATTCCTTTATAGCAACACTGAATGGACCAAGATGCCTACATCACACTATATATAAAAACTAATTCAAACTAGATCAAAGACCTTAATGTAAGAGCTAAAACTCCAAAACACACGTAGAAGAAAACAGACTGTACATCTTCATGACCATGGATGAGACATTGGTTTCTGAAACAGAATGCCAAAAGCACAAGCAACAAAAGAAAAAAAGATAAATTGGACTTCATTCCAATGAAACTCTTGTATATCAAAGAACAGGACCAGGAAAATGAATGACAAGTAACGGTGGAAAAAAAAAGAGCTGCAAGTCCCGTATCTGATAAGAGTCCAGTATCCAGGATGTTAGGAACTCTTGGAGCTCAACAACAAATGACAAACAACCCAATTTAAACATGGGCAGAGGATCTGAATAGATATTTCTCCCGAGGAAGTATGTGAATGGCTAATAAGCACATGAAAGGTGATCAATATCATTAGTCATTATGGAAACGTAAATTAAAACTACAAGATACCACTTCACATCCACTAGGGTCGTTATAGTCAAACAAATGGAAAAAAAAAACCCAACAAGTGTTGGAAAGGATGTGGAAAAATTGGACCCCTGTACATTGCTGGTGGGAATATAAAATGTCACAGCCACAGTGGAAAACAGTCTGGCAGTTCCTCAAAAATTTAAACATGGAGTTCTCATGTGACCCGGTGACCCCACTCCGAGATGTACACTCAAGACAAATGAAAACATGTGTTCACACAAAAACTTGTACATAAATGTTCACAGTGGCATTACTAGAATAGCCAAAAACTGAAAACAACCCAAATTCCATCAACTGATAAACGGAGAAGCAAAATATGGGCCTCCATACAGGAATGTTATGCAGCCACAAACAGGAACCAAGTGCTGCTAATGCCACAGTGTGGATAAAACCTATGCTAAGAGAAAGAAGCCAGGCAGAAAAGGTCACATATACTGGGAATCCGTTTATATAAAATGTCCGAGCTGGGCACGGTGGCTCACGCCTGTAATCCCAGCATTTTGGGAGGCTGAGGCGGGTGGATCACTTGAGGTCAGGAGTTTGAGACCAGCTTGGTCAACATGGCGAAACCCTGTCTCTACCAAAAAATACAAAACTTAGCTGGGTGCAGTGGCGGGCGCCTGTAGTCCCAGCTACTCGGGAGGCTGAGGCAGGAGAATCACTTGAACCCGGGAGTCAGAGGTTGCAGTGAGACAAGATCACGCCACTGCGCTCCAGCCTGGGAGACAGAGCGAGACTGTCTCAAAAAATAAAATAAATAAAATAAAATATCCATGATAAGTAAATTCACAGAGACAGAAAGCCGGCAAGGGGGTTCCAGAGGATGGGAAGAGGGGCGATGGGGAGTGACTGCTAATGGCTCAGAGTTTCTTTTGGGACGATGAAAAGTCCTGGAATTAGATAGTGGTGATGGTTGCACAGCATTGTTAATACACTAAAAACCACAGAATCGTGCACATAAAAATGGTAAATATAACGTTAGGTGAATTTTATCTCCATTTATAAAAATCATTCTGAGTGAGTAGGTCTCGGGGGGATCCAGTAACACGCAAGCCTCATCACTGAGGCTTGAGAGCCGCTGCCTTCCACCGCCAACGTCAAGCCCTTTTTCTGGTTGTTGCTGACAACTGTATTCTAGGACCTCTGCCAAGTAAAGCTTAAACCCACCACTACGGCAAGTCAGGAACCAGAGAAGAGGGGGCGTGGTGGGTTTGCTCAGTGTAGCTCGCAGACTGCCCACTCGACCCAAGCGTGTGATTCATTAGAGATTTTAGGGGGAAAAAGTCAAATGAAAAGGAAGGAGTGAGGGAAAGACAGTCTAACAAAATGGCATTAGTTAGCTTGCCAGTAAGAGCTCAGCACCCCAGTGAAGAATTGCATAAGTCGCTTCTGAATGGGAGAAAGCTCCTTGGATGACTACTGCAATGGAGGCCAGGAGAGAAGCGCTCCATAATCACCGGGACCACGTGTGCTGTGACCTTCAGCGCCAAGTTCGCTGCATGAGAAGAGGGGGGACGTGGTCAGGATTCAAATGGTTATGTGTGCCTCTGTGCCCCAAGGTTCACTCAGTGAACATGTGATCCAAACCTCTGTGCCAGACACCCCATGCCAAGGACATGGCCTGAAGCATAGATCTGAGGAACACAGACAAGTCCGATTCATCCAATACCACACAGGGCTGTGGGGGCGGCTGTGGGGGCGGCTGTGGGGGGCAGGCAGAGAGGTCCACAAAGCAGGAGAGCTCCTCTGGGACGGAGGGCTGGCCCAGCAGAAGGGCTGGAGCAGGGCATCTGATTTTATTCAAAAGCAATCAGCTGCTTAGGTCATGGAAACCTGCTGCGGAGATTTCCCGAGCCCTACAAGTCAAGCGCTCTGGGGGATTAAAGGCTCTGAAGGTTCCAACCTGCCGGCCTCCCCAGGGCTCACAAGACGGAGCTTCCTAATGCAGCAGGAAGTCGTCTGAACGTGCTGCCTCAGAAACTGCCCGGAATAAGCAGCAGCTGTCCCAGTTTGTCGAAGAAGCCTAGCGTGCAAACCCAGCTGCTGGAGCCCTTTGTGGCGTGGCAGACGGCCCCGTGAGCTCCCCTGTCCTCTGCAGTCCCAGGCGGGGTTCGGAAGGGGCTGCGCCTGAGTTCTGGGCTGCCTGTGAGGCATGCCTTTGACAGGTGTGTGTCAACAGTCACCAGAGTCTCAGCTT
Organism: Homo sapiens; assembly: GCF_000001405.40. Classification (NCBI taxonomy): domain Eukaryota; kingdom Metazoa; phylum Chordata; class Mammalia; order Primates; family Hominidae; genus Homo; species Homo sapiens. The sequence continues at coordinate 79,856,566 of NC_000018.10, read as the reverse complement.
TACCATCAGCAGAAGGCACAAGAACCCACCAAGAAGACCCTCTCTCTGAAATGGAAAATGATAATCCCAGTACGACTTGAGGTTTCTTGCCCTTCTGGCAGGTTCTGGGTTTACCTGGCTCTGTGAAGGTACAGGGTATTCTCTTTCAGGGAACCGGTGAAAACACAGCTGAGACCAGCGGCTTCGACCTGGAAAATGAACATCCAGTTTCACCCTAAGGGACAGAGAGTCACCTGCGTTATTACTGCGGAGCATCGTGGCTCTGACGCCCCACCCCTCCAGTCCCCGCGAGCACACACACCAGGCTTGCAGGACAGGTTGACTTCCCTTGTAGCCAAATCCATTGCATGCTCCATTTTTTTGTAGGCAGGGATGAATAATTATTAAAATAAGTGGATAATCAGGTATAACCTGGAACTTTTGCTGTAAAAGGCTTTCTTCCTCCCAGAACATACATTTTAAAATATGGACGTAAGTTATATGCTACATTAGAAATGTTCTAAAGCTAATTACTTGATTTAGGAGATTACAAAGTTACTTCTGAAAGCTCTGGAGTTCCTCCCCATTCTCTGCAAAACGTCAGAAAAAGAAAGACAACGCACAGCTCAATAGAAAAAATGGGCCAACTGACATAAAGTTCACATCAAAGGGGGAAAAGGCTTCCAACATATGAAAAAATGCTCAATTTCATTCATAAGAGCAAAAATAAGCATCTTGAATTGCCACAGGTATTAGACTAGATCAACCAGTTTGACGACACACTCTTGTCAAGAGTGTGGGGTCTGGTTCAGTGACGACAGAGGTGAACGGGAATGGCCGTCACAGCACGAGGGCAGAGGCTGAACTGATCTAAGGAAAGCAGGGGCCGTGCAGGGTCCCCTCCACGGAGGGTGATCGGGAAGGAAACCCACCAGCCAGTACCAGAAGGTTTCAAGGCCTCTCTGCTTGGCCAGGTCAAAAACAATGCTGTGTGTCTACGAGCCTAGCATGCACAGTGGGGTGAGGCTGGAATTTTGGTGGGTGATACAGCCAAGACATGATCACGCACAAAGGTGGTCGCAGGCCAGTGATACCCCTGAAACTGACAGAACCAAGCAGAGAACCAGTCAAAGCGGCAGTTCCCAGCAGTGGGGGTGATTCTGCCCCAGGGCAGCCCGCAAGGTCTGCAGACATCTGTGATGGTCACGACTACCGTGACTGGCATCCAGTGGGTAGAAACCAGAGACACTGCCAACACCCTGCACAGGACGGGCCCCCAGAGCAAAGAAGTTTGCAGCCCAATGTCAGCAGGGCACTGGCCCAGAGGCACTCTCAGTTCAAGCCTCATGGGATTCCCACAGACAAAGCCCCAGCCAAGATGAACTGAAACTAAAATGACAAACCACACACAGCAACAGTCCACCGTGAGCACATGCCAGCACACACAGCCTCCTGGGAACTTTAGAAAATAGAATTACAGAAAATAATGAACGAAGGAATTAAAAACACTAGGGAAAGCAAAGACATTACAAAAAATAAAACAAACAAACAAAAAACAAAAAAACCCCCAGAGAATCTAAATAAGAAACAAAACTAGAAATGAAAAAGTACAGTCGGTAGACAAGATTGACCGTAGAAAGATCTCACGCTGAGGACTGTCTCCTGGAGGCATCGGGGTCCACAGGAGACAAATATTACAGAAAAGTCACACATGGAGGAGAAAGTAAAATCACCAAAAGTGGTTTACCAGGAAGCTCAGAAGAATAAGCCAATGAGGCCAGGCACGGTGGCTCACACCTGTAATCCCTGTACTTTGGGAGGCCAAGGCGGGCGGATCACGTGGTCAGGAGATCAAGACCACGGTGAAACCTCGTCTCTACTAAAAATACAAAAAATTAGCCGGGCGTGGTGGTGGGCACCTGTAGTCCCAGCTACTCGGGAGGCTGAGGCAGGAGAATGCGTGAACCCGGGAGGTGGAGCTTGCAGTGAGCCAAGATCACGCCACCGCACTCCAGCCTGGGCAACAGAGCGAGACCCTGTCTCAAAAAAAAAAAAAAGCCAATGAAAGGCAATGTATAAAGACTTGGATTTTACCAGCCTTACGGAAGGCAGGAGGTCTATCATTAAAGGCTCTTTGAGGATGAGGAATCGTGCACCCCTGGGCCCTCCACGGGGACCTCTGTAACATTTACTTTTAAAATAAACGTAACCAGGGGAAATTGATGCCGAGCTTGGGGAATGGGAAAGCTCTTGTGTTTCTGCATGTGAGTGTTGTGACGGCGTCCAGGCAGGACACGGCACCCAGGCACACACGGCCACTGCTGCCCTCACACAGGGGCTGGGGGCTCTGGTGAACGGGGCTGGGACAGTGAGGCTCTGCCGGGCAGTGATGGAAGCAGAAGGCCGGGCTCTGCTCCTCCTGTGGACAGGCAGCCCCCTGCCTTCCCTCCGCGGCCAGTCCTGGATGCCTGAGCCCACGACCAGGAAACAGTTGTAGGTGCAGCCAGTGCTCCCCAGGGGCCGCCTGCAGAACGGGGTTGGAACCAGGCAGGGCTACCCTGGACATCGGCCTGCTCATTCCTCCCATGCGTGGTGGATTCCACTGGAAACTGGTCTGTGCTGTTTCACAGGCTGGACCCCGAGGTTGGAAACCAGAGGGGGAAGCCCCCTGAGCCAGCTCCCCACTTGGCCCTGAGGCCCACAGGGTCGAGGCACCTGCCACTCAAGTAGTGCCCGCCCTGGGGTGGCGCCCGTCTCGGGCCCTGGAGGGAGCCACATCTGTCCCCGGCGCGGGGCCATCCCCCCAGCACAGATGTTGAGGCTTTGGGCCTGGCCTCTAGTCCCACTCAGGCCTTCCGCCAGAGTCCTTGGGGGTCACCCACAGCTACGTGCTGCTGACACCGGCTGCCTGGCATCTGGAAGCTCCTGACTCGCTGCAGCCTCTGCTCTGAGCTTCCTGTCCGCTGCACCCACAGCCCTAGCAGGTTCCCGCCTCCTCCTCTTGCCCTCTGTTCCCAGCTCAGCGATCAGAGGGGCCTCCTAACACTGCACACCACCCTCTGCTCAAAACGCCAGAGCTCACAGCCCTAACTAGGCTGGTCTGTCCTGCCTCTCCTTGCTCCCCTCGGCACCCAGGCGAGTCCCGCCTCAGGCCTCAGCACAGCCATTCCTCTGCCTGAACAGCTGCTCAGTGACGCCTACGGTGACCCCTCACCCCATGGTGACCCCTCACGCTCGGCGTTTGCTCAAACCTGACCTCTCGTCAGACTCACCTGCACCACTTGGTTCACGCTGAAGCCCAGGCCCACCTCACTTTGCTGCGTTCTTTCTTTTCTCCCCTAAAGCACTAAATGATTAGTGCATTATTTTTACCCAGTGTTATTTTCTGTCCACTCCCGCTAGGATGTAAACGTCTCGAGGACATGCCCACTGTCCGCTTTGCCCACCCTCGTATTCCTGGGAACACTTCAGGGCACACACAAGTGACCAGGACGCACTGCCGCAGGGACAGACAAGGGAAGGAATGGTCTCAGGCTGCCTGGGATGCTCTCGGCGTCCAGCACACACGGGGCATCCACGCGGTGCCGTGTCCAGCCCAGGGCCTGCCCCACGGTGGGAGTGGGTGGAACTGGTCTGCACTGACACAGGTACCCCCAAAGAAATGACAAAGACTCTGCTAAGGTAGGAGGCTGCATCCCCACACGGACATTGCTTTGTACCAGAAAGAACCCTGAACTGGGCAGGAGGCCCGTCCTCACAGGGACACTGGTTTGTACCAGAAAGAACCCTGAACCGGGCAGGAGGCCTGGACTTTAATTACGGCTCCGCCCCTGATTGGCCGGGAAGCTGGAGAAGCCACTTCATTCCCCGTCGGTGGCTTCAAAGTCCAGCTCATCTCCAGAGGGTGGCCCACGCCCAGGTGCAGGCGCTGGTGAGCCGCCATCCGCATGGACAACGGTGATCTTCGAGGAATGCGATCGTCACTGTCAGGGCGAAGCCCAAGTGGTCCCAGGCACCTCAAAGGAGGCTGGAACTGGGCTCCCAGTGGCCCCTGTACTGAGATGCTCTCTGCGAGTGCAGGGGCTGAGAGCTAAGGGAACGCTTCCCCCGCTTCCTTAATTAAAGTCGAAATCGCTTATGCACAATTAAATAGATTCTGACCGTGCACGGGCTCTTTAGACATGCTTTGATATTACAGACATAAAGCAAAGATTAAGTTGAATACAAAATGTTCCTCATGGGGTTGAACTGTTCAGAGCAGGCATCGTTTGCGCTGCTGGAGATAGATGGCGCGTTATTGGAAATAACGATGCCCACGCCACGTTTTCCCCGGGGCGGGCGCTTGGGAAATGGGAGCGCGCTTCCCCGAAACAAGGTCACTGGAGGCGGGGGACCCTGCTGGCGGTAGTGAAGTGTCACTCATGCACACACAGCGCTTGCCATCCCCCCAATTCCGGCCCCAACCCAAGTCCTCACAGGATGTCTAACGAGCAGAGCCTCATTGCAGCGTTAACAATTAGAGCTAGTGCAGACGGACCCAGGTGAGTGCCGCGGTCCGCAAGGGCCAAACAGCCCTGAAAAACCGACTTAATTTTGCTAAGCCTCACATTCTGCATCTATAAAACGAAAATAAATCCTAATAGAATAGCACCTACCTTACAAGGCTGTTGTGAGGACTGACAGCCAATGCAGATGCCTAGAATAGTCCTGGTGCATAAGTCCTCACACGCACACGTGCACACACACTCATATTCACACACACCCATTCACATGCACATTCACACACATTCACACAATGCACATTCACACACGCATTCACAGTCACACACACACATACATTCACACAGGCATACACATTCACACACATGCACGTTCACACACACATACATTCACACAGGCATACACATTCACACACATTGACACATTCACACACATTCACTCACACTTGCACACCGCACATACACACACACTCTCACACACCCGCACATGCACACACACAGCGTAGCTTGAAAAGGCTATCAGGTCACTTCCTTGAGATCAAGGGTAGTATCTGCAGTGTCTGCTCTTACTGGTTTAATATCATGTGCATCCTCTGAGTGTCGGAGGCGCTCCAGCCGGAGCTACTCCATCTTGACTGAGGGCTGGAAAGTGAGGCTGGGACTTGCTGGGCTGACTCCCAGGAAGTTGGGTATTCCTAGACTCTAGATGCTTATGGCTACGGGAACAGATTGATAACGTTTACTAAACAGACCCAGACTTAGGAGTGTCCTGATATCCCGATATCTTGAGAACAGAAGCATTCCCAATTTTGCTTTAAAGATAATATTGATTCTTGCAAAATATACTAATAAAGAAAATCAATCCTTTATCACAAACCCTTGTAGCAGAGCACATCTCCCTATGATCTTTTTTTTTGTCTTGTATATAAACAAGCATTGTACGTGTTCCTCCTCTTACTCTCGGGAACGTCCTGCTCTGTCTATGCAGCAGCTGCCGATTCACCTTTACTTTCTTAATAAACTTGCTTTTGCTGCACACGGCAGACATGTCCTGAATTCTTTCTTGCACAAGGTCCAAGAACCCTCTCTGGGGGTCTGGATTGGGACCCCTTTCTGGTAACACGAAGACTCCACGGATGTTCGGCATGAGAGCTGGAACCGCAGGCCCCGTCCACTCTGTGCGGCCACCTGGTCTTGAACCACCTGGTCCGGCGCCTGCCCTCGTGGGTACAAAAGCAACGTGCGTTTGAGTTCTTACTGGGCCATGATCTCTCTTAGTTTTATACAAAGAAACTCACAGAAAAGGATTTACACTATGAAGCCTGTACGCTTAGTAACTTTAAGAAGAAACTCATCATAGCTAAAAAATTTCAGATTGTCTTACTGTGAAAACCCAAAGAAAGGCAGAGAGGCCAAAACGCATTCTCAAAACGACGAGCAGGAAAGGAAACAATAACAGAATCGAGGGGAAAGAAGAGAAGGCTCAAATTTAAAGATGAAGATCAGAAAAGAAAATAACATCAGATCTGGTAGAGAAGAGAACGTCATGAGAAAACACTCTGGATGGCTTCATGCCAATAAAGACAATAAAACATGGACTAGAATTGACTTCAGAAATAGGAACTCTGAATAAAACATGGACTACTAGAATTGACTTAAGAAATAGGAACTCTGAATAAATACAAAATTGCTAAAGAACTGAAAGAGTAATTACAAATCTCTTTACAAATCAAACTCAAATGACTTTATCAAGAGTTCTACCAGATATTCAAGGAACAGAATAATCCCAATTTTATACAAACTTTAATCACCTCTGCATGGAGAGGGAGGAAGATGTGATTAGAGAGAGGGAGGGGCTTCGGCTGTATGAGTAAAGTTGATATTTATTTATATATCCATGTATCCATGCATGTGATTAGACAGAGGGAGGGGCTTCGGCTGTCTGGGTGAAGTTTATGTTTATTCCATTTATCCACGTATGTGTGCACGTGTGTGCTGGGTACATGGATGAGGGTAGCGGGGAGGCAGAAGGTCAGGAGAGCCAGGACCAGCGACCCCGGCGGGTTTTCACACGGCCCTGTCAGCCCTTTAGGTGCGCGGGACACTCCTCCTACGGCCAGGTGGGGTCTCCGTTCCCTCCCACTGAGCCTGGGTGGGGTCTCGGGTTCCTCCCACGGCCAGGTGGGGTCTCGCCTCCCTCCCACTCAGCCTGGGTGGAGTCTCGGGTTCCTCCCACTAAACCACAGCGGACCTCTCACTGTGTGATTACGTGGGGGGCTCTCAGAGAGGCTGGGTCTTCCACGCGCTCCTGCTCCCACGCCACCCAGGGCGGCCGGCAGCCAGCATCAGCCCCCAGCCACGCAAGAACAAGGCTTCCGGTGGCCCCAGCCTCCGCTCTGCCTCCAGCCGAGGCCCAGACTTCACGCAGCAGAGAAAGGCAAGCGTCCGCGCTGGGCCCTCAGAAACCACGACAGCTAAGAAACAACGGTTGTCTTTACCGCCGCGCTTGGTGTAACCCGCGGCCAGGACAGGAGGCTCCTAGGCTGACGCAGAGCAAGGCGGGGAGGGAAGGCAGGTGCGGCCTGTCCAGATGCGGCTCCTGCACGCGGACGACCTTGCCCCGGATGAGGTCGGACGCACCTGCCCCAGCACAGGGCAGAGGATGGGGTCAGATGGGGGTGCAGGGCCCCACCTTCTGAGCCAAGAGGGGCGCCTGTGCCCCCCAGAAGCTCAGCGCTGGGAGGGCGGGTTGTGTGTGATTTGTTTTCTGCTGCCCGGGACGTCGCCTGCGCCTAGTCAGAGCTCAGTGAGAACATTAGAATTCCGAATAAAGGAATTAGGGGCTAAGGACGGGACCACGCTCGGAGGCCCCTCTGGGGAGGCTGTGGAGGTTGAGGGGTCCAGGCTGCGAGGTCTGGGCTCCCTCTAAGGGAGGCTGACTGAAGACAGGGTGGGGCTGGCAGAGGGGCTCGATGTGGAGGCGGGGCCTGGCGTGCAGAGCGGCCGAGTGGCCTGCGTGGGAGGGAGAACGCGGGCCCAGGCCTCTCCTGTGTCCGCACGGGTCCCGTGTCCAGGAAGCACTCATTATCCACGGCTCTTTTACTTTGTTGATTCAACAAACACAGAGAAATTCACAGGCGCCAGGCGGTCATTAACCCCTAACAGCCTATGCCGTGGGTACCAGGGCCCCATGCGGACCGAGGCACAGAGGGCTGAGGCCACCTGCCCGGGGCCACTCCTCAGGGAGGAGGCTCTTCCAGCCGGGCAGTCTGGCTTCACCGGGAATGCCGCGGCCTCTGGGGAACGGAAGCTCCCGGGGGCAGGCATGGCGACAGGATGCTTCTTCAGCGAAATACACAGAACCGTCCAGCTGTGCCCCAGCCCGTGGGCCACCGTCCCCACCTCCTTCCCCCACGCGGCTGCTGCCCAAAGGCAGAGCTGTGGGTTCCACTGCGTCCCCGGAAGTGTGTGCGAGTCTCAGCCCCGGGACCTGTGAGACGGACTTCATGGGGAAACAGGGTCTTTTCGCGTGTGGCTAAGACAAGGCCCCTAGGGTGGGCCTGAGTCCAGGGACGGATGTCCCCATAAGAGGGGAGAGGCCGACACTGAGGCCGTGGGATGCAGAGGCCGAGGTCACAGCCAAGGAGGGCTGACGATGGCCGGTGCTGCAGGAGCCCGAGCGGCAACGCAGGCCCCTCCCCAGCGGTTCAGAGACAGCACAGGCCTGCGGACCCCTACTCTGTACTTGGGACTCCCGGGGTTGAGAGAATACATTTCTGGTGTTTTAGGCTGCGCAGCTCTAAGCAACGAATGCAGCGGGTTAGGGTGAAATAATTATAACATTTCCTTCCAAGCAAAAGGCAAACCCTACTTAGAAGCATATGCGTCACCATTAGCCTCAGGGATCGAGGACAGATGAGGTTGGCGTTCATCACTGGCCCCTGGCAGCTGCTGAGCCCACGCTAGGGTTTCAGACATTCTGCCTTCACCGGGAGAAGCTCTGCAAGTTCGCTGTGCTCAGGGCCCCAGGTCAGGGTCCATGCACCGCACCCCATCCCTCACTCCCTGTTTGCCCAGGATTCCCCCCTGCCAATCCACTCCTTCAGTCCCAAGGAAAACAGTGACTATTTTGTTTAAATCTGGCTAAATACACATACATAAATGAAATGGACTCTCAAGCAGTTTAAATTAAATTGTGGCTTAACTGGACCACAAGTTTAGTGCCTCGGGCATTGTGTCACCACCATCCCTGATCATGAGCCCGGCCCAGGGGACACGTGGCCCCACTGCCGCCAGCAAGCCAGGTGCCAGCCTCCAGGATGCCAGAGCAAGTGCGGTTCTACATGCAACATGAGTGTGTGTCACCGGGAAAAGCTGCAACTGCCACTACCCAGAGTATCAGGATTTTTCAAATGTAATCAATAAGGAGAAGTCACTGGGATATAATAATATTTACCATTCTGAGTTAAAATTAGAATCTCTGTACATGCTTATTACATACATGGATGAGGGCTCATGGGGCGGGTGCTTTGCAGTTAGTGGGGCTGTTAATCTACATGAGCAAGACCCACCAAGGCTTCCACAGGGAGCGTGGTCCGCACTGCCGGGTAAAGATCGCTTAGCGTGGTTTCCAGACCAGGGCTTCTCGACTGGGATCCACTGCGACCCTCAGTTCCCACGGGGCACCTGGCAATGTCCAGGTTTTGATTGTCTTGACTGGGGATGCTCCTGGCATGGAGGCATGGAGGCCAGGGATACTGTTCAACACCCACAGTGCCCAGGATGGCTCCCAGCAAAGCTATCCGACCCCAAACGTCCACAGTTCCAGACGGAGAAGCCCCACATCCCAAGGCACCTGGGGGACCTTGTACGAGGCCAGGAGGGCTGACATCCGAGGAGGAGCAAAGCAAGGAGGAAGCTCAGAGGATTTTTCACTGAAGCTCAGAAGCCAACTGTTCAGGACTTAAAGCATTTGTCATGCAGTAGATGTTGCCAGATAATCCAGCCATTGCAGATAAATGCTTTCATCAGCCGCTGCCTGCCTCTGTTCTGGCATCTTCACAAATTTGGTTCAGGTGTCACTTACCTTCCCCATGTCTTCTTACCACCGGCTGCCCTGTGGCCAAACGAGTTCGTTTGCAGGAAATGAGACCCTTGCGACCTACACACACCTTTCAGGAAGACTATTCTAGGCTCCTCAGTGGGGCCTTCATCCAGATGCACACTTTGCCTTTCAGCTGGAACTGTTAACCTCGGCGGTGACACGGGTTCACAAACAGGGCCATGCGACAACTGGAAAAACCATCTAAACAAGATGACTTCTTCAACCAATCAGTGAGCATACGACTGCAGCTGAGAACTGTCTAAAATACAATGTATCTAACTTCAGTTCCAGGCTAATATTTAGTGTGCCAATGAATTTTTTATTTTTCAATTCTTACTTGTCCTATCAAGAAAAACATTAGATGAATTAAGACTATAATCACCCATGGGTTAAAAAAAGCCAAACATAAATAATTTTGAATAAAATATGACTCAGGAGATTTTTGTTGTAAACTAAAGATGAGTAATATTAGCATCATTCCTGTAATCTCTTTCTGATACACATATGAGTTCACATGTGAGTCTCAACTATTTTGATTTGAAATACTTTTATTTTCTTTCTTTTTTTTTTCTGAGACAGAGTCTCACTCTTTTTTTTTTTTTTTTTTTTTGAGACGGAGTCTCGCTCTGTTGCCCAGGCTGGACTGCAGTGGCACACGATCTCAGCTCACTGCAAGCTCCACCTCCCAAGTTCACGCCATTCTCCTGCCTCAGCCTCCCAAGTAGCTGGGACTACAGGCGCCCGCCACCACGCCTGGCCAATTTTTTGTATTTTTTAGTAGAGACAGGGTTTCACCATGTTCGCCAGGATGGTCTTGATCTCCTGACCTTGTGATCCACCTGCCTCGGCCTCCCAAAGTGCTGGGATTACAGGCGTGAGCCACCGCGCCCAGCCAAGACAGAGTCTCACTCTTTCGCCCAGGCTGGAGTGCAGTGGCGCCATCTCAGGTCACTGCAAGCTCCACCTCCTGGGTTCACGCCATTCTCCTGCCTCAGCCTCCCGAGTAGCTGGGACTACAGGGGCCCGCCACTACGCCTGGCTAATTTTTTCTTTGTATTTTTTAGTAGAGACGGGGTTTCACTGTATTAGCCAGGATGATCTCAATCTCCTGACCTCATGATCCGCCTGCCTCGGCCTCCCAAAGTGCTGGGATTACAGGCGTGAGCCACTGCGCCCAGCCACTTTTATTTTCTATATGCCAAAGTTCCATAAATTATAAAGGGGTTTTATTTTTCATAAATACACACGTGTATAAAATGAAGTATATAAGATCTAATTAGCAAGGTTTTGGTTCTGTTCAGAAGAGAACTTGCTAATGAGATCCATTTTTAGCCATGTTTTTGACTGAGAAATTGACAATTATTTTTCAATTATGATTTATGGGACACAATCTCCAAGTCTATAATACACATAGAAATTTGGTAATTAATAACTCTTATCCACAAAGCAGGGTATGTACAGTACAGCTGCATATAATTGCTCCAAAAAGTTTCAAAATCAAATTTTGAGGTAATTGCAGATTCACATGCAGTTGTAAGAGAAAATACACGGGCACCCTTGCACCCTTTACTCAGTTTTCCCCGTGGTAGCCTCCCCAAAACCGTGGAACGCCTTCTCCACCGGGACGCCGACATGGACACATCCAGACACAGAGCTCTCCTCACACAAGGGTCCCTCCTGCGGATTCACAGCCACACCCCCTGCCTTCCCAGCCACCTCCTCCTGAACCCCTGGAAACTGTTCATCTGTTCTTCATCGTCATAATATTGTCATTTCAAGAATGTTATGAATGTTGAACCACACCCTACGTAACCTTTTAGGATTGGCTTTTTCCATTCAGAATAATTCCCTGGAGATTCATCTGGGTTGCTGAATACATCAGGAGTTCATCCCTTTTTACTGCAGAGTAGTATTCCATGGGATGGATGCACCAGAGTTTGTTTAACCACAAGTGGGAGAACATTTTGGTTATTTCCAGGATTTGGCTATTATGAACACAGTGGTATAAGCATTTCCACACAGTTTGCTTTTCCTCTCTGGGGTAAATGCTCATCAGAGCAACAGGTTTTACTTTTGATAAAATTCAATTTATCCTTTTCCCCCTTACTGACTGGCTAGTTGCATATTTAGTTTTTAAAGCAACTGCCAAATTCTTTCTGGAGTGGTTGTACTACTTGACATTCCCACCAGCAATGTATGAGAGAAACAGTTTCTCAGCATCCTTGCCAGCACTTGATATCACCGTTTTTAATTTTAGGCATTCTCATAGCTGTGTGGTGACATCTTATTGTATTCATTTGTCCCACTTTATTGATGTCTAATTAAAAGTGCACACTGTAGTGTTTTGATATATGAATGCATTGTGCAATGATTACCACAATCAAGCTAATGAATATATCCATCACTTTGCACAGTTACCATTTTGTGTGTGGTGAGAACATTTAAGATCTACTGTCTTAGAAAAATTCAAGTATGCACTATAGTATTATTAGCTATAGTCACCATGCTGCATGTTAGATCTCTGGAAGTGATTAATCTTGTATAACTAAAACTTTGTACCCTTTGATCAACATCACTTCCTCCACCCCCAATCCCCTGGCAACCACCATTCTCTCTGCTTGTGAGTTCAACTTTCTTAGATTCCACATACGAGTGAGATCACACATTACTGTTTTTCTATACCCAGCTTATTTCACTTAGCATAACATCCTCCAGGTTCATTACACATTTCTCAAGGCTGAATGATGTTTTGTTGTGTGTGTGTCTCTGTGTGTATATGTCAATAACATGTTCTTCAGCCACTCATCCATGAATGGGCACTTAGGTGGATTTCATATCTTGGCTATTGTGAATGATGCTACAATGATCATGAGAGTGCAGATATATTTTGTCTGATATAAGTATAAACACCCCTGCTCTCTTTTGGTTACCATTTGCATGGAATATCTTTTTCTGTCTCTTTCACTTTCAGCCTATGTATATCCTTAAAGCTAAACCAAGTCTCTTGTAGGCAGCACAGGGTTGGATTTTATTTTAAAATCCATTCAGTGATTCTATGTCTTTTGATTGGAGAATTTCATCCATTTAAATTTAAAGTAATTATTGATAGGTTAGAAATTACTACCACCATTTTGTTAATTGTTCTCAACTGTTTTGTAGTTCCTTTGATTGTTTCTTCCTCTTTTGCTGTCTTCTTTGTGATGCGATAATTTTTTCATAGCGTATGCTTTGATTCCTTTCTCTTTCTCTTTTGTGTATCTATTACAATTTTTTTCTTTTTAGTTACCATGAGGCATACATAAAATATCTTTTAGTTGTAACAGTTTATTTAAGCTGATAACAACTTAACTTCAACTGTAAACAAAAACTATACTTTTTCTTCTCACACATTTTATGTTACTGATGTCACAATTTACATTATATATTATGTATCCATTAACAAATTACTGTAGCTATACTTATTTTTAATACTTTTGTCTTTCTACTTTTATGCTGGGGTTACAGGTGACTTATGACTCACCATTACAGTATTAGAACATTCTGAATTTGACTATATTCTTACCTTTACAGTAAGTTTTATCCTTTAATATTTTTTCATGCTATTAGTGAGCTTTCATTTCAATTTGAAGAACATTCAGCATTTCTGGTAAGGCAGATTTAGTGGTGATAAACTCCCTAAGCTTTTGTTTGTCCGGGAAAATAATTATCACTCCTTAATTTCTGGAGGACAGCTTTGCCGAGTATAATATTCTTGGTTGACTTTTTTTTTCCAGCACTTTGAATATATCATCCCACTCTCTCCTGGCCTGCAAGGTTTCTGTTGAGAAATATGCCAATATTCTTATGGGGAAGTTCCCTTATATGTGATAAATGGATTTCTTTGCTGCTTTCAAGATTCTCATTGTCCTTGACTTTTGAGAATTTTATTATAATGTGTCTTGGTAAATATCTCTTTATGTTTAATCTATTTGGGGTTCTTTGGGCTTCATGGATCTGGATGTTTATTTCCCTCTCTAAATTTGGGAAGTTTTCCATCACTGTTTCTTTAAATAAGCTTTCTTCCCCTTTTTCATTCTCCACTCCTTCTGGAACACCTATAATGCATATATTGATTTGCTTGCTGGCAGTCCATAAGTCTCTAGGATTTCTTCACACTTTTCTTGCTCTTCTGATTGAATAACTACAAATGTCCTATCTTTGAGATTGCTGATTCTTTCTTCTGCTTAATTGAGTCTACTGTTGAAATCTCTATGGATTTTTCAATTCAATCATGCGTGCTTTATCTCCAGAATTTCTGTTTGGGTCTTTTTTATGCTTTCTATCTCTTTGTTGTTGAACTTCTAATTTTGCTCATGTATTATTTTCTTGATTTTTGTTTAGTTGTCTATTGGTGTTCTCTTGTAGCTCACTGAGCTTCTTTAAGATTATTATTTTGAATTCTTTGTCAGGCTGTTTGTAGATCTCCATTTCTTTAGGTTTCATTATTGGTGCTTTATTTTGTGTATTTGGTGATGTCATGTTCCCTGATTATTCATGATCCTTGTGCCCTTGCATTGGTATCTGAGTATTTAAAGAAGCAAGCACCTCTTCCAGTCTTTATAAACTGGCTTTGGCAAGGAGAGCCCTTTATCAGTCAGCCCACCCAGAGATTATCTGGGCAAGGGTGCTTCCATATGAAGGCCTGCTGCTGGAGTCCTCAGGCAGGTTAGCTTGCTGCCTGGGTTTACAAGGGCCAGCTTGGGGCCTGGGTCCATGGGACAGGCCTGGAGTTTGGGTCTGCATGAGTAGGCGGTATCTGGGTCTGCAAGGGCCAACCTGGTACCTGGGCTGCAGAGGCCACCCTTGTGCTGGGGTAGGCCTGGAGCATGTGGCTGCGAGGACTTGCCTGGAGCTAGGGTGGGCCTGGAGGCTAGGCCTGTAGCTGCAGTCCTGGCACCTGGGTCTGCAGGGGCCAGCCTGGCATCAAGGTTCACTCTGGGGAGGGGGAGGGACCTAGTATTGGGGTCCACAGTGAAGTTGAGTGCTCGCTTCGTTCTCCTTCCATGTGGAGAGTATCTCCATATTGTGCTATGTGGACTTGGGGGAAGAGTGGTATGAGTTAATGTGAAACTCTCCTTCCTTTTTCAATGAGTCTTTCCTTATTCCTGTGCTCCATTCAGGTGCTAATCTCTCACCTGGATTCCTTAGTTCTTGTGAAGGTATTTTTGTGTGTGGATGGTTGTTCAAACTGTTTCTCTAAGAGTATGAAAACTGGAAACTCCTATTTTGCTATCTTGATGACATCACTCCTCACTGTCTTTTAATTTGCATGTTCTTAATAGCTAGTGACACTGAAGACCTTTTAATGCACTTCTTTGTCATCTATTCTCTTTGGTGAAATATCTTTTCATGTGTTTTGCTCATTTTCTATTTGGATTGTTATTTTGCTGTTGAGTTTTGAGAGTTTTTAAACGCATTTTAATACTAGTACTTAGTTGGGTATATAGTTTGCAAATATTTTCTCAAAGTCTACAGCTTATCTTTAAAACCTTCACACAAGGTCTTTTGCAGAGCAAAATATTTGAATTTTGATAAAGTCCAATTTATCCTTTTTTTCTTTTATTGGCTGTGCTTTTGGTGTGAAGAATGATTTGCTTAGCCCAACATCTCGAAGGTTTTCTTCTGTTATTATTTATTTATTTATTTATTATGAGATAGGGTCTTGCTCTGTCACCCAGGCAACACCAGTGCAATGGTGTGATCATGGCTTGCTGCAGCCTCTATACAGCTCATTGCAACCTTGATCTCCCAGGCTCAAGCAATCTTCCCACCTCAGTCTACTGAGTAGCTGGGACTACAGGTGTGCACCACCATGCCTGGCTGACTTTTTTTTCTTTTCATAGAGACAAGGCCTCACTATGTTGCTCAGGCTAGTCTCGAACTCCTGAGCTCAAGTAATCCTACCCGCCTCAACCTCCAGAAGTGCTGGAATTACTGGCATCAGCCACCACAACCAGGCTTCTCTTGTTATTTTTGTAATGTTTATAGTTTTATTGTAAGTCATGATCCATTTTGAGTTAATTTTTGTATAAGGTGTGGGATTAGGTCAAGATTCATTTTTTTTTGGCTTATGGATGTCTTATTGTTTGTTGAAAAGGTTATATTTACTTTACTGAATCACTTTTGAACCTCTGTCAAAGTTAATCAGGAATTTTTTTGTGGATCTATTTCTGGGTTCTCTGTTCTATTCCACTGATCTATGTACATATCCCTCCACCAATACCACAAAGTGTCAATTATTATAGCTATATAACATGCCTTGAAATCAGGTGGATGGATTTTCCCCACTTTATTCTTCTTTTCCAAATAATTTTACCTATTCTAGTTCCCTTGACTTTCTATATAAATTTTAGATAATCTCATCTATATATTTTTTAAATCACTGGGATTTTAACCTCAAATTTTTATATCAATTTGGGGAGAACTGACATTTTTAATAAGCTAATTCCATAAATGAACATGATACATCTCTCCATTTATTTAGATTATTTCTTTTATTTGCCTTTTGTAGTCTTCAGCATTAAAGTTCTATATGTGTATTGCTAGACTCATACCTAAGTATTTCATTTTGTTGAACAATTGTAAAGGGTATTATATTCTATGTTTAATTTTGATATCCATGTGTCTTGCTAGTGTATTGATTTTGTATGTTTATCTTATGTCTTGCAATCTTGCTGAATTCATTTATTAGTTCTAAGAGTTTTTTTTGGCTTTTTGTAGATTTCTTGGGATTTTCTGTGTATACAATCATGTAATTTGCAAATGGGGCAGTCTTATTTCTTCCTTTATAACTTATATACATTTTATTTCATTTTATTACCCACTGCAGTGACCAGAGCTTTCAGTTATATGTTGAATAAGAGTGATGAAAGTGAGCATTTTTGCCTTGTTCTCCATCTGAGGGGAAGAACATTCAGTCTTTCACCATTAAGTGTATGTCAGCTAAGGTTTTTGTAGATACTCTTTATCAAGTCAAGAAACTTCCCCTTGATTCCTATATTCTGAGAATTTTTATCAAAAGAGGTGTTATTTAAAAAGTTTTTTGCATCAACTTATATGATTATGTGATTTTTCTTTAGCCTGTCAATATGGTGCTTACACTGATTGAATTTAAATACTGAATCATCTTTGCATCCCTGGAATAAACTCTCCACTTGGCCATGGTGTATAATTCCTTTTACGTATTGCTGATTTCTATTTGCTAATATTTAATAAGGTTTTAGAAAATGTTCCCTCCTCTTCCATTTTTTGGAAAAGACAGTATAGATTGGTGTTAATTCTTCCTTAGATGTTTACTCAGAGGTTTAGTTGTTTAGATGTTCTCCAGTGAAATCATCTGGGCTTGGAGATTGCTTTTTCAGGAATTTTTAATTTACAAATTCAAGTTTATTAACAGTTATAGGACTATTCTCATGATCTATTTCACACTGGGTGAATTGTGGTAGTGTGTATTTTCCAAGGAATCGGTCCAGTAGATCTGGGCTGTCAAATGTGCATGTAGAGTTGTTGGCAGGGTTCCCTTCTCACACTTCTGATGTCTACAGGGTATGCAGTTATGTCCTCTATTTTGTTCCTGACGTTGGTAACGTGTGTCTTCTCTCTTCTTAATTTTGTTGGGCTTGCCAGGAATTATTTATTTATTTATGCATTTAGAGTCAGGGTCTTGCACTGTTGTCCAGGCTGGAGTGCAGTGGCATGATCATGGCTCACTGCAGCCTTGACCTGGGCTCAAGTGATCCTCTCCCTTCAGCCTCCCAAGTAGCTGGGATGACAGGCATGCGCCCACATATTCTGCTAATTTATTTTTAAATTTATATTTTTGTAGAGGTGGGGTCTTGTCCAGGCTGGTGTTGGATTCCTGACTCAAATGATCCTCCTGACTTGGCCTCTCAAAGTGCTGGGGTTACAGGTGTGAGCCACTGCATCTGGCCAAGTTTATTCTATTGATCCTTTCAAAGAGTCGGCTCTTTGTTTCACTGCTTTTCCCTATTGTTCTACTGGGCTAAGCGCCATTGACTTCTGCTCTTCATTATTTCATTCCTTCTACTTGCTTTGCTCTTCCTCTTCTAGGTACTGCAGGTGGGACCTGAGATTGTACATTGAGGTTTTTCCTTTTTTCTAATGTAATTTCCCTCTTGACACTGTATAGCTTGGTCTCACAAATTTTGATATGTTGTGTATATATTTTCATTCTGTTCAATGTATGTTTTGATTTCCCTTAAGACTTCCTCTTTGGGCCAGGTGAGGTGGCTCATGCCTGTAATCCCAACACTTTGAGAGGCTGAGGTGGGAGGATCACTTGAGCCCAGGAATTCAAGATCAGACTGGGCAACACAGGGAGACCCCATCTCTACAAAAAATTTAAAAATTAGCTGGGCATGGTGGTGCACACCTTTGGTCCCAGCTACTCAGGAGGCTGAGGTTGAAGGACTGCTGGAGCCCAGGAGGTCGAGGCTGCAATGAGCCATGATTGCATCACTGCAGTCAGCCTGGGCGACAGAGAGACATTGTCTCAGGAAAAAAAAAAAAAAAGACTTGTTTGGCCCAAGGATTATTTAGAAGTATGATTTAAATTTCCAGTGTTTGAAGATTATTCTATTATTGATTTCCAGTTTTATTCCATTATGCTCAGAGAACCACACTGAGAACACTTATATGATTTCAGTTCTTTTAAATTTGTTGAGATTTGTTTTATGGTATACTTTTGATATGGTTTGGCTCTGTGTCCCCACCTAAATCTCATCTTGATTTGTAATCACCACATGTCAAGGGAGGGACCTGGTGGGAGGTGACTGGATTATGGGCCAGTTCCCCCCTGCTGTTCTTGTGATAGCAAGTTCTCCTGAGATTTGATGGTTTAAAAGTGAGGCACTTTCCCTTCACTCACTCTCGCTTTCTCCTGCCACCATGTGAAGAAGGTCTTGCTTCTCCTTCACCTTCTGCCATGACTGTAAGTTTCCTGAGGCCTCCCCAGCCATGTGGAATTGTGGGTCAATTAAACCTTTTTTCTTCATAAATTACCCAGTCTCAGGTAGTTCTGTATAGGCGTGAAAATGGACTAATACAGAAAATTGGTACCTGGAGTGGGGCACTGCTACAAAGATACTTGAAAATGTGGACACAACTTTGGAACTGGGTAAAGGGCAGAGGTTGGAAGAGTTTGGAGGGCTCAGAAGAAGACAGGAAGATGTGGGGAAGTTTGGAACATCCTAGAGACTTGTCAAATGGTTTTGACCAAAATACTGATAGAGATATGGACAATGAAGTCCAGGCTAAGGTGGTCTCAGATGGAGATGAGGAACTTATTAAGAACTGCAGTAGGGTCATTCTTGCTATACTTTCACAAAGAGACTAGTGGCATTTTGCCCCTGCCGTAGAGATCTGTGGACCTTTGAACTTGAGATGATTTTTCTCTCATGGAGAACCTCTAGTAGAGTAAAGCAGAGGGGAAATGTGGGGTTGGAGCCCCACATAGAGTCCCCACTGGGGAACTGCCTAGTGGAGCTGTGAGAAGAGGGCCACTGTCCTCCAGACCCCAGAATGGTAGATCCTCCAACTGCTTGCACCATCTGCCTGGAAAAGCCACCATCACTCAGAGCCAGCAAGTGAAAGCAGCCATGGGGGCTGTGCCCTGCAAAGCCACAGGGGCAGAGCTGCCCAAGGCCATGGGAGCCCACTTCTTGCATCAGTGTGACCTGGATGTGAGACATGGAGTCAAAGGAGACCATCTCAGAGCCTTAAGATTTAATGGCTGACCTGCTGGGTTTTGGATTTGCATGGGACCTGTGGCCCCCTTTTTTGGCCAATTTCTCCCATTTGGAATGGGAGCATTTACCCGATGTCTGTTCCTCCACTTTATCTTGGAAGTATCTAACTTGCTTTTGATTTTACAGGTTCATAGGTGGGAGGGACTTGTCTTATTTCAGTTGAGACTTTGCACTTGGACTTTTGGGTTAATGCTGAAATGAGTTCAGACTGTGGGGGACTGTTTGGAAGCCATGATTGTGTTAAAATGTGAGGACATGAGATTTGGGAGGGGCCAGGGCTGAATTGATATGGTTAGGCTCTGTGTCTCTACTCAAATCTCAGCTTGAATTGTCATCCTCATGTGTTGAGGGAGGGATCTGGTGGGAGGTGATTGGATTACGGGGTTGGTTTCCCTCATGCTGTTCTCATGATAGTGAGTGAGTTCTTACAAGGACTCATGGTTTAAAAGTGTGGCACTTCCCCTTCACTCACTCTCTCTCTCCTGCAGCCATGTGAAGAAGGTCTTGCTTCTCCTTTACCTCTCGCCATGATTGTAAGTTTCCTGAGGCCTCCCCAGCCATGTGGAACTGTGAGTCAATTCAACCTTTTTTCTTCATAAATTACCCAGTCTCAGGTAGTTCTGTATAGCAGTGTGAAAATGGACTAACACAACTTTGGTATATGTTTCATGGTTACCTCAAGAAAAAGGAATATTCTCCTTTTGTTGAGTGAAGTATCCTTTAAATATCAAATAGATCTGTTGGATGATGATGTTATCTCCAACCACAACTGTGAATGTTTCTACTTTAAACTCTGTCATCCTTTGGTTCACATATTTTGCAGCTCTGTTGTTTGTGCATATACATTAGAATTGCTATGTCCTCTTAGATCCTTCATTTTTACATAACGTTTCTCCTCTGTCTCTGGTAACATTATTTACCTTGAAGTCTACCTTATCAAATACAAATATAGCCACAACAACGTTCTTTTGATTAATGTTTACACGATGTATCTTTTTGTCTCCTTTTATTTTCAACCTGCCTATATTGTTATATTTGAAGTGACTTTCTTGTGGACTGCTTATCATTGGGTCATGCTTTTAAACCCACTCTGCCAATGTCTCTTTTTAGTTGATTTTTGTTTTGTTTACACAATTTACACCTACTAAAATTATTTGTATGTTAGGACTTTAATCTTCCATTTTGTACTGTTTTCTGTTCTCTGTTCTTTATTTCTGTTTTCTTCTTCATGTTTCCCTGTGGATTACTTCACTATTTGACAATTCTATTTTGATTTATCTCTTGTGTTTTTTGTATCTGTTCTAGGTATTACATTATACACACACAACCTGTCATGGTCCACTGGTGTTATTTTACCAGTTCAAGTGAAGTGTAGAGCCATCACTTTCCTTTATATGTCCCACATCCCATCTGTAAATAATAGTCTTACACATCCCTCTACCTGCCTTAGAGCCACATCAGGAATTTTCACAATCTTTACTCCCACCATCGAGCAATTCAGAAAACTCACGTGGAGAAGGAAAGTCTATTGCATTTACTCACATTTTCCTCATCATGTTTCCCCTCTACCATTCTACCTTCCAGTTCACTGACTCTTTTATACGTCTACTCCGTCTACCACTGAACCTATCCATTGAGTTTCCCATTCCATTTATTGTATTTTTACATCTAAAATTCCCATTTGGTTTTATTTTATATCTTCTATTCCTTTGCTGAGACTATTTCTCATCTGTTTCAAGCATGTTTGTAATTGTCCACTGAAGTATTTTTACAACGGCTGTTTTAAAATCTGTGCCCAATAATTTCGACATTACTATCATCTTAGTGTTGGTGTCAATGGCCGTTGACTGTCCTTTTCACCAAATTCGAAATCTTTCTGGCTCTTGGTATGAGGGCTGATTTCCATGGAAACCTAGACATTTTGAGCCTCTCAGATGCTGGCTCTGCTGCGGTTGGCTTCCTTTGGCCCTGCTCTGGCAGGGGGGAGAGAGACAACACCTCTGCTGGCAGTGGGGACAGAAGTGCACATTCCCCAAGAGGCTTCTGTTGACATCCATGGTGAGGGAGGGCTCCTCATTACCAGTGGGTCGGGATGGGGGTTCCTACTCCCCACATCTCTCTACAGACACGTCCCTGGCTGGGAGGGGTGGGTGTGTCTTGTTACTGCTCCCCATATGGGTGGCCGACACCATGGGTGTGGGTGGCACAGACGGTTCTGTTAGACAGACTCAGTATAAACAAGAGGGAAATACTCCATTGGCCAGAGGACTGGATGTGAACACACCCAGCATGGCTCCTGAGTTTATTCGGTGATGTGCCTTCTCCACTGAAGGTGCACTCAGCCATCAGGAACCAGCTCCTCCTGCTCAAGAATGTTTCCTGTGGGAGAGTGGCTGACTCCTGACAAGGAAGTCTGTTGGGAGAAAAGCTGAGTGTTGGGAGAGAAGCTGAGGCAGGGCTTGCATGTCTGCTAGACTTGCTGGCTTCTTGCTTCTAGCACTCCCATTATCTCAAGCAGCCATAGGTCTCTCATTCACTTGATACACTGGTTTCCTTTTAAACCCCACATCCCCACCAGCTGTTTGTTTGTTTGTTTGAGTACCATTAAATAGCGTGGGCTCCCAGAGCTCGGTGGACCCCGGTCCCACTTTCTCTCTCAAACTGTCTTTTTCTCATTCCTTTGACTCTGCCGGACTTTGTCGCCCATGACCTGGTGTTGGGTCTGATCACCCCAACAAAGTGTGGGTGAGACCTGAGGCCTTGTACCGGAAATGATGGATGGGTGTGTGTCAGAAGCATGTGGCCAGCACAAAAGATGTCCTCCCAGAAACTGAGAGTCTAAAACCATAATGGCTGCAACCTATTGTAAAACATGAGTCAATAACAAAAGAAAGAAAACCCCCATTTGCCACGTCGGAGGACAGGACGTTTGCTCAGTGCTGGTGCCGCCGAGGCAAACGGGTCTTTATCAGGGTTCTGCAGCCTGATCTTTGGTCCAAGCCGCTCTGACGCTGGCTGGGGCTCTTGCTGCAGGTCACCAGCTCACCTTCACTGATACCGACCTCGACACGCTTTAACGTGAAGGGGTTTTAAAGGTAAACCACGGGAAGCACCGCCCTCTGCCACTGCACTGGGTGGCCTCCTCAGCCCACCGTCCCCTGGCCAGAGAGGCACTGCCCTGCACGTTACTGGCCTGGGCTGCCCTGTCTCAGGAGCTGTGCTGCCCAGAGCATCTGTGGCCAGATGTGCACAACTCTGACCCTCTAGCAAGGATCGCCACCCTTGGCCTTTCTCTTCCCGGCGCACTCAGCAGAACTGGCTCAGAGCAGAGTTTGGCCACACTTTGCCACAAAAGCCCAGGCTGCAGCTTGAACACACACAAACTCGCTGTTGCAACACTTCCCATCACAGCAGCCAGCCAGATGCTGCCACACTGGGCACCACCTAATTACTGATGTTCATTTGTTCATTATCCATGCATTTATACCACATATTTGGACTTAGCCTTGTTTATCCGTGGAAATGACGTTGCAGCAAAGGTTTGTTCTTTGAAACTGTCATAGCCAAAGAGATTTGGGCTTTGTTCTATAAACTTGCAGGTTTTGTTCTATGAACTTATACTTTCTGATTTCTTACTTCTCAGACATGATGCTAACAACATGCAATTGAAAGAAAAACAATTAAAATCACAACTAAAATTACCAACAACTATAACAGTCAAATCAAACTGCAGTAAGAGGCAGGGTACAGTGGCTCATGCCCATAATCCCAGCACGTTGGGACGCTGAGGCAGGCATATCACTTGAGCCCAGGAGTTTGAGACCAGCCAGGGCAACATAGTGAGATTTTTGTCTCTACAAAAAAATAAACAAGAAATTAGCCAGGTGTGGTAGCACACACCTGTAGTCCCAGCTATTTTGGAGGCTGAGATGGGGGGATTGCTTGATCCCAGGAGGTCAAGGCTGTAGTAAGCCAAGATCGCACCACTGCACCCCAGCCTGGGTTACAGAGTGAGACACCATCTCAAAAAAACAAAAAAAACCCTGTAGCAAGAGAGATTTAGGTTAGATGGTAAGACATTCTTAATTATAGAGCTTGAGGAACACTGAAGTAATAAGAAAAAATTATACAAATTTCAAAAAAAGTTATAAAATATCCTTCATTGCCAATTTTAAAGGAAACCAGGCTACTTTCCTTGGAGACTGGGTGCAGCCCAGGCTCATAGCAGGGGAGCAGACAGCAAGGACGTCCCAGCCGTTTATACTCCAAGGCTCACCGTGATCTACCTTAAGGTGCCAGGGGCTTAAGGAGCAGACGCAGGAGCCCTCCCAGAGGAGCCACAGGAGAGATTGTATCTACTTCTGAGAACACGTTGAAGCATGTAACACTCTTCTAAGGCTGCTTAGCACTGTGCAAAGAGGAGTCTTGCCATACAGGCTGGAAAAGTCTGTGGCCCGAGGGTCCTGAGAGCAGGATCTGGCTGTGGCCTGGGCAGTCCCAGGTCTCCTCTGGAAATCAGGGCGAATGATCTGCACGGCTCTCCCAGTTCCAAGGTTTCATGAATACCAGAAAAGAGTGGAGAAGAAGGGAGGAGTGGGGTTTCAAAAAACAGCAAGAGAGTGGGGAGAAGATAGAGGAGGGAAGTAGAAGAGAAGGTTGAAAAGGAAGAGGCCTGGGCAGGTGAGGAAGGGCAGGTGAGGATGGGCAGGTGAAGACGGACAGGTGAGGATGAGCAGGTAAGGATGGACAGGTGAGAGCAGGTGAGGATGGACAGATGAGAGCAGGTGAGGATGGGCAGGTGAGTGCAGGTGAGGATGGACAGGTGAGGAAGGGCAGGTAAGGATGGGCAGGTGAGGACGGGCAGCTGAGGAAGGACAGTGAGGATGGGCAGGTGAGGGCAGGTGAAGAAGGGCAGGTGAGGTCTCACGGGTGAGGATGAGCAGGTGAGGAAGGAGGGGTGAGGAAGGGCAGGTGAGGAAGGAGGGGTGAGAAAGGGCAGGTGAGGATGGGCAGCTGAGGTCTCATGGGTGAGGACGGGCAAGCTATGAGCAGCGGATAGATGTACCTCGGAGTAGGCTCAGAACCAGGGGGCGGTGGGTGAGTGTGGGGAAGCCACAGACACCTGCTCTGCCCGGGGGTGCCTAGCTATGGAGAAACTTCTGGTGGGCATCCACCCAGCCCTTTCTAGACATTTGCTCTGACGGCTGCTCCTTGCATTCCAACTCCCAGGTGGAGGTCACAGCGAAGGAGAAGAGCCCAAGCTGGGATGTGAGTGCTGCTCCAAATCAGGGTTCTACAAAGCACCCAGGAGACAACCACCTAGGCCGCCCGCCAGGTAAGGGTGGGGGTGGGAGGACGGCACATCCTGAAGGAGGCTCTCCTCCTAACAAAGGCTCTGTATGAAGGGAACGCTCCTGACAAAGGCTCTGTCCGCAGGGAACCCTCCTGATGAAGGCTCTGTCCGCAGGGAACCCTCCTGACGAAGGCTCTGTCCGCAGGGAACCCTCCTGACGAAGGCTCTGTCCGCAGGGCACGCTCCTGACGAAGGCTCTGTACGCAGGGCACGCTCCTGACGAAGGCTCTGTACGCAGGGCACGCTCCTGACGAAGGCTCTGTACGCAGGGCACGCTCCTGACGAAGGCTCTGTCCGCAGGGAACCCTCCTGACGAAGGCTCTGTCCGCAGGGAACCCTCCTGACGAAGGCTCTGTCCGCAGGGAACCCTCCTGACGAAGGCTCTGTCCGCAGGGAACCCTCCTGACGAAGGCTCTGTCCGCAGGGAACCCTCCTGACGAAGGCTCTGTCCGCAGGGAACCCTCCTGACGAAGGCTCTGTCCGCAGGGAACCCTCCTGACGAAGGCTCTGTCCGCAGGGAACCCTCCTGACGAAGGCTCTGTCCGCAGGGAACCCTCCTGACGAAGGCTCTGTCCGCAGGGAACCCTCCTGACGAAGGCTCTGTCCGCAGGGAACCCTCCTGACGAAGGCTCTGTCCGCAGGGAACCCTCCTGACGAAGGCTCTGTCCGCAGGGAACCCTCCTGACGAAGGCTCTGTCCGCAGGGAACCCTCCTGACGAAGGCTCTGTCCGCAGGGAACCCTCCTGACGAAGGCTCTGTCCGCAGGGAACCCTCCTGACGAAGGCTCTGTCCGCAGGGAACCCTCCTGACGAAGGCTCTGTCCGCAGGGAACCCTCCTGACGAAGGCTCTGTCCGCAGGGAACCCTCCTGACGAAGGCTCTGTCCGCAGGGAACCCTCCTGACGAAGGCTCTGTCCGCAGGGAACCCTCCTGACGAAGGCTCTGTATGCAGGGAACCCTCCTGACGAAGGCTCTGTCCGCAGAGAACGCTCCTGACGAAGGCTCTGTATGCAGGGAACCCTCCTGACGAAGGCTCTGTCCGCAGGGAACCCTCCTGACGAAGGCTCTGTCCGCAGGGAACCCTCCTGACGAAGGCTCTGTCTGCAGGGAACCCTCCTGACGAAGGCTCTGTCTGCAGGGAACCCTCCTGACAAAGGCTCTGTCCGCAGGGAATGCTTGGGGGTCTCATCACTCGGGAGTCTCTTCGAGGCATCTCTCTCGCTGGCCTCTGGAGCTGGGGCGGTTCTGGAGGGACCCATGGCCAAAGGCCCTTCCTTTGCTTCTTTCCCCACATTCCATCACCCTTCCTACTTTGAACACCACCTGCCGTTTATGTAAGCTGAGGAATAAATGTTTTTGCAGGTATCTGTGTTTTGAGGTATTTTAAGTGTGACAGTTAAATTGGAAAAGATGATGTCCCAGTGAGCTCTGGCTGGAGGCCTCCCTTGCAGACATGTTTCCTGCCACCGGGCTGTCTGGTGTGGGGCTCGTCACAGGCGCCCCTTTCAAATGGTGCCATCCTGTAAGAACCCTGCCAGCACTTCTCAAACCCCTGAAACAACACGTCACGTTCTGCTTTCAGGGGAGGTGTGTTGACCTGGGATGGACCATGAACCCTTAGCAGATGGACACGATTCGTCTTCTCACAACAGGTCCACAACCACACACCTGGGTTCCACTGGGCTCCGTGGACCTGCAGAATCTACTCGTGGCCACGTGGACCCACCAGTCCTAGGTTAAGAACTCCTACTTCAGGGGGAACACTTTCTATTTATTCCCATGACCAATTTAATCATAGCGTGATGGTTTGTGCCTTTTTCTCAGACAGCATCCCCACTCTCCTCCACAAAAGCACAGAATCTCCAAGTGCAAGGCTTTGACAAGACAAATGAAAACATAATAGCTTCGCAGAATTGGTACCTTTTTCTTATCTCCTCTCTGCCTTTTCCTAACAAGTTAGACAGATGGGAGTATCACACCCTGAAATGTAAGAACGATGACCTGGAGGCTCAGACACAAGGCCCCTGTCTTAAGGCCAACCAGGCTGCCCTGGGTGTGAGCTGCCCCGGCACCAGCTTTCCACACAGGCCCTGAGCCCAAGTGGAGCCCCCAAACAGCCAGTACAGTGTAGAGATGGCGGCAGAGGCCCACCGGACACAGGGAAGCAGAGGCTGACCGGTGTGAGGCAGAGTCCGACCAGCTGTAGAGAGGCAGAGAAGGACCGGTGTGAGGCAGAGACTGACCAGCCATAGGGAGGCAGAGACGGACCGATGTGAGGCAGAGACCCACCGGCCGTAGGGAGGCAGAGACGGACTGGTGTGAGGCAAAGACCCACAAGCCATAGGGAGGCAGAGGCTGACCAGCTACTTGACTCACTTCAAGTAAAAAACAATCACCTGAGAAACACGGGCCATGAATGATGCAACAGAGAAGGGGCAGGTACTTGGTCACCAGGGAGTGACACGTGCAGATACACACACAGACACACAAGACACACACAGACACATGTACACACAGACACACACACAGATACATGCAGACACACACACAGACACATGCACACACAGACACACACGCAGACACATTACACACAGACACGTTACACACACATGCACACATAGACACCCACACACAGACACATGCACACATCATGGACATGTTACACACACGCACACATAGACACCCACACACAGACACATGCACACATCATGGACATGTTACACACACGCACACATAGACACCCACACACAGACACATGCACACACAGACACGTTACACACACGCACACATAGACACCCACACACAGACACATGCACACATCATGGACATGTTACACACACGCACACATAGACACCCACATACAGACACATGCACACACAGACACGTTACACACACGCACACATAGACACACACAGACACATGCACACATCATGGACATGTTACATACACGCACACATAGACACCCACACACAGACACATGCACACATCATGGACATGTTACACACACGCACACATAGACACCCACACACAGACACATGCACACACAGACACGTTACACACACGCACACATAGACACCCACACACAGACACATGCACACATCATGGACATGTTACACACACGCAAATTCCTGTAGACGGACACACGCACACATAGACATGCACACACAGGCACACACAGACATACACACAGACACATGAACACATCATAGACACGTTACACACATCCACACACCCACATGCAGACACATGCACACAGACATGCACACAGATAGACACACAGATGCACACACAGACATGCATAAACACGTTACACTACACAGACTCATGTAGACACATATGCACACATTCATGCACACACAGACACACATTTGCACACACACCACACACTTGCACACAGATGCACCCAAACATGCACACACTGATACATGCAGACACATGCACACTAAGACACACACACACCTGCACACACAGACTCATGCACACACTGACACAGGCAGACATGCAATGACGCAGTGTGCACACATATGCACATGCACACGCACGCATGTCATGTCTTTAAGTATTCCTACATGTCTGTATGTCTAAGAGTTTTAAGAATATTATGTTGGGTGCAGTGGCTCATGCCTGTAATCCCAGTACTTTGGGAGGCCGAGGTGGGCGGATCACCTGGGGTCAGGAGTTCAAGACCAGACTGGCCAACATGGTGAAACACCATCTCTACAAAAGATACAAAGAATTAGCCGGGTGTGTTGGTGCGTGCCTGTAATCCGAGCTACTTGGGAGGCTGAGGCACAAGAATCACTTGAACCAGGGAGGCAGAGGTTGCAGTGAGCCTTGACAACGCCACTGCACTCCAGCCTGGGCAACAGAGGGAGACTACATCTCAAAAAAAAAAAAAAGAAAGAAAGAAAGAAAAAAGAATATTATGTTCCAGTATAATTCTAACTGCTAATTCTGTTTAAACATATAGGTAAAAGGATTATAATTGGTACATTGTTAAAACTGTTTTTGTCTCTGAAGTAGTTACTTGCATCAGTATTTTTCCTATGGAGCCACATGGAGAGACTTGGGTCCAGCCCACCAAGCTGCATTTCCAGAGCTGCGGCACTGGGTGGGCGGGTAATAAGCGGGGTTCCAGGGCCTGCATTCAGAAGAAGCGAAATCCAGGGGGGAGGCTGAGTCCCCGCTCTTCTCCCCGCGCTTCCCGCTCCATCCTGAGCCCCTCCTCTGCTGGCCTCTCAGACACTGGGACTCCAGGGCCTCTGCCACACCCTCCTTCCTCCAGGAACACAGGCTGCTGGAGGTCCTAAAAATTCCCAGCACCACAAGTTTGAGAGCCGCTGTGCTAAACTACCAGTCCCCAGGCCCTGCCCCACTGGTGGGGCCGAAACCCTGGCTGGGGCCAGATGACCTCTCCTACCTAAGATAGCATCTCACCTGGAACTCTGACCAAGGAACAGAACTCTTTAGAGGCACGATGCTGACACCGCCAGGGAAAACGAAAGGAGGCTTAGTTTGAAACCCTCACGGTTTCCTGCAGGGATCCCACCCACATCTCCTGCCCTGGGGGCTCCGGGGTGGACACAGGACCACTGAGGCCTGGAGGGTGTCGCTGGTCTGGCCCGAGCCCCAGCTCCATGACCATGTGGGGGCGCACCTGCTAAGCTTCAGTATCTGGGAGTCCCCAGCCTGTCCCCAGGGAGGCCTGAGGCTGTCACCACCCCATAGAGGAGCAACAGAGGCTGGCGCGGCCCGGCCCCTGCATCGCCGGGGACGCCACGTCCTCACAAGGCACCAAGCAGCAAAGCTCAGCGTCCTGAACAGAAAGCGGGCAGAAGCCAAGGCGAATTTCCTAGAAACTGTAATTAAACTTTTACATTTTAATAATTATAATTTTTAGTTGGTAATTTCTTTTTCAATCAATTTTATCAAACAAGTGATTAGTCACTCCCACACCTTCTTTCACTGAACGTAATGACGTAACGCGCCGAACTAACCTTCCGTGAGGAGCTGCTCACTCAGTTCTTTCACTGAACGTAATGACGTAACGCGCCGAACTAACCTTCCGTGAGGAGCTGCTCACTCAGTTCTTTCACTGGATGTAATGACGTAACGCGCCGAACTAACCTTCCGTGAGGAGCTGCTCACTCAGTTCTTTCACTGGATGTAATGACGTAACGCGCCGAATGTAATCTTCCGTGAGGAGCTGCTCACTCAGTTTTCACTGAACGTAATGACGTAACGCGCCGAACTTAACCTTCCGTGAGGAGCTGCTCACTCAGTTCTTTCACTGAACGTAATGACGTAACGCGCCGAATCTAACCTTCCGTGAGGAGCTGCTCACTCAGTTCTTTCACTGAACGTAATGACGTAACGCGCCGAATCTAACCTTCCGTGAGGAGCTGCTCGCTCAGTTGTGAAGCTTCGTGCGGTGGGCAGCTGGGCAGGCCTGGGAAGGGAGCAGAACGGGCGCCGTACCTGAAGCGCCTGGAGCCTGGCTCTGGAGGGGCCTCCACACACCTGCTTTCCCTGCAGCTCTGCCTGCCTCAGAAGGGAGCAGGACCCACCTTCCCAGAGCCAGGCCCTCGGTCCCCGTCTGAAGCGACCCTTCTCCCACGGAGGCCTCGCGCCTCAGATCACAGTTTCAGCTCGACTACCCGGGTTCCTGGCCTTGCCAACGGCCACAGAGCTCCCGGCCCTTCCTGTCGCCCACAGTGTGTCAGCGCCCGCTTCCTCCAAGGTCAGGGCGGCCGGCAGGGCACAGGCCCCGACGCCGAGAGCTTCCTCTTAAGCTGCAGCCTCCACCCAGGCCCACGTCTCTATGGGGGTCATGCCCTGGACACAGCGTTTCAAAGAAAGGGCAGGTCCCAGAGCGGCCGAGAGGGCGACAGGTGTCCGCGCTCCCACCTGCCGTCCATGGGCAGACGCATAAAGAAACTTCCGGAAGGAAGGCCACAGACAGGCTGACAGTGCACGGTCAGGTCAGGTGATTTTTACTTTCTTTTTTCTGTCCTTCTGTATTTTCCCCCAGACGATACAGGTAATTTTAGTAACTGGAAAAAGGAATAAAAACGATTCTAATTTTAGAGGGAAAATCACATCTGACGGGTTTTTACAGAAAGAAACTGAAGCCCTATGAAATGACAGCGTGATTGATCTACCTTCGTATTAATCCTTATTGACACTTCATCTCCTGAAGCTTGCGCCCCGTCAGTCAAGTTGATGTTCACCGACAGGGACTTGGTAAAACCTCCGTGGTTTCTGAGACTCCTCGCTGAGGGGAGCTTCTGTAACTCTCAGGCGTTAAAGCTATTTTTTATGAAGAGGCATTTCGTCAGCAAACAGCAGAAAAGGACAGGAAAGATATTTTTATGGACCCAGACATCAGCGCATTCTTCGTAAACTGACGGTAAACACGAGTCTGTGATGTGCTGCTTTGAAAACAAGGCTTATAGCTGTAGGATGACTTAGGGATATTTTCCCATTCTTCAAGTGTCTTCCTTTTTCTTTTTTAAAGCCACATTATTATATTCAAGAAATGTAACGTTTGAAACAGACTGAACAATCAGAGGAGACACTGTGCAGTCCTCTTTGCAAACACATTTGAA
Organism: Homo sapiens; assembly: GCF_000001405.40. Classification (NCBI taxonomy): domain Eukaryota; kingdom Metazoa; phylum Chordata; class Mammalia; order Primates; family Hominidae; genus Homo; species Homo sapiens. The sequence goes on along the minus strand of NC_000018.10, from coordinate 79,825,218 downwards.
AACCCAGAGGAAGTGCAGATGTTCTCGGGAAACAGAGACACCAAAAACTGTCCCAGGAGAGTTAGAAACTTCAGCAGACCCATTTCCATTGAAGAAACAGAAAGTTACTACTGACTGTCCTATCAAAGCACTAAGCCCCGACAGGTTTACAGAGAATTCTCCCAAGATTATAAAGCCTAGATAGTCTCCATGCTCTACAAATTATTTCAGAACATTGAGAAGGAAGGAAAGCTCTCTAGTTCATTTTATGAAGTAAGCAAACACTGATATTTAAACCAAATATAATAAGAAGAAAGAAAACTTAAGTTCAATATCACTCATCAATACCAATGCAGAAATTCTAAACGGAATATTATTAAACAGAATTCAATGCCTCTTAAGAAAAAAAAATACTGCGACAAAGTAGAATTTGTTCCAGAAGGTGCAAAGTAGGTTCAGTGGTAGGAAATCCATTAACATCATGCACCATAATAATAAATTTAGGTAGAAAAGTCATGTAATCATCTCCATAGATACCAAGCAGCCTTTGATGAATACTCAGGGCGTTGATGGGTATTTCACCAGCACCGGCAGCCTGTGTTAAGTTCTAAAGCCGCTCTCTTAATGGAGAAACACTAGAGGCATTTCCATGGCAATCAGAAACAAGGATACCCACTACCTCTGATATATTTAACATTATACGAGAGGTATTAATGAATAAAACTAGACAGCAAAAATCAATCAGAAGCATAGAGCAGGTAAAGAAGGGGTGAAACCGTCTCTCTTTGCAGATAGGATCATCTTATACTTGGAAATCCCAGAGAATCAATGACAAAACTTATTTATTGAATAAAAAAATTCAGAAAAGTAGCAGGCTATAAAATCAACAGCCTTCCTATACACAAACAACAAAGAACACAATCATTGGAAAAGTCCATTTATGGCCAAGCACCGAGGCTCACGCCTGTAATCCCACACTTTGGGAGGCCAAGGTCGGGGGATCGCTTGAGTCCAGGAGTTCAAGATCAGTTTGGGCAAAATGGCGAAACCCTGTCTCTACAAAAAATACAAGTTACCCACATGTGGTGATGCCTGTAGTCCCAGCTACTTGGGAGGCTGAGAGGTGGGAGGATCATCTGAGCCTGGGGGGCGGAGGCTGCAGTGAGCCAAGATCGTGCCACTGCACTCCAGCCTGGGTGACAGAGTGAGATCTTGTCTCAAAAATTAAATTAAATTGATGAAAGAAAAAGTCCATTTACAGTAGGAAAAAAACATGTAGGAACAAATTTCACAAGGAATGTGTACTGTTTTTACAAGAACAAATTTAAAACACGAAAGTAAACATGAACAAATGGAAAGCGAGCCATGCTCCTGGACAGGAGACTTGGCGCTGTGGAGGTGGCTTCCTCTTGGTGTTAGCTCATCAGTTCCACTCAATCCCAGTAAAACAGGGTAAGCTATTTTATGGAGTTGGACATGTCGATACTAAGGTTCAAATGTGCATAAAGAGCTGGGCACACGTGGAAAAAGAAAAACAACAAGGGGAAAAACTCATATAGCATGAACTCTTAAACATCAGGGGGTGAAGGACCAAAAACCCCATCGAGAAATGGGGAAACACATGAACAGGCCATTCACAAAAGATAAAAATGACTCTCACACGTATGGAAAACATGTTCAAGCACACTCGTAATCAGAGAAGTGCAGATTAAAACAATACTGAGATACCATTTCTCACCCATGAGACTGGCAAAAATTTAAAAATCCTACCACAACCCCTGGCCTGGCTGTGAGCAAACAGCGCTCGACACGGGGCACAGCTCTCAGGAGGGAGGAATGTGGCAACATCCGGCTGGCTAATGACCTCTGTGCAACCCCAATTCTGGGAGTCAACCCTGCAGAGATGAAAAGGTCCACATGTGGTGTTCACAGCAGCACAGGTGGAGATGGCAAAACCCTGGAAACAGCCCAGTGCCCGCACAGAGCAAGGTCGCTGAGTAAACGCGGGTGTCTACACGGTGGGGCACGTGCCGGAAGGAGGAAGGTCTGTAAGGCCTGCCACGAGATGACTTCCAGGACATTAAGTGAGAAGGCAAAGTGAGAAGAAAGGCAGAGATTTGCCACCCATGGTGTAAGACAGGGGCCAGCTGAAATGCACAGGTGCCTGCCTGGCTGTGCAGGAGGAACAGAGGAGGATGAACAGAAACTAAGGCTGTCTCCCCATGGAGGGAGGTGGGAAGGGCCTTCCAGAGGCAGTGACTCCTAAAGCCTTGGGGTGCTCCACACGCTCTTCACATGCCACAAGTGAGCCACACCCACACGCAACACCAACGCCCACGATAAGCCCAGGTGCCTCACAAGGAATCCACAACCCCACGGAAGCGTGGGGAGACAAGGGCTCTCCCAGGTAATTGTGGAAAATGTGTTTCCATGAAATCCGGAGGCTAAAGACTAGAAGAGCCACACGCAGCAGGCTCCAGTCTCTCGGGGTGAGCACAGCACACGTTTGAAGGCCCAGCACGGTGCTCACACCTGTGATCTCAGCACTTTGGAGGCCGGGGTGGGTGGATCCCTTGAGGTCAGGAGTTCAAGACCTGCCGGGGCAACACAGCGAGACCCCCATCTCTACAAAAATTAGCCAGGCATGGTGGCTCACGCCTGTGGCCCCAGCTACTCGGGAGGCTGACGTGGGAGGATGCTTGAGCCCTGGAGGCTGAGGCTGCAGGGAGCCATGACTGCAACACTACACTCCAGCCTGGGGGACAGAGTGAGACCCTGTCTCAAAAAAATAATAACTTTAAAAAGTATCAATATTGTGAAAAACAAAAACGAAAAACAAACTGGAGAGCTATTACAGACGGATGATGGGAACGATGGTGAGGGGCCCTGGACAGAACCGTGGCTCTAGTATGAAGAACGCGGTGACATCTGAGTGGGGTTTTAAAGTAGTGACCAGGGCGGGGCCAGTGGGAATCCCTGGTCTGGACCATTCTGCCAACACTGGAGGAAGCTGGGTGGGAGACATGGGAACCTCTATGAATCTGCAACTTTCCTATAAGTCTAAAAATCGTTCAAATAAAAAGCTTTTAAAAATCTAACATTTCCTGCTTAAACCCCAGGACAATGGTACAAAAGGCACCTTGAGTCTGAATTTGACAAGTTTTACTGAAGCCTTCACATCCCAGCCCCAAATATCAGTGCTGGGATTTCCTCACAACAAACCCATCTGGCACATTCACTCAGCCCACTTCTAGAATGGCCTACAAAAAACAGTGCTTTTTTGCAGAAATGAAAAAGCCCGTCCTAAAATTCATATGGAGTCTTAACGGACCACGAATAGTCAATACAATTTTGAAAAAGAAGGGCAATGATAGAGGCCTCACACTTCCAATCTCAAAGGTGCTGCCAAGCTATGGCGATCAAGATGCATGGCCTGGCCTGTGGACAGACAGGGCAGTTGAGGGCGGAGCAGGACGCCCAGAGATGAGCCCTACACCTATGATCAAGTGATTTTGGGAAAAGAGTGCCAGGACCATTTAATTCAGGAAGGAGGCCCTTCCTAGTAAATGGCACCAGGAAGATGGGGATGTGCTCACACAAAAGGGTGCAGCTGAGCCCTACCCCACCCCATATACACAATTCAAGTAAAAGGCCAGGCGTGGTGGCTCACGCCTGTAATCCCAGCACTTTGGGAGGCCGAGGCGGGTGGACAACCTGAGGTCAGGAGTTTGAGACCAGCCTGGCCAACATGGTGAAACCCCGTCTCTACTAAAAATACATAAATTAGCTGGGTGTGGTGGTGGGTGCCTGTAATCCCAGCTACTTGGGAGGCTGAGGCAGGAGAATCATTTGAACCTGGGAGGCAGATGTTGCCGTGAGCCAAGATTGCGCCACTGTGCTCCAGCCTGGGTGACAAGAGCCAGGCTCTGTCAAAAAAAAAAAAAAAAAAAAAATTCAAGTAAAAATGGGTTGACGGCCAAAATTTACAGATAAAACTATAAAACTCTTAGAATAAAACATGTGGTCAAATCTTCATGATGTTGGATTTGGCAATGGTTGCTTAAATGACATCAAAAGCACAGGCAACAAAATAAAAATAGATCAACTGAGCTTCATTCAAATTAAAAACTTCTGTGCATCCGAGGACACTATCAACAAAATGAAAGCCCACAGACTGGGGGAAAATATTTGCAAATCACATATCTGATAAGGGCTTAATATCAAGAACATATAATGAGTTTCTCTAACTCAGTAACTAAAGACAAACAACCAAATCTAAAAATGGGCAAAGGGGCTAGGCATGGTGGCTCACACCTGTAATCCCAGCACGTTGGGAGGCTGAGGTGGGAGGATCACTTGAGTCCAAGAGTTTGAGATCAGCCTGGCAACATAGCGAGACCCTCTCTCTACAAAAAATACAAAAATTAGCTGGGTGTGGTGGTGCATGCCTGGAGTCCCAGCTGCTCCAGGGGCTGAGGTGGGAGGATTGCTTGAGCCTAGGAGGTTGAGGCTGATTGCACCTCTGCACTCCAGCTTGGACAACAGAGTGAGACCCTGTCTCTAAATAAATAAGTAAATAAAATGGGCAAAGAACTTGAATAGCCTTTTTTTAAAAAATGTACATTGTACCCATTTGAACAGACTTTTCTCCAAAGAAGATGCACACATGCCCGGCAAGCAGATGAAAAGATGCTCAGCATCACTCATCATTAGGAAAATGCAGATATGAGCTATCGCTTCACATCTGCCAGGATGGCTGTAATAAGAAAGACAGACCATCCTGAGTGCTGGTGAGGATGGGAGATACTGGACCCCTCAGGATTGCCGATGGGAAAATGGCTCAGCTGCTGTGGAAGTTTGGCAGACTCTCTAAAAGTTAAGCAGCAGCATCAACATCTGGCTCAGCATTTCCCTCCTAAGAACATGCCTGGAGGAAGTGAAAACAGGAACTCAAACAGGATACATGTGCTGACATTCAGAGCCGCATCAGCCCCATTAGCCAAAAGGTGGGGAGGAAGTGAAAACAGGGACTCAAACAGAGGATACAAGCGCCGACGTTCAGAGCAGCATCAGTCCCATTAGCCAAATGATGGGGACAGCCCACGTGTCGCCAACAGAGGGTGGACGCACACAGTGTGGGGTACCCTGCACGAGGGCACTGCCCAGACACAGAATAGGAGGAGGTTCTGACACGCACCTCCTTCGGAGAAGGAAGGAGCTCCTCCTCGGAGCGCGGCTGGAGCTGGAGAGCGTTATGCTGAGTGAGAGAAGCTGGACACTGGAGGACCAGCACTGTGTGATTCACCTACATGAAATCCCTAGAATAGCGGGGTTCATAGAGAAAGCAGAGTGGACCTTACCAGGGGTTGGAGGTGGCACTATGGGGGAGTTACTGCTTAGTGGTTACAGATTTCCTGTTGAGGGCAATGGAAGAATTTGGCAAAAAGTGGTGATGCCTGCACAGCACGGCGGTTGGAATTCATGCTACTGAACTGTCCACTTGAAATAGTTAAAATGGAATACCTTAGGTGATGTGTATTTTACCCCAGTCACACCGAGGAGCCGTAGGGGAGGTGGACGGCCTCTATTGCAGCCTGCTGGCTGTGAGGCCTGGCCGGGTCCTTGGCTGAGCGCTCAGCTCACCTGTAGGGAGGACGGGGCTCACACAAACCCCGCGGCGTGAACATTGTCCATGGGTGACACCCAGGCCCAACACAGCCCGATCTGAAGGGACACTGAGTGCCAGCTGCATGCCTTCTGCCAGGAGGGTCCGGTGCCCAGGGTGGTGCCAGGTGGGACAGGTGCTGTGGGGACCCCAGGCCTGGCAGCAACAGCTCTCCCTAGAGACCCCCAAATCTGTGCCCTGAGGCTCAGCCTCACCCGTACAGCCACCAGGAAGGGTCCCTCGGTTGGTGAGGCTGCCCTCCCTGTGCCAGCTGGGCTGAGGCTGGCCCGCCTGAGCTGCTCCGTGGTGTCCTGGGCTGCACCCGGGTAGGGCCTGCCTGGTGTCTCTGCAGGCTGCCGGCCTTCTCCCTCTGACACGTCCTGGGTGCCCTCGCCGGCCTTGGTGAGCAGTGAGAGGGGTCCTATCACCCCATAGCTACCGTGGAGCTGCTGCCTCCTCTGCTGTTGCGGAACGAGTCTCTCTGCTCTTTCTTCTTCCCTTATTTTTGTTTTTTTCATCTCCTGATGCTATTCTTAGATGTCTGTTTTCTCATTCAACACGCAAATGTTTGTGGAGCCCCCAGCAGAACTGGGCACTGTGTCGAGTCCTGATGCCTCTCGGACATTAGTCACCAATGGCCGCATCTCACAGGCGAGCTCAGTGCTCGGCCAGACCTGCGGACCTTCGGCTCTTCATGGCTGCCGGGTGCTTCTGGTGGCTGGAGCTGCCAGGGGCCCCCTTTGCTGCCTGGGAATGAGTCTCCCCTAAAGCAGCCCCAAAGCCCCCACGGAGCACCCTGCTGGAAAGTGCCTCCCAGTCATTTCTGCCTCAGGACACGGACGTCTCTCGCAGGTACGAACTGATTTCTGGGCGGTTCCTTATTAATCCTAAATCTTCAGACCAGAGAGTGCCCAGCCCTTGAACGAGCAGTTTCCGCATCGGAGATGCTGGCGGGAGGGACTGTCATACATGGTGACCCGACTGATGGGCTGGGGTCATTTAATTTTTATAGAATTTAACTGTGACAGACTTCTAAAAATAGCTTCATCACCTGTCTCAGGAACATAATTCTCAGTTAAGATAGTTTCCTGACGTGCTGTTGCTTATTTGCTAGAAAAATCGAGGGGGCCAGGCAGCGGGGGAGGAGGGAGGGGCCGCCCTGGGGCTGGCTGAGAGTCTGCAGTCGACCCTGGCGCATCTCTCGCGGGCTGGCCAAGGTGGGCATGGGCCGGGCCTCCAGCCTCCACGCCCCTCTTGGGCTCCTCACCCGAGTGTGACCTGGTCTCTGGGGTCTCACTCAGCTGTTTCCATCTGTGCCTCCTTCTGGGAGGAGGGTGGGGGTGGTGTCTCCCGATCTGATGAGTCAAGCTTCCTTATTAGATCGCATTGCCTCTCCCGGGTGGCCACAGCAGCCACACATGGATCCAGGACAGGCACCACACCCACCCTCTGTGGCTCGTTCTTCCTGGCCTGAAGGTGCTGCCTCAGGGTCTGTGTTCTGCCTAGGGCCTTGGCCGTCTGTCCTGGGGCGAGGGGCAGGCTCCTGCCCACCTGGCGAGGAGGCAGCACCCACCCTGAGCCCTTGGGTGGCAGGTCCAGTAGGGTGTCCCCTTTCTCTGCACCCATGCACCTCAGGAAAGAGCCCAATTCACCACCTCACAGCACCCTCAGGGCACCCCCACCCCGAGACCTGGGCTTCCACGGGCTCAAACCAGGAATGAGAGAGGGGTCCTCACAGTCAGGTCCGAGGGTCTGAGAGTGAGTGGGGAAGGCGACGTGGGGCCCACCAAAGCTGTGAGGCCACAGGAGGTTGTGGCTAAAAACCATGCTTTCCCACCGAGGGGCAGCTGAAGGTGGGAGGTGTGGAGGGAGGGCAGAATGGGGCCTGCTGCCCCTCCACTGACTGTGCCCTCAGGGACAAGAGTACAGCTGTGTGTGACATGCATGTGACAACCCGCGTGTGTGACAGCCAGGTGTGACAACCATCTGTGTGAGAACTGTGTGTGCAAACCATGTGCAAACCACATGACAACCACATGTATGTGATAATCATGTGCAGCAACTGTGTGTGTGAGAACTGTGTGTGACACGTGTGTGACAACCATGGGTGTAACGGGTGTGACAACCATGTGACAGCCATGTGACACTGTGTCTGACAAGCACATCTGATAACGTGACAACCATGTGTGACAGCCAGGCATGACAACTGTGTGTGACATCCATGTGACAACCATGTGACAGGCATGTGAGTGGCGGCCATGTGGCAGCCGTGAGGCAGGCATGTGAGTGGCAGCCGTGTGACAGCTGTATGACAGCTGTGTAACATCCATGTGGCAGGTGTGTGACAGCCGTGTGGCAGCCGTGTGACAACCATGTGACAGATGTGTGAGTGGCAGCCGTGTGACAGCTGTATGACAGCCGTGTAACATCCATGTGGCAGCTGCGTGACAGCCATGTGGCAGCCGTGTGACAAACGTGACAGGCATGTGAGTGGCAGCCGTGTGACAGCTGTATGACAGCCGTGTAACATCCATGTGGCAGCTGCGTGACAACCGTGTGGCAGCCGTGTGACAACCATGTGACAGGCATGTGAGTGGCAGCCTTGTGACAGCCATGTGACAGCCGTGCCTTTCAGGCCATGTAAAGGGACCTGAGGCCGCTGCGTCTTTTGCTGCCGCCTCCATACAGCCTCAAGGCACTGGTTCTGCTCAGTAACACAATCGGTAACTTCTGGATTTGTGACCTGTTGTGTCTGGTCCCCGGTTTCTTTCTCTGCTAACCCCAGACTGGGCCCTCCACACTGCACCGTGGTGTCACTCAGGAAACAGCGAATGTTTCCCGATCTGCCACTCAGCCAGGTCGGCGAGAACATCGTCCCAGGAAAATTTCACATTTGTGAGAAACAGCAAATGACACGTTGCTCACACCATTTGCACGCCCTAATAGCCTTTTAATTCAATGTGAAATGGGCCCATTATCCATTTCTGGAAGAAAAACAGGGAGCTGGAATAACTCAAATGTCTCATTCCCACACCGTCCACATTTGGAAAACCAACTTTGAAGAAGTTTTATTAACAATCATCAAGGCATACAGGAAAGGGAAAAGAGCGCCCGTGCAGGGCTGGGGTGCCACCCCCACCCAGAGCGGAGCCCCCAGAGGGCAGAGAAGGGGGAGGGGAGGGGAGGGGAGGGGGAGATGGGCAGCCGCTCCGCTGAGAACAGACGTGCTGGGTCCTCCGCCGTCAGGACCCCGCTACCAAGTCCCACACCACTACAGCTGCTGCAGGGTCCCCCACGGCTGCCACCTCTGAGGAGGGAACTTGGGGGCCACCAAATACCCTGTCAGCAAGGACACCCCGAAATGCCACAGAGTCCCTCAGCCGATTCTGAACAGTGTGGCCTCATGAGGATTAAAGCCCAGGTCAGGGCACGGTATGTTTTGATGTTTCTTATTTTTCTCTACATCAGTTTGTCTAAACGAGTCTTAGATGTTCATCTGCATAAAAAGCAATGTTCCAATTAGTGGAAAAATGGAAAATCAGACAGTACAATAAAAGCAAAGAAAAAAATACCCAATCCCACCACCAGAAACAGCCACCATACGTTTTGCAGGACGTCTTTCCCTCTCGTCTCTGCATAGTTTTACGTGGTGGCCAAATTCAGTGTTTGCTCAGCAGTGTTGGCTGCCACCCCCCTGTGGCAGTGCAGCTCAGCTCCAGGGCGGTGGGTGCCATCGGGGCACACAGGCCAGCGGGGAGCCCCAGACTTGGGTTAGAACAGCTGCTTCAGGGAGCAGGGGACAGGGGACAGGACACTCACGCTGAAGGGCTTCCTCAGACCCCTTTCCTAACAGCCCCTCTTTTCTCCCTCCCCACGGGAAATCTGCTCCAGACAGAATGGTTTAGCAAGGGAGCAAGGTGGAGAAGTTGGGGGTTTGTGCTGTGGGCAGGGACAGCTGGGCGCAGGGCTCTAGAGCGAGGTCACGTCTTTGCTGAGCGGTGGTTCCTTCACTGACCTCAGGAATCCAGCAGAAATAAAGTTTTGATTCTTCTTTGATTCCGCTAGAAGCCATCACTGAACACTCCCCAACACTCTCATAAACCATTAAAGGATTTTTTTTTTTTTTTTTTTTTGAGGCAGGGTTTCACTCTGTCATCCTGGGACTGGAGTGCAGTGGTGCAATCTTGGCTCACTGCAGCCCTGACCTCCCAGGCTCAAGTGATCCTCCCACCTCAGCCTCCCAAGTAACTGGACTACAGGTGTCTGCTATCACACCCAGATAATTTTTTCTATTTTTTTGTAGAGAGAGCATCTCACTATGTTGCCCAGGCTGATCTTGAACTCCTGGGTTCAAGCAATCCTACCACCTCTGCCTACCAAATTGTTAGGATTACAGGCGTGAGCCACTGTGCCTGGATATAAGCATTTTGGTGGAAACTGCGTAATACCTCACCCTGAGGATGGATCTTAATTTACTTACATTTCCCTATTGTCAGACATTATTTTGATACTAAAGTTCCATGCTAGTTCATGAATACTGCAAAGAACATCCTTTTGCATATTAAATTCATTTTCTCTGGGAAGACTTCCTGACCCTAATCTGTTTATATTTGAAATTACACTACTAAAACATAAATGTATTTTCATCGTAAAAAAAAAAAAAAGCACACAGGGTAAAAGCACATGGCCATCCTCACCCTTCCCCCTTCAAAACAAATCCGCTCCCCACAGGTAACTACTTTTAAGGTGACTTATTTACCCAGAACTTCTACTAAGCCTTTATGCATATACATATACATTTTTAGAATTAAACCTTTTGAGATTAATAATAGATTAACATGCAGTTGCAAGAAACAATACAAAGGGATCCCCTGTACCCTTTACCCAGTTTCCGCCAATGGTGGCCTCTTGCAAAACTGCAGTACAATCTCACCGCCAGGATTGATGCTGACCCACGCAGGCAGTGTCACTCCTGCCACCCCCTCCCAGCTCTGTAAAACCCTGGCAGCCCCTAATCTGCTCTCATCTCTATAAGCTTGTCCTTTCAAGAATGCCGTGCAAATGGAATGGCAGAGTCTGATTATTTTGAGACTGGCTTTCTTCACACAGCATAATTCCCTGGATATTCATCCAAGCTGCTGTGTGTACCGATAACCCATCCCTTTCTACTGAGAGTATTCCGCAGTACAGAAGTGTGATCGTCGAACTATCACCTGTGGAAGGGTCTCTGGGACAATTCCAGTTTTTGGTTGTTAGTAATAACATTATGAAAATTTGTGTCTAGGTTTTTATGTGAATATATTTTCCATTTCTCTGGGATAAATGCCCAAGATCACAATTGCTGGGTCATACGGGAGTGACATGTTTAGTTTTATCAGAAACAGCCAAACTGTTTCCTAGAGTTGCTGAGCCATTTTACATTCCCAGCAAGGCATGAAAGGTCATTTCTCTGCATCTTTGTCAGCATTCGGTGTTGTCAATATTTTCTATTGATTTCAGCCACTCTGGTAGATGTGTAGGGGCACAGTGGTTTTAATTTGCATTTCCCTAAAGGCTGACGGTGCTAGGTGTCTTTGCACCTGCTTGTCTGCCTTCCATGAGTTTTCCACAGTGAAAGGTCTGTGCACACATCTTGTACATGTCTAACTGGACATGTTTTGAATATTTGTTTACCGGTGATTTAGAGAGTTCTTTATATATTCCAAACTTTGGTCCTTTAGTGAATACGTGGTTTGCAAATATTTTCTCCCATTCTGTAGTTTTACGCTTCATGCTCTTAAAATGTCTTTTGCAGGGCAGTTTTTAATTTTGATGAGGTCCAATTTATCAAGTTTACTTTTTATGGGTTATACCTTTGTTGTCAAGTCTAAGAAGGCTTTGCCTACCCCTGTGTCCCAGTGAATTTCCCCTATCTTTTCTAGAACTCTTATGGTTTTATGTTTACATTTAAGTCTGTGATCTGCTTTTAGTTGATTTGTGTAGCAGGTGGAAGGTTTAGGATAAGCTTCTCCATCCTCCCTCCACGCTACCCCACCCATGGATGACCAACTGCACCTACAACATTTCTTGAAAAGGCTTCAGATGTGGATTTTTTGTGGATGTTCTTTATCAAATTGAGGATCTAATTCTAGTTTTCTGGGAGTTTTTATTGTGAGTAGATGTTGGATTTGTCAAAAGCTTTTCTGCATCAATTAATATGATTGTATATCTCTTCTGTTGATATGGTGGAGTACAGTGTTTGACTCAGAATGTTGAACCAGACTTGTGTGCCTGGATTAAATCTCATTTGGTGCAGCAACTTTATTCATTGCTGGATTCAATTTCCTAATATTTTGTTGAGGGTTCTGCATGTGAATTCGTGAAAGATACTGGTCTATAGCTTTCTTTTTTTATTTTTAAATTTATTTATTCATTTATTTTAAGATGGAGTCTCACCCTCTCACCCAGGCTGGATTCCAATGGCGCGATCTCGGCTCACCGCAACCTCCCCCTCCTGGGTTCAAGCGATTCTCCTGCCTCAGCCTTGTGAGTAGCTGGGATTACAGGCACCCGCCACCACACTCGGCTAATTTTGTATTTTTAGGAGAGATGAGGTTTCACCATGTTGGCCAGGCTGGTCTCAAACTCCTGACCTCGTGATCCGCCCTCCTTGGCCTCCCAAAGTGCTGGAATTACAGGCATGAGCCACTGTGCCTGGCCTATTTACTTATTTTTGAGACAGAGTCTCGCTCTATCACCCAGACTGGACTACAGTGGTGCGATCTCGGCTCAGTGCAACCTCTGCCTCCTGGGTTCAAGTGATTCTCGCGCCTCAGCCTCCTGAGTAGCTGGGAGTACAGGTGCGCACCACCACGCCTGGCTAATTTTTGTATTTTTAGTAAAGATGAGGTTTTGCCATGTTGGCCAGCTTGGTCTTGAACTCTGGGCCTCAAGTGATCTGCCTGTCTTGGCCTCCCAAAGTGATGGGATTACAGGCGTGAGCCACCAGGCCCGGCTTATAGTTTTCTAGTTTTCTTTTTTTGTAATGTCTTTGTTTAATGTGGTCGCCAGGTATGGCTGACCTCATTAAACCTCACATTGAGTGAGGAAGGGTTCCCTTCTCTTCTTTGAATGTTTGGTAGAATGAATTCTTCTTTAAGTATTTGGTAGAATTTTCCAGTAAAATCACCAGGTCTGGAGATTTTTCAGGACTTTTTAAGAATTAATTCAATTTTGTAACATATTATTAATATTACTTTGAGACCTTTTGTCTCTTCTAATCTAAGCACTGGATGTTATAAACCTCCCCCAAGAACTGTTCCGACCGTATCTCACATATGCTGCTCTGCTGTATTTTCACTTTCATTCAGTTCTATGTGTTTCGAATTTCCCTTTGAGACTTCCTCTTCGACCCATAGATAATTTTAAGGCATGTTATTTAATTTCCAAGTATCTGGAGATTTTCCTGTTGTCTTTCTGCTTCCTGAATCTGTAGATCTATGTCTTTTGCCAAATCTGGGAGGTTTTGGGGGCATTCTTTCTTCAAATACTTTTTCAGCCCCACTCTTTCTCCTCTCTTTCTGGGGCCTGATGATACAAGTATTAATACTTTTGTTATCGTCACACAACTCCCTGTGACTCTCTGCCCATGCTTTCCAGTCTTTCTTCTCTCTTCTGTTGATGTTGGGTAATTTCTGTGGGTCAGGTTCACTAATTCCATCCAGCGTGATCTCCCCTTTACTGTTCACCCCATGCAGTCAGAGTTTAAAAAACTGTTGTTATATATTTCAGTTACGTGATTTCATCTTTTTCTTTTTTATATCTTTCATTTCTTTGCTAAGATTTTCTATTCCTTCATTTGTTTCAGGAAAATACATGATTGGTGAAGCATTTTAAACCCATCGTTGATTGGTGAAGCCTACTTTAAAATAGTAGTCATATAAACCAACATCTGATTCAGCTTGATGTTGGTGTCTGTTAATTGTCTTTTTTCATTTATGTTCTGGTTTTCTTGGTTCTTGGTGAGTGACTTTTTTTTATTGTATCATGGACATTTTGGATATTTATTCTCTTGTATGTGGAATCCAGTTGTCCCAGCACCATCTGCTGAAGAGACTATTCTTTCTCCATTGCATGGTCTTGGCACTCTCATCAAAAGTCAGCTGACCACAGATGTATAGGTTTATTTCTAGAATTGCAATTGTATTCCATTGATCAATATGTCTCTCCTTATGCCAATACCACACTATTTTGCTTACTGTAGCTTTGTAGTAAGTTTTAATAAATAGTGTGAGAACTCCAACTTTGTTCTTTTTAAAGATTTTTTTCACTTACTTTGGTCCCTTGTAATTCCATATGAATTTTAGCATCAGCTTGTCCATTTCTGCAAAAAGTCAGCTAGGATTTTGATAGGAATTGTATTGAATCTATAGATCAGTTTGGGAGTATTGCCACCTTAACAATGTTAAGTCTTCCTATCCGTGAACATGGGATGTCTTTCCATTTCTTTAGGTCTGTAATTTCTTTCAGCAATGTTCTGTAGTTCTCAGCATACAAGTCTTACACCTCTTTGGTTACATTTCTTGCTAGGGGTTTTACTCTTTTTGATGCTATAGTAAATTGTCTTCCTAATTTCCTTTCCAGGTTTTTCATTGCTAGTATACAACAACACGCTGAGTTTTGAGTATTGTTTGACTCTAAGTTCTGGTTTGTTTTTGTTTTTGAGAAGAGCCTGACTCATGCTTCTAAGGTTGGACAGTCCTCATCATTCAGAGACTGTGCATATATTTACTTCTAGTTTTTTTCTACGTTTTTTGGTTTGTTTTGTCTTTTTATACAGCATCTCACTCTGTCACCCAGACTGGAGTGTGATGGTGTGATTGTAGCTCACTGCAGCTTCAAACTCCTGAGCTCAAGTGATCCTCCCACCTCAGCATCCCAAGTAGCTGCAACTACAGGCCTGTGCCAGCACACCTGGTTAATTCTTTTTTTTTAGAGACAGGGTCTTGCTATGTTCCCCAAGCTGGTCTTAAATTTCTGAGGTGATCTTTCCACCTTAGCCTCCCACAGTGCTGGGATTCTAGGCATGAGCCACTGCATCTGGCTACTTTGTTTTTTAATTTTTGATTTCTACGTTTCCTGCCTTTACTCACCAGCACTCGGCATCAGTATTTGACATGAGATGGGACCAAAGCTGGGTTTGCCTGCCCTGTAGAGCTGTGCTGGGCAGCCCCCAGCAAACCCCCTCCGGGACTAGGCGTGGTGCTTCCCCCCTCCCCACTGATCAGAAATTCTCCAGTCTCATCTTGGTCCTCTTTGTCCACCCTCTCTTCTCTCTTTTCCAAGGCTTCCTTTTCAAGTTTCTCTTTTTGTCCCTTTCACCTGATTTTTTTCCTTTAGACTATTACCCACTCCCCCCTCCCACCGCCTCCATCTTCCCTGGCTTTTAAATCAGATTCTGCCTTTGCACATGAGAAGCCCAGCTGGGTGCTGACACAGGTTCTGAGGGATGCTCCCTCGAGGTTTCATCCTCATCGGCCCTTCCACCCAGGCCCAGCGCAATGGGCGGGCGGCTCCGCGAGGCTGGCCCTGTGGACGGCGCTGAGACCAGAACCCACAGCCAAACGCCAATGAGCACAGGACTCCGCCCACCAGCCCCACAACCCCATGAGCCCCGGAAAGTTGGAGCGTCACGATAGTGGGAGGAGAAGCTTTAAAACCGGCAACAATGAAGGAGACGCAGAGGGCAGCCACGGGCATTTGGCCACATTCTTGTTTTTTCTGGACGAGGTGACCACAGCTCCTAGTGTGCAGTAGGACGCCTGGGCTGCAGCATCCGAAAAGTACGTCTTGAGTGGGCGTGAAGATTGCCTTCTGGGGAGCGAGGTTTAGAACCGAAAGCTGCATAAGCGGCAGGTGCGCTGGGCACCCGGAACGTGGTGTGGTCAGTGAGGCCCCGGCAGCTCCTCAGGGCGAGGACTCTGGGACCGTAACGTGGAGTGTGGTCAGTGAGGCCCCGGCAGCTCCTCAGAGCGCGGACTCTGGGCCGGTAACGTGGAGTGTGGTCAGCGCGGCCCCGGCAGCTCCTCAGAGCGCGGACTCTGGGCCCATAACGTGGAGTGTGGTCAGCGCGGCCCCGGCAGCTCCTCAGGGCGAGGACTCTGGGACCGTAACGTGGAGTGTGGTCAGTGTGTCCCCGGCAGCTCCTCAGAGCGAGGACTCTGGGCCCATAACGTGGAGTGTGGTCAGTGTGTCCCCGGCAGCTCCTCAGAGCGCGGACTCTGGGCCCATAACGTGGAGTGTGGTCAGTGTGTCCCCGGCAGCTCCTCAGAGCGCGGACTCTGGGCCCATAACGTGGAGTGTGGTCAGCGCGGCCCCGGCAGCTCCTCAGAGCGCGGACTCTGGGCCCATAACGTGGAGTGTGGTCAGCGCGGCCCCGGCAGCTCCTCAGAGCGCGGACTCTGGGCCCATAACGTGGAGTGTGGTCAGCGAGGCCCCGGCAGCTCCTCAGAGCGCGGACTCTGGGCCCATAACGTGGAGTGTGGTCAGCGAGGCCCCGGCAGCTCCTCAGAGCGCGGACTCTGGGCCCATAACGTGGAGTGTGGTCAGCGAGGCCCCGGCAGCTCCTCAGAGCGCGGACTCTGGGCCCATAACGTGGAGTGTGGTCAGTGTGTCCCTGGCAGCTTCTCAGAGCGCGGACTCTGGGCCCATAACGTGGAGTGTGGTCAGTGTGTCCCCGGCAGCTCCTCAGAGCGCGGACTCTGGGCCCATAACGTGGAGTGTGGTCAGCGAGGCCCCGGCAGCTCCTCAGAGCGCGGACTCTGGGCCCATAACGTGGAGTGTGGTCAGTGTGTCCCCGGCAGCTCCTCAGAGCGCGGACTCTGGGCCCATAACGTGGAGTGTGGTCAGTGTGTCCCCGGCAGCTTCTCAGAGCGCGGACTCTGGGCCCATAACGTGGAGTGTGGTCAGCGAGGCCCCGGCAGCTCCTCAGAGCGCGGACTCTGGGCCCATAACGTGGAGTGTGGTCAGTGTGTCCCCGGCAGCTCCTCAGAGCGCGGACTCTGGGCCCATAACGTGGAGTGTGGTCAGCGAGGCCCCGGCAGCTCCTCAGAGCGCGGACTCTGGGCCCATAACGTGGAGTGTGGTCAGTGTGTCCCCGGCAGCTCCTCAGAGCGCGGACTCTGGGCCCATAACGTGGAGTGTGGTCAGTGTGTCCCCGGCAGCTTCTCAGAGCGCGGACTCTGGGCCCATAACGTGGAGTGTGGTCAGCGAGGCCCCGGCAGCTCCTCAGAGCGCGGACTCTGGGCCCATAACGTGGAGTGTGGTCAGTGTGTCCCCGGCAGCTTCTCAGAGCGCGGACTCTGGGCCCATAACGTGGAGTGTGGTCAGCGAGGCCCCGGCAGCTCCTCAGGGCGAGGACTCTGGGCCCATAACGTGGAGTGTGGTCAGTGTGTCCCCGGCAGCTCCTCAGAGCGCGGACTCTGGGCCCATAACGTGGAGTGTGGTCAGCGCGGCCCCGGCAGCTCCTCAGGGCGAGGACTCTGGGACCGTAACGTGGAGTGTGGTCAGCGCGGCCCCGGCAGCTCCTCAGAGCGCGGACTCTGGGCCCATAACGTGGAGTGTGGTCAGCGCGGCCCCGGCAGCTCCTCAGGGCGAGGACTCTGGGCCCATAACGTGGAGTGTGGTCAGCGCGGCCCCGGCAGCTCCTCAGAGCGCGGACTCTGGGCCCATAACGTGGAGTGTGGTCAGCGCGGCCCCGGCAGCTCCTCAGAGCGCGGACTCTGGGCCCATAACGTGGAGTGTGGTCAGCGCGGCCCCGGCAGCTCCTCAGGGCGAGGACTCTGGGCATATAACATGGAGTGCCCGTCAGTGGCGCCGGAGCAACTTCTCAGAGTGCGGACTCTGGGGCCGAGGCTGAGGTGGGGGCTTCACAGCTGGACTTGTTTCTTCAGCGTGTGCTGCGGCGGGAGGGAGGAAGGGCTGGCCCAGGCGTGAGAGCATTAAGAAGAGAGAATTAGTGAGCCTGGGCCACGTACATGGGAGTCACACCAGTTTCTCATCTGTAAAATGGAGTGAATGCACGAGCGCAGAGGCGTTCTAAAAATCCCGGTGGGGTGACGTGTCAGAGCAGTCCGCGCCGCTGAGGTGGTCACTGAGCGCTTGCTTCTCTTGTGAGGGCGCTGGGTGCTCGGGTGTTTACGGTAGAGCAGAAAGGCTCATCATCTATGTCCTGGGGCAGATGCAGAGAGCGTCGGCAAGGTGAGGAGGGCGTGAGGTTTGCTCGCGGCACCCCAACACGAACAGGCTCAGACGGTGCATCTCCCTCAGAGGACCTCACTTTCATGCAAAAACATCAGACTACGCGACGAGCTCCCAGTATCCCTGAGCCACCCACTCGGAACCCTCAGTCCATCTGCATGTGTGACCCTGAGGTGCAGACAGATGCAGGCAGGCTGAGGTGGGTGCTGACCCTCGCTGGCCAGACCAAACCCTCCCGGGGTCAGTTTTCTCCTCCACAGAGGTCTGTCCAGCTCAAAGGTGCCCCTGAGCTCTCTGCAGCCCAAGGCTTCAGGCTATTTCTAACATTTAAACATGAAGAAAGATGAGGAAGTTTGCCCCTGGTGGAAATCTGAGACCCCACACAGACCCTAGATCCATGAGTAAGGGTGGAAAGAAAATTCCATGTATGCATTTTCTCTTTCTAGCCTTAAGTCAATGCAGATTTTTGAAAACTGCCCTTGAAATGAAATGGAAAGAATGTTATTTTCTTCTTTATTAATTTTGCGTGGAGTGGTTTTGAAGCCCTTAGTTCTGGTTTTATTTGAGAAAGCGTCACCATTACAGTCTAAAAAGGAAAGCTTCATGCACTAAAAAGGAGAGAAAGAGGCCAATTCATCAGTAAATCAAAACACCCTAAGGAAGAGTTAGAGAATCCATGTTCTGATGCTTCCTCCTAGCAAGTATTAATTTTACCAATTTTTTTCTAAAAACCATCATTTGAGAGATAAAAGACAACCTCTCATTCTAAAGTGCTTTCTTCTCAAGGCCTGGCTGGAGTTAACTGAAGCATTTGAAGGATCCTAGAATAATTTCCATAACTCAGGGGCCCCCAGCAACCAGTGAGACCATGTCGCAGGCCATGCAGAGCACGGTTCAAGAAACACCCATGAGACCATCCACTACAAACTCTCAGGGGGCTTGCTGATGGCCCCACACCCCAAACCCTGACACAGCGGCCTTGTCTGAGACCATGAATGCTCAGGGGGCTTCCCGATGGCCCCATGCCCCGACCCCCGACACAGCGGCCTTGCCTGAGACCACAAACGCTCAAGGGGCTTGCTGATGGCCCCACGCCCCAACCCCCAGCACGACGGCCTTGCCTGAGACCACACAGTGGCTTCCATGTGAGCTTCGTGGGCTGGATGCCTGGCTCTCAGCCCCTTTGAATGAGGGACCACTGAGTCCCACTGGGCGAGATTGAGACCTGCTGTCCTGCACCCTGGCAGGGAGAGGACAGACTCCCACCACCTGTGTGGGCTATCCCAGCCGCCTCCTTCCTCTGTCACCCTAACGTCCCAAAGCTCTGTGTGAACAGATGCAAGCTCGGGCCTGGCTGGATCAATCCACCTGTCACTCCCTGGGGCCTTCACTCCAGTCTCTCATCATTTTCCTTTTTTCTTGGCTCTGCCCTGTCCCCTAGGCGCGTGTGTGTGCACGTGTGTGTGTGTGTGTGCATGTGGACCTGCGTCTGTCTATATTTCCTCCTCCCCCACAACTAGACTCTAGATTTTAGCAGGTGGAGACATTTTTCTAGCTCTAACTCAGCACAGAATCCAGCTCACACTCAGAAACATCTGCTAATTTAACTTCCTCTGGCCCTGCAACCACACATGGTGGATGAGGCCG
Source organism: Homo sapiens (assembly GCF_000001405.40). Lineage (NCBI taxonomy): Eukaryota > Metazoa > Chordata > Mammalia > Primates > Hominidae > Homo > Homo sapiens. Next base: position 79,805,690 of record NC_000018.10, on the reverse strand, counting down.
TCAGGTGAAGAGGCTGCAGCCCTGCAGGGCGCCAGGTGGTACATGGCCACCAGGACCACAATGAAGACCCGAAGGCGAGAAATGTGACAAACAGTAGACAGGAAGCCACTAAGATCATCACTGAGAAACAGACGATAGAAGAAAAAAAAAAGGCAATGGAGAAAAACATTCAGCCTTAGCCAGACATCATCAAGTGCAGTGTTTTCTAGAAACTCGACCTGTAGCCAGTGCACTTTTGTGTGGGTGCAGCCAGCAGGGCCCAAGTCTGGAGGAAGCTCCGCAGGTGCCGGCCTCATCCCGAGTGCGCGGCAGGCCCTCCTCTTACACCTCCTGCCACGCGTGTGTTTCCTAATGACCATGTATCACTTTTACAGCAAAAAGCCATGTATTTGGAAAATTGAGAAGAGGTTAAAGCACTGAAATGCAGTGCGGTGAGGCGGAGAATGAGAAGGATGCATCTGGCACAGCTTTCCCGAGAAACGACCTGGCATAATGTGTAAGACCTTAGTGTTTCTAACTTTTGACGATATGCAAAGTTTCTTCAAAGATGTATCTACAAATACGTCCATGACAGTGGTATTTGGAACATCAACAAACTGGAAACAACCTACATGGCCAATAACAGGAGGACACAGAAACAGAGTTTGATAAATCCAAACAAAAGGATGCTTTCAATATAATATGATGTGAAATAACCCCAAACATGTATGAGAGCCTTCACCCGTATGTGTGTGTGCGTGTGTGTGGTCATTCTATAAATACACATTGAAACTATCCTAATGTATTAGCAGCTATTACCTCTGGACAGTTGCAATCTTACGCAAGATTTTTTAAAAGTAATTTATACTTCTTTTTAATTTTCATTTCCAAGTCTTCTGTGATAAAAGTGTACTGCTTTTAGAATGTGAGAAAAAGCAATAAAAGGCATTTTAAATTGCATTTGTTGTACCTGGAAGCCTGAAGAGGCCCTCCACTTGTTCCCGTGGGCTCACTGTTGGCTTCTTTTTGATGCCACATTCCCTTTGGTGTGAAATGATTTCTTCAGAGGCCGACAACCACGGTTCACATCAAAGAGCATCAGCCCAGACTTGACTGAAGCACAGACTCCAGGAAGCAGCGGTGCGTCAGCAGCTCTGGGGCTGGGGTGTGTTTCTGCACCTTGGCTCAGGACCGGCCACGGGTGCACCTGAGCACCCATGGGAGGGCCCCCCACAGCCACAGCCTGTCATGGGAAGGACCTGGGCCTCTGACGCAGCACTGGCTCCAGCCAGGAGTCCCAGGTGTGTGGCCTGGGTGCTGAGTCCCCCCTGGAGCCTGGTGCAGCACCGGCCGGCAGGAGCTCAGCACACCGTGTGCATACCCCATGCAGTGATCAGTGGGTGCTGACGGGCAGAGTCCAGCAGGGCCAGGGTCCAGCGGCTGTGGCTGGTGCCTTCCGGCCTGGGCAAGAAGAACACGCTCTCAAATGCCCTATTCTTGTAGCCTTTGGGAAACAGGTCACATAGGCCTGCAGTGAAGGTGGCCAGATTTAGGGTGGGGTTGAGCAGTGCCTTTCCATGGGGCCTCGGTACAGAGAATGGCACAGACCCCGAGGTGGCAGGTGCTCTGGCCACCCCATGATCGTGCTCCCAGGTCTGGAGGCATTCAGTGCCATGCAGCACTTTTATAAGGAACAAGATCCCCATGTTGAGGAATAATCTGCCACCAGCAAAGGACGGGCCTGCTGCAGGCTAGAGCTCCCTGAAGGTGAGATAGGAGTGACACGGCCAGGCCAGGCCTAAGATTCTGATCCACCGGCACCAACCCCGGAGAAACCAACACGGAGGCCTCAGCATGGCCCCGGGGCCATCACAGTGAGGAGAAACTTGGAGGCAGCCCAGTCTCAGGCACCTGCTGGCATCCTGGAACCTTGGCCGGGACTGGGGCCTGTGGTCGGGAGACGCAGGAGGGCCCCGGCTGAGCTGTGAGGGCTCCTGGACAGGAGGGCAGGCTCCCTGCTGGGGCGGGATGGGAGAAAACGCCTCCTCCGTCAGCCCAGCAGAAGCCTTGGACCACAAGTGGTGAGAATCACGGCCAGCCCTGCAGGTTCTCAGGGAAGAAACACGATCGGAGCCCCCAGAATCACAGGCCCCCTCGTCGGTCCCCAGCACTGCACACCCACGCCTAGCCACTGTTTTCTTCACCCTAGAATGTTTCCGTTTCTAATTTGGCAAGTATTAAAGAAGCCAATGATACATATTTCCTATCTTCCCTCTTCTAGAAGATGTCTTTTCTTTTGGCAGAAAACAAGGGAAAATTAAATCAAGGAAATTTGTTCACAGTCAGAAACTGTCATCTTGAAGTGGCTGTGAACCTCCGGGAAGAAGAACTGGAGGCCTAGAGGTGAGGGGGCTGGCCCTGCCCTGTGACTACAGAGGTGAAAGAGCTGGGGGCCTGGAGATGAGGGGGCTGGCCCTGCCCTGTGACTACAGAGGTGATCAGGCAATCTCATGAGTGTTAACTATTTTTTTTTTGAGACAGAGTCTTGCTCTGTCACCCAGGCTGGAGTGCAGTGGCGCGATCTCGGCTCACTGCAAGCTCCGCCTTCCGGGTTCAAGCGATTCTCCTGCCTCAGCCTCCCAAGCAGCTGGAATTACAGGTGCCTGCCACCATGCCCGGCTAATTTTTGTGTTTTAGTAGAGATGAGGTTTCACCATGTTGACCAGGCTGGTCTGAAACTCCTGACCTCAGGTGATCTGCCCGCCTCAGCCTCCCAAAATGCTGGGATTACAGGCGTGAGCCACCGCACCCAGCCAAGCGTTAACTTTTAATGCATTTTATTTCATCAAAGCATTTTCACTCCATTGCATCAATTGCTATGATGTTAAATAAAATGTACCGATATAAAACTTGTCATAGAATTTTTTCCTGTTAATCTGCACACAAAGACATCCCCTCCAAAAGAACAGGAAAAAAAAAAAAGCCAGGAACTCTCCTCCCAGCTGTAACAGATGCACGCTAGAACCACTGTACGCTCAGAATCTGTTATCTGCCAGGTTGGGGGTGGCTCAGGTGTGCACACAGGGGTCAGTGCCAGGAAGGGTGTCCTTGGGGTGTGAACCTGAGCTGGAGAAGGAAGGCAGGGGAGCCAGCCAAGTGTCTGCTTAGCTGTGGGTGAAGAAGTTACAGCCAGACCTTCCCCACTAGGGCCGATGCTGCAGCGGCCGGGCTGGGACAGATGTCGAGGCCAGGCTCTCCGGACCGGAGCGGCACGGCTGGGACAGGTGTCAAGGCCAGGCTCTCCGGACCAGAGCAGCACGGCTGGGACAGGTGTTGAGGCCAGGCTCTCCGGACCGGAGCGGCACGGCTGGGAGAGCCGACCTTCACTGCTCCAGGGTCCCCAGACGCCCCTCCATGAGCCGCGTCCACCTGGTCTTCTAAGTGCTTTTTGAACATTTCTAAACCGTAGAGAAAAGGTGAAAGGATCCCTTTAGCTGTCTGTATTTGGGCAGCTCTTTCCATGATTTTAAAACCCACAGTGAGAAAAATATTTTATGCTGTGACCAGGAACACACAAAACTAACTGCACAGTGTATGAAATGCTCATATTTTCTGTCTATTCCATCTCACTATGAAAACGCAAGTCACATCCACAAATCACCATTTCCAAAACTTCTCAGAGATGAACGTCATGTAGGATATGTGCTAAGAATCAATTCCAGGCCCACCCTGACCCACCACCTGGGACCCCTGGCGAAGGGGTCCCCAGAGTCCCTGGCTAAGTGGCTTCCCATTAACCAGGTGATGAGTGTGATGAGAAACGCGGGCAATGAATCCCTCCATGCGAGGGCGGGGACACGGGTGAGAGCACCCTGCTGGGGGCACAGGAGCCCCTCTGTGTGCCGCACCCAGGAGCTCAGCCAGGAACAACTAGGACCACACAGCCTTTGCCACTGCACTAATCCTATGCAAGAATACATTTGCCTCTTCGGGCTGGAATTTAGTAAAAACTGCTGCCACATTCAGATCAGCCTGAAGGTTTCTGAAGCTACACTGGGCCCCATAATTCTAGCCTTTGATTTCATGTGCTTACTACTCACGTCTAATATAAGATTTAAACTCCATCGCTTAACTATCTGAGAAGGTTAAAAATATCCAGAAGGCCATTAAACTCTGGGAACTGCCTCGGAGGGCTCCCGGGCCCAGCATGTGCGTCCCCTCCTTGCCGGGCCTGGGTGAAGGGTGGGCAGTGCGGGGCAGGTGTGGCCCCTCCACAGGCCCCGGCTGAGGAAACCCAGCAGGGATGGAGGACCTGGACCTGCTGGACTAAGAGATGTGAGGATCCCCTCGGGGGAGGAGGACGCAGAGCTGGCGAGGCCTGAGGCCTTCACAGGTACCGGTTCTCACACAGTCTCAGCTTCCTTAATTGACAAAGGCAACATAAAGGTCTTCTGCGCTATTTTTATATTACATTTCAATTAGCCTTTTTCTAAACTCATAATCAAATTAAAATACTGCATGGTTTCTTTTTGAGGGAATGTATTACTGATTTTGACACAGGTCAGGGCGTCATCATTCAGTTCAACCCTCTCATCTGACGTGGCGGGGATCAGAGACCAGCAGTTAAAGCCCTGCCCGGCATCTCTTGGCCGCCCCGGACATCCGCATGGCTGTCTGCAGAGGGAGGCTGTCTGATAGTTCACAGTGCCTCAACAGCACGGAGCTCCTCGTGGCCAGACTGTTGGCAGCTGCCTGGCATGGTCTCCCATCACGTGAAAAGGCTGAACCTGCTGTTGATAAGATTTCTGTTAGCAATTCCATGAGTCTGGGTGTTCTCCTGGCCCCGCCGGGGACCCATTTTGACTTGACATTTGCTTCGGGTGCCCCTCGCTGTGGTTCCCCAAGCAGACCTGTCCCTACAAACCAGCCGGTGGGTGAGCAGAGCCTGCGGGTGCCCGCAGGACACGCCAGGCCGACTGCAACCATAGGCACCAGCCCACCTCCCGTCTGCTCAGCGCCGCCCGCCCGGGGAAGGAACTGCTGAGGCTCCTGCCGGAAAGCCGCGGCTGTGAAGGAGCCAGTGCTGTTTCTCCGACACCAGCAAGGACCCTGAGTGCCTCCCACACGGGAAGGCGGGGTACATGTCTCGTCAGAGGCAGGCTCTGATTCAGCCGGTTTAGGGGGCCGAGATCCTGCCTCCCAAGCCTCATCTGAGGAAGGGGGTCTTAAACTACCTCGGTCAATGCCCGCCCTCGTTGGACTCATGCCTACCGGCTGGGCTACCTGATGGCAGCACCCGTTTGTGTCTGAGCGACCTCACTGGCAGCAAGGGCCCCATGGCTCCTTTCCTTACCACCAAGAACATCCCTGACCAAGCGTTAGCCCTAAGATATCCCCATTCATTACAAAATTACCCATCCGTGGACAGGCGCGCAGTACTCAGACACAGGTGGCCGTCCCTGGATGCCCTGCGTGTCCTCGTCCTGCAGGCCCTACCACCCCTCCCGGCCCCCAGAGCTCATGCCTGTCGGCACAGCCCCATCTGCTCCCTTCACTCCCGCCCCCACGCCTGCCAGGGCTGCAGAGAGACGCGCCTCCCACGACAAACAGCCCTCCGTTCGCGCTGCCCTCCAGGTGCCTGCCTGAGACCCACTTCTTCCAGAAAAGCAGCCCCCAACCATCAGACAAAAGAACAACAAAGCTGCGCAGATCCTCCCGAGACATTCAGAACCCAAGCACCTGCTTTTCACCAGGGCAAAACCCAGCACGCTATCGTTTCTGACCGGCCTGTTCCTACCAGCATGACCCATGAGTGGAGGCACCTGCACCTGTGACTACAGCCATGCAGCCCCAGCCGCACGCTGGGCAGAAACCCCGAATCATAGCTCGGCCACCCGCCCCCCACACACTTCCTGTGCGCCTGGCACAAGCAGGGCTCAGCCAGGCGCTGAAAAGGGAAAGCTGAGCAGCCTCCTGCCTGTGGCAGCTGAGAACTCACTTCCCTCCTTTTCTTCTCATGCCTACAAAAACACCAATTTTTCCCTTAAATTATCGAAATCTCAACATTTAAAACACACTTTTGCAAAGTGGAATCTAACAACTGGCACTGGCCTTGGACAGACCTGGAAGTTGTTTTTGTCACCTCTCCCCAGGGAAGATGCGGACACAGCAACCCTTTGTGGCAACAGTGGATAGTCCCGAGAATGTGACATCTAAGGTGACCTCATCCCCAGAATGTACCACAATGCCCCCCAAATTCCCTAAGAAAGCCCGGCAATCCCATCCCTCTAACTAGGAATTCCTAAGGAAGAACCTTCAGAGGCCAGCTGTGTACCCTGCACCATCCCAGAGAACAGGGGTGGGGGAGGAGGGTCCCCTCTTCCGCGGTTCTGCTTGGGGTCTCGGGAAGCCTCCTGGACTCTCAGCAGAACGAAAACCACTCAGGGCTGAGTCCGTGCCCCTGTGGCATGTGGCCCGCGGGGTCACCCAGCTGCCTGGGCAGGGCTGAGGGTGGAACAGCCTCTCCACTTAATCACTCTGAGATCTCCCAGCTGGGTCAAAATCCATTATTTACAATCTGCCCGGCGCTCACTTTGAGCGCACGCGGAAGCCAGAGGTCTCTGCAGGCAGAGAAGGGGGGACCCATGAGGCTCCCGCAGGGAAAGGACTTCCTGGAATTCTCCAGGCAGGTCGAATTGCTCCCAGACCCTTTGGAGGAGGTGACAGAGGGGGTCCCCGCAGCCCCTGCTGTGTGGGGAGACCCCGGGAGCCAGGCGCGCGGGCGGGGGCTCCACCGGTCACTCCGAAATCGCAGAATGCCCCAGGGTCTCCGGGACTTGTGGGTTTAGGGGAACGTTCGGGACGCGGAGCGGGCCCAGTTCACCTGCCGGACGCCCCCTCCGTCCATCCGAACCCGGGAGCCCCGCAGGAGGGACCCTTCTCGTCCCCAGTGACCACAGTCCGGACCCGGGCTGCGCTCGGCGGGCAAGGCTGGGAGCTCCCCGGGCCGGAGGACGGGGCGCATGGGCTCCGGGTTTGCAGAATTCGCGGCTGCGGGAGCTGGGTCTTCTCTCCCCCAATTCGGGCCGCGCCCCGGCTGGTCGGAGGAGGCAGAGTAGGGGTGCGGCCGTGTGTCCGAGCGGGAGTGGGGCGTTCATCTCCGGGGAGAAGGGGGACCGGGAAAGGCGCAGCGCGCCGAGCATTCGCCCACACCCCGCCCGCTCTCCGCGCGAGCCGGGTGCGCCCCCAACCGAACCGGGGCGGGCGCCGGGAGAGTCGGGTTTTCCCGAGACCCGCGCCCCTTCCTCGCCTTCGGCTCACCCGGGCTCCCGCAGGACCAGCGCGAATAGACGGGGCGATCCGCGGCCGAGACCTCCATCCACGCGCGCGGCGCGGCCAGACCGGCGAGCGCCTCCGGCCCGACGCCCCCCTCGACTCCCGGACTCTGGGCGCTGAGCGGGAGGGGGAGGCACCAGCCCCGCCCGGCCCCGAGCCGCCCCCGCCCCCTTGGCCCGAACAGGGGGATTCCAAGGTCCCCTTCGACCCTCCCGCGCCCGCGCGCACCGCGCACCCGGAGAAGAAGCTGCGCGCGGAACCATCAGACAGGAGCCCGCGCCCCCCGCCCCACCGCCCACTGCGGCCCCGGCTCCTTCGCCGCGGACCCCCCACCCCCGGCCCCACGGCGCGCTCAACTTTACCTGCGGTCCAGACTCCGCGAGCTCCGGGCTCCGCTTACCCGGCCGGCGGCCTCCTCGGGGCGGAGCGCGGCGTCTCTGGAGCCGGCATCCCGGACTCCGGCGCCGCCCCGCGCACCGCCCCCGTCCCAGCCTTCAGTGGCGCGGCGCCCCCTCGCGACATCCGCGGGTCCCCAGGAGCGAGCCGACCCTCGGCTGGGTTTGGAGCCGGGGCCAAGTCCACTCGGAGGGAGCACGGAGCCCACCCAGCTGCCCTTGGGGGCAGGAGGCCCAGGCCCCACTCTGCACACCGCCCCCACCAGCGCACGCCCTGGCAGGGGCACACACGCTCACACTCACACAGGTGCACACTCACATCGGCAATCTGTGCAACTCATACGCTCACTGCCACACTCATAATCACACACACAGGTGCACACACATCGGCAATCCGTGCAACTCACACGCTCACTGCCACACATAATCACACACAGGTGCACACTCACATACTCTCATAACCCCAGTCATTCATACTCACGTACATGCATACACACGCTCATAACCACATTCATCCAGGCACACATGGATACACTCATACACACACGCATGCACACTCACACACAAACACTCTCAATGTCATTCCAGAGGCACGGGCTGCCTCCTGCCTGCTGTGACCACTCCAAAGCAGCCTTTGGGGTACAGGGGAAGAGACGAGGAACCCGGCCCAAGACTCTGGAAGGACAGGACTGTGGGTTTTCAGTCAACAGCCAAGGCACTTCTCGTTGAGCGGATCCCCAGGAGACGCCAGCTGTGAGGACTCCGGACGCTTCTGTGGGATGGATCCTGGAGCCGCAGCGGAGCCTCTAGTGAGTGGATGTTTCTCATTTGCATCCACAAAAAGGAAATGTTCCTCTCCAGCTCCAGCCGGAGCACCAGGTCTTGGAAGGGAGGCTCTTCTCCATGGAAACATCTACCGGATTCAGAGCAGGAGGTGCCTGCACTGCTGCCTCTGAAAGGGCAGAGGCTGCTTTTTGGGGGGGCAGCTGGTGGTTAGCGGAGGCCTTTGAGGCTGAACAGATCTGCCCCTGGGGACATTGCCCTGGGGATCCAGTGGACGTTTGCAGCTGCAGGAGGCAGAAGCAGCCAGGACCCCTTTATCTCAGAAGCCCCTGTTAAATACACTCATTAGAAAAGTAAACGAGATAACTCAGATTGCGCTGTCTGTGCTGGAACGCAGGGGTTGCCCTACAGCTGGTGGTTTGGACGTGGGGGTCTGAAGGGTTTCTCAGGCTGTGCATTCTCTGACCTCGGTCTGTTCTTCTTGGTCCAGTTCAGCCCTGGCTGCCTCTTTCAGACCCTGCACCTTGACCCAGTCTCTGGTGGCTGTGACCGTGCAGAGTGCAGTCAGCCCATCACCTCCCTTTTGCAGACTCTATATCTACTGATCCAACCAAAATGCTCACCAGCCTTTCCAGGCACCACATCACGTTTCAGACAGCCCTGGCTTGCTAGTCAAAGCTCTAGGTCTGTGCAGTTGTTGGGTTTTTTCCCCCATGATTTTCAGTTACTTGATTCTTTAAAAGTCTAGGTTTTGTATATTACAATTTGTCCCTAGTACATTTTATTTCGGTAGTTTTTATTAGGTTAAACTTTTTCATGAGCCTTGTCAGATGTTTCAGAATCTTAATTCTGTTATGCAGCTTATTAGCTTCCTTCTCATCTGAAGCCATTGGACAACTGCTCAGTCGAGCTGGGCCATCCAAGTCATCAGCATAATTCATGTTTCCAAAAAAAGGGGTCACACCGGCAAGCCCAGGCCCCCGAGCACTGCCTGGACGCCAGCTGCGACTCCACGCCCACCCTGCTGATTCATTTCCCATTTTGTTTGGGAGGATGTCAGTGGAGACTTTCAGAAATCAAAATACAATGAATCAGGCATCTGAACTAGTAAACCTGCCAATATCACACAAAAAAGACAACAAATAATGTGGTCTGTTTAATAAGTTTTTTTTAGTATTGGCTAACGTTCACCAATCTGGGGGGGTGGTGGTGCTGCATGAACCCCGTCAGCCTGGAGTGGGGAAGGTCTGTGTACCCTGGACCGAGGTCCTAACGCGTGGTGCCTCAGTTTCCTTGTCTATAATAGCAGAACGCACTTCGCTGTTTTACTAATTAAATGAGACAACGCTAGGACATGTCTGGCTCACGGCAAACAGACAAACAATGATCATCATTGTTTTAGGTGCTTGCAAAACCTGTCACAATCTGGAATGTTTCCAGAATGCTGAAACACTGAACACATCTGCAAACTGAGTCTTGAAAATGGGACCTTGAACTTACAGCGAGGACGCAGTGCGGCATCCTGCCCAAGGGCAGTTCACACCTGCACAGCATGCGGATGAAACACGTCCCTTGACAGGCGATTTGTACAACCCATTTCCTTCTCCCTGTGATCCTGTAAATCGGTCCCGTGTCTCTCGGACGTGGGCAGGCCTCGTGTGTGTTTTTCTCCCCCTGTGATCCCGTAAATCGGTCCCGTGTCTCTCGGACGTGGGCAGGCCTCGTGTGTGTTTTTCTCCCCCTGTGATCCCGTAAATTGGTCCCGTGTCTCTCAGACGTGGACAGGCCTCAAGTGTGTTTCTCTCCCTCTCTGATCCCGTAAATCAGTCCTGTGTCTCTCAGATGTGGACAGGCCTCAAGTGTGTTTTTCTCCCCCTGTGATCCTGTAAATCGGTCCCGTGTCTCTCGGATGTGGGCAGGCCTCGTGTGTGTTTTTCTCCTCCTGTGATCCCGTAAATCGGTCCCATGTCTCTCAGACGTGGACAGGCCTCAAGTGTGTTTCCCTCCCTCTGTGATCCCGTAAATCGGTCCCGTGTCTCTCAGATGTGGACAGGCCTCGCATGTGTTTCCCTCCCGCTGTCATCTTGTAAACTGGTCCCATGTCTCTGGGACGGGGCCTCGTGCGTGTTCCTCGTAACTCGTCTCTGTGCTCTTCTCCTCTCCCTAAGCCGCAGCGTTCCTCACCGTGTGCGTCTCCTTCCTGTTCATGGTTCCTGTTGCTCCATCTCTGAACTTTGGATGTTTCACGTGTTCCCTTTCTTCTGATTGTTGTTGACAGCAGACTTAGGCAGACACTGAGGGTGCTGGGCCTTCCAGATGCTCAGGTCCCAGGACCCCTGCACTGTGATGTCCTAAGCAAGCACTGGTGATGGGCTTCAAGGATACAAGGATGCGGGGACAGGGCCACAGAGGGTGGGACTCGCTCCCGTTCATGCTCATGACTCCCCTTTCTAAATCACACACTCACTGTCACACTCACAATCACACTCACACAGGTGCACACTCACATTGGCAATCCGTGCAACTCACACACTGCCACAGTCATGCACATGCATCCACACACTCATACCCACATTCATCCAGGCACACATGGACACACTCATACACACGTGCACGCTCACACACACACTCTTGTACTGTGGTCATCCCAGAGGCACAGGTCCCAGGTGACGCGCCTGCACCTTCCTGTAGCTTCTCTTTTAGGAAAGGAACAAACACTTTAAGATGTTTTTTGTCTGTAACGCATGCTCATTGTAGAAAATGTGTGAACTTTTTGTGAAAAACACAAATAAGAAAATAATAAATCACTTCTAACTCCCATCTTCATCATCCAAACTTATCCCTGTTAACATTTTGGCACTGAAACACTTTGGTCTCTTTTTTTGTTGTTTTTGTTTTTGTTTTTGTTTTCTGAGACAGGGTCTTGTTCTGTGGCCCAGGCTAGAGTGCAATGGTACGATCATAGCACCTCCTGGGTTCAAGTGATCCTGCCACCTCAGCCTCCTGACTAGCTGGGACCACAGGTGTGCCACCACACTCAGAGAGTTTTGTTAGTTTTGGGGGAGACACAGTCTCACTATGTTGCCCAGGCTGGTCTTGAACTCCTAGGCCCAAGCAATCCTTCTGCCTTAGCTTCCCAAACTGCTGGCTTACAGGTATGAGCCACTGTGCCTGGCCTACTTTGGTCATTTTTTATGTAAAAATAAATTTTGGTTTATTATACAAAAATCGCATCATAAATATACACTGGGCAGGGTATACACACTGCACAAAAGGAAATACACACTTTTCATTTTTTCCAACACCATTTTAAATAGATCTCCATCCTGGGGATGCTGCCACACTTTAACTGAAACTCTATTATTTGACATTGATGTTTTCTCCAATTTTCAACTATCTTAAAATACTCTGCCATAAACATCTTCACAGACAAATCTTGACCCACTTTCTTGACTGTGGTGACATTGCTGAATCCCAACCAATGTATTATTAGAGGAAAATCCTTGGTGTGAACATTACAATTGAAATTTTATTTCTTCAAAAAAATAGACTAGGCACAGTGACTCCTTCTTGTAATCCCAGCATTTTGGGAGGCTGAAGCAGGAGGATTGTTTGAGCCCAGGATTTCAAGACCAACCTGGGCAATATAGCACAACTCTGTCACTACAAAAAAAAAAATTGAAAAATTGGCTGAATGTGATGGCACATCCCTGTAATATTAGCTACTTGGGAGGTTGAGGTGGGAGGATCACTTAAGCCCCAGGAGTTGGAGGCTACAGTGAGCTGTGATTACACCACTGGACATCATCCTGGGTGACAGAGAGAGACCCTGTCTCAAAAAAAAAAAGAAAAAAATTAAAAAGAAAAAAGAAAAGGAAAGAAAGGAAGAAAAGAAAACGAATAGCAAGCCTCTGTGTCCACTGGCTTATCTGTCTTGGGTGCTAAGCCTCTTGGGCAGGGGCACCTTCTTATCTGTGTCCTTGGGCCTTGGCATGGGCCGGGCTCTGAAGCATGCTGTCCGCAAGTGTTCACTGAAGGTGGAAATGAGGAAGTGGGTGGTACTGTCATAAACTTAGATGTCAAATTACTTTCTTTACTAGTATTTTCCAAATTAGTCATTTTCTTCTAGACATTTACTATAATTTTCATATCTTGGCTGATTTTCAAAATAAGATGATATATTCTGCAGCTTTTCCGAGATAGGATTGACACCATACAAGTCACCCATTTAAGTTGCACCATTCAGTGGTTTTCAGTTTATTCAGCGCGTGCAGCCGTTGCTACATCCATTTTAAAGCATTTTCACCACCCCACCGAGAAACCTGTGTCCCTCAGCCCTCCCGACCTCCGCCCGCTGCCTTCCCCGTGCGTGGTACTGAGGGGACCCAGGAACTCACCTTCTGCAGTGCGGGAGGAGCTCCCACGGACGTCAGTCCCCGGGCTTCTGTCTGTCTTTCGGACACGTTCATTCTCCTGAACATCTGCCTGGCTCTCTGCTCTCTTCCTTTTTTTCTGTTTCTTGTTCATGGGAGACAGGGGCCCGTTTCTGGCATCTGCAGCCTCCCTCTCTGCGTGCTGAGGGGAAGAGGCTGTGGCGTGGCGGGGCTTGTGGCCCACTGGGCAGCTGCTCGAAACGCGCGTCCTTCTGTTTCCCGGTCCCTGATGTCTCGCCCGCGTTTATAGTGTCGTCTGTGTCCGTGCGGTTCCCCCAGGTGCCCGCAGGCCCATCCCTCTCCCAGGAGGCGGGTGCTGCCCCCGGTACCTCTTCTCAGCGCCAACCGGCTTTGACAGCAGACGCTTCACCTCACAGGGAACACAGGGTCTCTCTGCAGCTGTCTCAGGCCTCCTCCTCTGTTCATTACTTTAATCTCTACCCTAAATTCCCTAACTCCTCATTTACTGTGATTCTACTTCCTCATCTTAACTTGAGCTCCAGATGGGAAGCGGTCCACTGAAACCCGCACACGTTCACTCTGCGAGTCCCTGGCTGCCGAGTGCATTCTTGGCGAGGGAGACGACTGTGCTCTGGGGTCTCGGACCCACGTGTGGTGCAGAGGATAAGACCACCTTCCACTCGGCTAATAGTGTGCTCCTGAAATTTGTGTAAATTAAAACGTTGGAAGTGGATTCAAACGTATACACGACTCTGGTGGGCTCTCTGACGAACAGCTCTTCATGCCAAATTCTTTTGTAACGCGAGCACTTGCGTTCTTACCGAGCTGTTGGCAAGGGAGCAGTTTCATACGTTCAGTTATCTCAGCCCAGGGGGCATCCCAGCAGTGACCTGCACCTTCTGTGATCACTTCCTTCCCTCTTGCTGAAAGCAAGCTGCATGTGGTTGAGGCCAGCAAACAATGCTATGCGGTTTTCATATTTCTGAACGTTCCTAATCAGTGTCCTTAATGGACAGCTTACGTAACGCTTCCCGATAGTGCCTTTGCTATTACGAAACGTTCCTGATGCAGCAAGCAGCCGGCGCTTCCTCCGAGCATCTCACCGTTTCATTTAAACCCACAGTGGAATGCAGACGTCCTTTCTGTCTCTGTCAATTTTGTGCTGTGAATGTAACATTCCATTTCACTACTGTCACAGTTCTGGGAAATGGCCTTGGATTTGATGAGGAAACCCCTGTAAGTTATTTGCACTGTCCAGCCCTGCACCGTGTGCTGTGAAAGGTTGTGGGTGACTGGGGCTTCCTTTTGCTCCCCAATTACGTGGCATCCATGACATTCTCAACAGAGATATTTCTCTTCTGTGAATGGAGTGGTTTACCTTTATGTAGTTCAATAAATATTTGTTCACATGTTGTGTTAAGCACCTACCCAGTGCCGTGTGCCAGGCGCTGCAGTGCCTGGACATTCACCAGACACAGCCTCTGCCCTGGAGAGGCTGGAAAACTCTGTGGAAGAAAACAACAACCTATGTAATTAGCTGCATTGAAAGCCACACTCGGGAACAATATGATGATAAGACCCAAGGCCAGGAGGTGCTGCTGTCATTGCTCAGGAAAGATAATGGCCCGACAGTGTCAGCTCCTCCTGTAAAACGTGCTTGAAATTCTACCAAAAACACAGGCTGCCACCCCCTGCCCCCTACCAACTTCGATCTCCACAGAAAATTTGTTCAGATCATAGAGGCAGGAGGCAGCACTGAGAAAGAGGGAGAATCAGAGGGAGAATGGAGGGAGAAAGTGCTAGAGAGAATGAGAGGGAGGGAGAGAAAACCAGAGAGGGAGAGAGAGAGGGAGAGAAGGGGGGGGGCAGGGAGGGAGAGAGAGGAGAGAGGGAGGGAGGGAAGGAAGGAAGGAGGGAAGGAAGCAGTCCCGTCTGTCCCTCAAACCCCGTTAGAGCAAGGAGCCATTCTCAGACGAATAACAAGCCGCAGGCATCTTGGCCTGCCTTGGAAGCAGCCACCTTCCCGGTAACAAGTCAGTGCATCAGAGCAGGTGCATGGAGAGAACAGGTGTTTCCTGCAAATGACAGTGAGGGTGGCGCGAAAGAGGCTCAGTGGAACGGGTGAGGCAGAAAGTAAGGGACTCAGCACCCACAACGGTGGTGGCCCAGCCTCCTGGGATGGGACTGGGTTTTGGGTCTGCATGTGGGGACCGGGTTTCAGGGTCTGTGTGGTTTCTCCCTAACTGGAAAAGACTTGCCTCCTTCCTCCACTCCCAAACCCTGGACACTCTGGGCCAGCACAGCAGCCCCTACAGGTCTGAGCTCCGTCTTCCCCTGTCTCCCGCCTCCTGTCCACCCCTTCAAACTCTCCAGCTTCTCCCAGAGGACGCCACTCCGCGGCAGGTGCACAGTCCTTTGTGTGCTCATCTTTTAAACATATGCTGCCTCTCCGTCCATGAGTGGCAAGACCGCTGCCTATAAGGACACGTGCATTTCAGGCAGAAACGCGCTTACGATGGGAGGCTTCCTCCATGCGCTGCCGCCTCGCGTGGGTGCTAACAGCGCCCTTGCACCGCATCCTCGGAAGGCCCCGCCACGCTCTTGTGTCTCCTGCCCGTTCATTCTTGCAGGACAGCTCCGGCACCCGGGGCTTTTGGCGGTGCTCTGCTGGGGAGCGGGATCACTAGTCTCCGGGGCCCAGGGTGAACGCAGGAGTCCCCTGGTCTGACCACACCAGTCTACGGCCTCGCACCTGCCCATGGTGAGAACCGCAGCTCCACAGCGGGCGCCATGGAGCCGTGCTCCCCGGGACAAGGAGGGGCACGGACGTCCCCTTCCTTGGCACAGGAGGCACCTCTGAGCAATTTAGGAATTTCTGTACTTCTTATGAGACTAGAGTCTGGTCATGGCCTCTGGAATACCAAGGACAAGACGAGGTCCCTGCGCAAAAAGCCTGGGGCCCGGGAATTTCCCGCAGCGGCCCCTGTGGAGGCTCCTGTCCCCGCCAGCGTCCAGCCCGCGAGCCCGTTCCTCATTCTGCCTCTCGCGTGTGCACCGCGCTGTGCGCCCGTGGCTCTAAGGCCTGGTCCGTGGATGGGCTGCTTTCCTTGCGGGGAGCCTGAGCCGGCCGGGCTCCAGGGCCTCCTGTGCCGCTCAGGGCAGTGCTTGGCCTGTTCACGTCTTGCCCCCGCGGCGGGGGGCATGCGGGGCCCCCTGGGAGCAGCGGAGCCGTGGGGTTTCCATCCTGGGAGGGCACGGAGGTTCCGTGGGAGGTGCCTCGCTCAGATTCTGTGGTGAGCCCACCCGTGCTGCTGACTCACACCCGTATGTGCCTGTGTGCCCAGGTCTGTGAGATGGGAGTGCGTGTGCAAGTGTGCTTGAGTGTGCGAGTGTGCAGGCGTGCACGTGTGAGAGTGCGTGTGTGCACGTGTGTGCATGTGTGAGTGCATGCGTGTGTACGAGTGTGCGTGCATGTGCATGGTGTGAGTGTGCATGAGTGCGTGCATGCATGTGGGTGTGGTGTATGTATGTGTGCATGCACGTGTGTGCATGTCTGTGCGTGCATGTGTGTGTGCGTGCGTGTGCATGCGTTTGCATGTGAGTGCGTGCCTGTGTGCATGTGTGCGTGCATGCATGTGTGGGTGCGTGTGTGCATGCACGTGCATGTGAGTGTGCGTGAGCGTGTGTGAGTGTGCATGTGTGAGTCTGAGTGTGCATGTCTGTATGTGTGAGTGTGCATATATGTGCGTGCTCTCTCACCCTGCCTCGCCCCAGTGTGTGCAGCGCTGGAACCAGGCGCCCTCCCGAAGCCTGGGCTGGCGTTTGCGCGGTGCTGCTCTCGGGCGCTGCCAGAGCAAAGGCCACGCTGTCTGTGGGAGAAGCCCCGGGGCCTGCACCTGCCCTGTCCAACCACCGGGGCTCCGGTCCCCAGAACCCAGAGACCCCGAGCCGGGCCGACACAGCATCCCACAGGGACGCGG
Source organism: Homo sapiens (assembly GCF_000001405.40). Taxonomy (NCBI): domain Eukaryota; kingdom Metazoa; phylum Chordata; class Mammalia; order Primates; family Hominidae; genus Homo; species Homo sapiens. The sequence goes on along the minus strand of NC_000018.10, from coordinate 79,788,824 downwards.
CGACCGCCGCCGGGGAGGGCCCATGAGGAGCAAAGGCGAAGGAAGAGCAGCCCCTGCTCCTGGGGGTGGCCGGGAAGGGCGGGGCGGTTCCCTGCGCGGGGGGCCAACGGGGGGCGGAGGTCATTCGCACAGGGCAGACCCACCTGCGCCCTGGGTGCGACCCCGAGTGTTCCGAAGAAATGGATTAATTTCACCTTTCATTAGCAAACTGGCCATATTGTTTCTAAGCGGGGCGGGGCTGCCGTCCGGATGTGAGCCGCATGTTTTCTCTCCCTCGCGAATCTCCTGGGTGGAAGCAGCCCCTCCCCAGCGCCACCGTGGAGAAGGAATGGGTCCTGCGGCCCGCGGCGGAGCGGGGGCTGTGCGGGGTTCCACGCGCAGGGTCCCATCCACCCGAGGAAAAGGGGCTTCCGCAGAAAAACCCACAAAGGCAACGGGGGCGGCAGCTGAGCCTCGTCCGAGCTGGGCCTGCCGGGCGGGAGCGCGGGACAGGCGGGCAGAGGCCGTGCGGGCGCCGCAGAGGAAACGCGCCCCCTCCGCGTCCTCAAGCGGGTCCACCGGGCCGGCGGGGCCTGCGCTGTGCGCGGGGATCTTCTGCGCTCCGGGGACGCGGCTCGCGGGCGTCTGCGGCCCCGCTAGGAGGGACCCGGGAGGCCGCGGGTTGGACCGGGCGCCCGCGTGGCGGCCCCTGCTCTGAGCGCTCGGGCAACCCTTGTGCGCCGCGAAAACCGGGAGCGCCTCGGCCGTCAGCGGCTTCGCGACAGCCTCGGCCCGCGTCCCCCACAGCCGGGACCCCGCTCTCCCGGGACCCCGCTCTCCCGGGGCGGCCTTCGCCTGCGTCCCGCCTCCCCCGGGTCCGGGGAAGCGCCCGCCCCGCGGCGCGGACCCCGGCGTCTCCTCCCTGGCTGGGCCGCCTTGTCAGGATAACACGTTCTAAATTAGCCTGTGCTCCGGGAATATTTGAGAGGCTCCTTCGCGGAGGACTAAAATAAAAGTGACAAAAAATGTAAATATCGAACATTGGAAAAAACTGTTCAAGCTCACTTATAATTAAAGAATGCAAATTAAAACAATGACACTTTTCCCGTAAAATTAGGCAAGTATCTTCTAACTGCCCCGGCTATCCGGTTCTGAAATTCTCTCCTAAGGAAATAAACGAGAGCCGAGAAAGTATCGGTCCAAGAACGTTAACAGGCATTACCTCCGCAGTATTGGAAAACTGGGAACCGTGGAGATGTCTGGCCTCAGGGGCTTGGATGGAGTTCAGCCTTCTTCGGGGTTCAACCACGTGGTGCGCGCGGCCACTGGGGGGGTCTCTGAAGACTTTTTCTGCACCGGGCACCCCTCAGGAGCTCAGGTGAAAGGCAGGACAAAACTGCACCTCACCGGATGCTGACCCTGGTCACCGACGCTCTCCTGTCCCCCTGTGGCTCCACCTTGGAGAACCCACCTGGCTTTTCCGTGAGCTTCACACTCGTCCGAAACCCGGGATGTGTGCGACACGCGGCCGAGGGTTGCTGGATGCCTGGAGGCTTAGTGCCCCTCACACCTCTCAGCACCTAAGCAGGCCTCTCACACTCAGCAGGAACGAAGGAGAACAGGAGGCAAAGTCACACCGTCTCCCCGCTGCATTTGAGGGATTCGGATTCCCCTTCCTGCTTCTTGGTAATTTCCATATTTTCTACAAACAACTTGTGTAACTTCGACAGTCATAAAACATGGAAAGCATACGACTTGAGGAAAGGGGACCCTGGGCACTCTCTGGTCTCTGTCCCTGAAGCCACATTCGCTGGGATAGGAGGAGCCGCTCACCCACGTCAGACCTTTGGGGTTTAAGCTGTGAAAGCTGCTGATTTACCCCAATGGCATTTTACAAGCAGGTTATTTCACAACTTTGTAAAATACTGAGAATTTAAAGTGCTGCTCCTGACCACAGAACAACTGAGGGAATAAAGTTAAACAGGAAGACCCTAAATTTCAGACTTCCTCACATAAAAAAAGGAAGGGGAAGGAAGGAAAAATAATTCTGGTTGATGTATTTCCAACTTCAGGTCAGATAAAAGAATCGTAGGCTTTGCAGAAACACTTCCCATTCGCCTGGGAGGCTACTAGACAGTGATGATTTTACTTTTTTATTTCTATAGTTTGCCCCTTTACTTTGAGCCCCGGCTCAAACCAGTCCGCGGGGCACATGCCCTCTCCCTGTGTCTGGCACTGCTGCCCCGTCCTGGCCCTGCCCCAGCAGGTGCTCATGCAGGGAGACAGAGGCTGATGGTTCTAGGCTCCATCTTAGTGGCTCCAGTGAAGAGAAGGTTCTGGCAAAACTACCTGGCTGGTGTGGCTCAGGTGCCGTGTTCTCAAGGATGGCTATTGTGGCCAGGGGCACCAACGACCCTGATGAACCGGGCTGAGTTCCCGGGCAGTCGTGGTCAGGTCTGGCCAAGTCCCGTGCTGTGGAACCCCATGGGGAATAGCTGAGATCCGGGGCAGTGGTGGTCGGGTCTGGCCGAGCCCCGTGCTGTGGGACCCCATGGGGAATAGCTGAGATCCGGGGCAGTGGTGGTCGGGTCTGGCCGAGCCCCGTGCTGTGGGACCCCATGGGGAATAGCTGAGATCCGGGGCAGTGGTGGTCGGGTCTGGCCGAGCCCCGTGCTGTGGGACCCCATGGGGAATAGCGCTGTGGCCTGTGACAGCTCAGTGCCAGGGACTTGACCCAGTGACAGCAGGCCAGGCTGTCCTGCCTCGGCACGGCATGTAGGCCTGTGGCTGGGCTTCCCCACATGGGCATCCTGTGTGTCTCGGGGTGCCAGCAGCAGGCCGGCCCCACCCGCTTGATGCCAGTGGGACCCCCCGCCATGCTGTGCAATCAGAACTGCCTCCAGGTATTGCCAGTGCCCCTGGGGTGGGATGAGGGCAGGGTTGACCTGAGGGGACCATGCACCTGCATGCCCACCCCAAACTGTGTTAAAATAAAGGAAATCGGGCTATTTTAGAGCTGAAATGAGATTTCAGTTGCTTCTACTTAATCTTAGAAGTCATCTGGTCCCTTCTCATTGCACAGGTGAGGAAGGTTTAGTGAGGCCTCAGATACAATTTAGAGGAATAGAAAAGGCAAAACCCTGTTTATGTTCATTGTTTGGGGGCTGAATATTCATGGCCACAAAGGAGAATGTGATCCTGACAGGTTCAGGGGGTGCGGCCGGCTCACTGGAGAAAACAGGTTCAGAGGGTGCAGCTGGCTCAGGAGCTGCCGAGCAGCCCCCACCAGGCTCCCTGGCAGGCAGCGGCAGCCCCCAGAGTGAACAGGCTCTGACCACCCTCCAAATTCCCGGCCCCCAAAATGGGAATTGCAGGGGCTAAAAATAGAGATGTGGGCTGTTATGAATATGTTCATAACATCTCCTTTCTTCAAGCTGAGTAATTCCAATTCTGTCAGCAATTTTTCATGAGATTTATCTGCCAACACTTGAGTAATCCGTGTGGCTGTGGCTTAAGTCCACCCCGAGTGTTCCCACGCTGTTAAGTTGTGGGGTCCAGAGCGGGACCCAGCACTTAAAATTCTTGCAGCGTTACCGCCGGGTGCACTGGGAAGGGAACACGCGTTTCTGTAGCATCTGCATACAGCGGATGCCGTCAGGAACTGCGGAAGGGGAGCGTGCGGTGGCTCGGCCAGGGGCCACCCCTGCTCGTCCTTGCGGAGCACAAGCCGATGCCCCAGCCGCTGACTCAGAAGTCAGCCAAGCCGCAAACCCGGGACGCTCTGCCTCACCACACGCTGGCGGCTCAAACCCACCCCGGAAACACTGTTTGTCCACAGGGACACAGGTACCGTGAGTTGTTTCCTATTATTGTAAAACGATTCACTTTCATTCACTGAAGAGCTTTCCCTAGTTACCCCCTCAGTCCAGGGCCGTATGCTGAGCTGTGACAAAGAGGGTCTCTGTGATCAAGGTGTTTCCGCTTGTATGCGGGAGATGGCACAGAGACAGGTGACAGGCGTGACCACCCGGGAGACAGCACAGAGACAGGTGACAGGCGTGACCGTGTGGGAGACGGCACAGAGACAGGTGACAGGCGTGACCACGCAGGGAGGCATGGCGTGCACAGCAGCCAAGGGCAGGGCTGCGTCTGTCATCCACACCCTATGGGGGACCGGCCCCGGCGAGAGGTACAAAGCATTTAAAGGCAACTTTGAACCCATATGTGGGGAGGGCTTCACTTCCGAATTCTTTCCTTTGGGTGAAGCAGTGGGAGGGAAGAGGGGTTGGTTTTCTGGAAACTCGGCTCCCATTTGTCATTCCCTCCTCAGTCACTGAGTTCGTCTTTTCTACACTTCAACCCCAGCGCCTGCCTGTCACAGGCCCCAAAGTTACCAGGCTGCCATCAGCCTCGGCCCTCGTTCCCACCCAGCGCGCCGACTGTGTCCACTTCTTCCCCTCCGCGTCGCCCCAGTGCCTCCACGTGACGTCGTGGGGCCGGTCGCCCTTTCGTAACCTACTTGTAGGATGCACTGGGCAACACCAAGTGTATAGACGCTCTTCCCAAGTCTACGCCCCGGGTTGAAAGTGTCGCCATCCTTGTGACGCCATCCTTATGATGTCATCCATGGGACGTCATCCTGTGTGATGTCATCCTGTGGAACAGGCACATCACGGTGCCATGGACAGGCGCCACTGCTTGTGGGGGTCTGAGGACGCCACAGTTTGGCTGCAGGCTGCTTTTGCTGCCCTTTGCCCCCTCTTCTTCCTCCCCCTCCTCCCCCAGCGGTGTGCATTTTCCCATCTGTTATCAGAAGTGGGAAATGTAATCACCAGGTGAAGCATCACAAGGGCAAATTTTTCCTTAGTAACTGGCGGGAATGCTGATTCTGAGTTTGCTTTGCATACAAATGTTTGCTTGTTGGATGGTGAGATAAATATCAACAAGAAGTGGCTTTAAAAAGACCCCTTTAGCTGGAGGGCATTTTTGAGGCTTCCCAGTGTTCATCAGCTCTGAGGCATGAGCTTAGCACCACGCACGCCCGTGACACGTGGACTCCTGGGTACTACAGGAGCCATGCCTCGGAGACCCGGCTCCTCGCAGAGACGTGCGGTAGGAAGCTTGGGTGCGTTTAGATGTGCCCAACAGAGATTTTCTTTTTTCCTTTTTTTTTTTTTTCAGACAGAGTCTGGCTCTGTGGCCCAGGCTGGAGTGCAGTGGCGCGATCCTGGCTCACTGCAAGCTCCGCCTCCCGGGTTGACGCCATTCTCCCGCCTCAGCCTCCCAAGTAGCTGGGACTACAGGTGCCCGCCACCATGCCAGGCTAATTTTGTGTGTGTGTGTGTGTGTGTGTGTGTGTGTGTGTGTTTTGTAGAAACGGGATTTCACCGTGTTAGCCAGGATGGTCTCAATCTCCTGACCTCGTGATCTGCCCACCTTGGCCTCCCAAAGTGCTGGGATTACAGACGTGAGCCACCGCGCCCGGCCACCCAACAGAGATTTTCAAAGGGAGTAAACCTTGCCGATCAGGCGGCACGCTGCTGCCAAGTGGGCTGGGTTATGGGTCTGAGCTTTCCGGGCGGGAGCAGCAGGGCCAGGCGGAGCTCACGGGGATGGCACGGGAGCCACCTGCTAGCCGAGCCTGCAGCTCCCAGTGATACTGGACAAGGCCCAGTAGACGCCGGGTGGGAAACGGAGGACAGCCACCACGCGCCGCCCACAGAGGGCACTGCGCCCGCAGCACGGGGTCTCGTCCCGCACGACTCAAGGGCGGAGTTCAGTTCTGTGCTGGCACCAGGGACACGGGCTTGGAAAGCAGGAAGACCTGCCGCGCCAGAGCCGAGAGGAGCCAGGCAGAGCCGCTCCATCACCCACCAGCCGACGGCACCCCAGGGTGGCTCTGAAGCCCGAGTCATTCGCTGTACGTGTTTTGAAAGGGGAGACTTCTGTGAAGCATCGTTTATTCAGAGGGACCACGATGGCCTCATCCGTCTGCTTGTCTGTTACAGTGAATGGGTATGAAGGGCCCATCCGGTGCCGGGCCTGGGGCTGCTTGCTGGGGGGCCGTGAAACCTCAGGGCATCTACACCCGGGCACAACACACACAGCTTATAGAAAACAAACAGGCAGGTCAACCTGACCACGGCCAACACCTGACTCTGGAAACAGTCACCTGGGAAGCAGTCGCCGGGCTGCAGAGTCGGCGTTTCAGCCTGAGAGGGAAGCTGCACGCTGGGGGGTAGAAGCCCGGCATCTGAACTGTTCCCCTGCCCACATATTTTACTACATTTCCTTACCCCTCAACACTTATGAACCAGAGATTATCAGGACCAAAAATACAAAGGCTCCGCAGCTTTTCAAACAGGTACAGAGAGCGATGGTGGGCGCTGCGAGATGCTGGGGAGGGCTGCTGGGGAATCTCCAGGCAGGTGCAGCGACCAGGGAGATGTTTGCCACTGATGAGAAAAAATGCCAAATGCTGCTATAGCTTTAAAATGTGGGGTTTTGTTGTTGTTTTTGTTTTTTTGTGTCAAATTGGACTCTGCCAAGTTATAAAGGGGAACATTTGAATTTTAGAAGGAAATGCAACAGCCCTCTGGATCTAGAGTAACAGCAGGGCTTGTGGGAGACAAGCGTTGTTATGAAGCGTGCAGAGGGAGAAGGTCCCTCCTAAGGTGCCCTTTGTACAGCCCTTTGGATCTAGAGAAACACCAGGGCTCGTGGGAGATGAGCGTGGTTGTGAAGCGCACAGAGGAAGAAGGTCTCTCCTAAGGTGCCCTTCGTACAGCCCTTTGGATCTAGAGAAACACCAGGGCTCATGGGAGATGAGCGTTGTTGTGAAGCGTGCAGAGGGAGAAGGTCTCTCCTAAGATGTCCTTTGTACAAAACCCGAGCGGGATTTAAAGGTCCCCACATTCCCGCATCTGTTATGGTGGAAGATGAGCCCTGGAGTGCCACGTGCCCTGCCAGACAGCGGGGCCTGGGCCACCATTGGTGCTCCCAGAGGTCTCCAGGCCTTTCCCTCAAGGATAAGCCTCATTGATGCTTAGCTGGGACTTCTTCCCTGGCGAGGAGGGCACCTTGGGGGGATCAGGGATGCTGGGAGCCAGTCCTGGCTCTGCTTCCTCCTGGCCGCCCCCCCCACCAGGCATGCTCAACATGCGGAGTTGGTGTGGAGGCCGGGGCTGCATGCTTGGGACACGACTGAGGAGAAAAGTCACATAGGAGGTGGCACGCAGTTCTCAGCGCCCGGGCCTTGGCGAGATATCTCCAGACCAGCAGGGACAGGAGGTCACTTCATTTGCAAAGGCAACCTTAGAGCAGCTCCAGTTTTCAAGGACATGATATGTTTCATGCCACGAGGTGGCTGTTTATTCAGTTCTGAAACCAGGGACCTTCTCATTGGCTTAGCCCTGGCGGGGCACGTGGTGACCGTGGTGTTAACTCCAGGGAGGGTGCAGGTCAAGCTGTGGTTATTTTGGAGCCGGGCCTAGCAGCACAGTGGTGATGCCTGTACAGTGGTGACACTGCTTTTCCTGCTTGACCTGTGAGTGATGGGCGGATTACTGCACTCAAATGGAACCCTGAAGGAAAAACGGTCTGGAGGCTCAAGGCTCTCAGGCTCACCTGTTATAACTGGTTTGCATGTCTCATATCAGGTAATCACACGGCCAAATATTCTTGGGGAATTCTGTTTACATGCAGATTTCTTTATAATTCTTACCGTTTGCTTAATACGTATGTGCATGTGTGAGTAAACTGGAAATACCTGAAAATGTGCAATAAGCTTCATAGGGAGAAAAAGGAGGGCAGATTGAGATGCAGGTGAGAGAAGCGGGGTCCGCCGCTCTTGCCTCCCTGCCTGGACGTGAAATGTGGAACCTCACCCAGTGCTCAGTGTCTTGCCTTTCATTTTGTTTATTTATTTATTTTTTTTGACTCAGCATCTCACTCTGTCGCTCAGGCTGGAGTGCAGGGAGGTGATCACGGCTCACTTCTGCCTCAAACTCCCAGGCTCAAGCAATCCTCCCACCTCAGCCTCCCAAGTAGTTGGGACTATATGCGTATACCACCACGCCCGGCTGACCTATTTATTTTTTGTAGAGATGGAGTCTCACCATGTTGCCTGGGCTGGCCTTGAGCTCTTGCACTCAAGTGATCTGCCTGCCTTGGCTTCCCACAGTGCTGGGATTGCAGGCGTGAACCACTGTGCATGGCCGGGACTTAGGATTTTTAAGTGACTAACAGGGTCCCAGTCCGGGAAGCCCCTGACTAGCATTAAAGGGCAGCCTCTGGAGGGTGAGGTCAGCAGGGTCTAAGATGCAGGAAGCAAAGTCCTGGCTGGACCAGGGCGGACAGTGTGCACCCGGCCAGCACTGATGTTCACAGGGCAGCCTCTGGAGGGTGAGGTCAGCAGGGTCTAAGATGCAGGAAGCAAAGTCCTGGCTGGACCAGGGCGGACAGTGTGCACCCGGCCAGCACTGATGTTCACAGGGCAGCCTCTGGAGGGTGAGGTCAGCAGGGTCTAAGATGCAGGAAGCAAAGTCCTGGCTGGTCCAGGGCGGACAGTGTGCACCCGGCCAGCACTGATGTTCACAGGGCAGCCTCTGGAGGGTGAGGTCAGCAGGGTCTAAGATGCAGGAAGCAAAGTCCTGGCTGGACCAGGGCGGACAGTGTGCACCCGGCCAGCACTGATGTTCACAGGGGTCGCTGCTTCTTCCTCACCAAGGCTGGATCTGGGGTGCTCCTTCCCAATCCTCTGGCTTCTTCAGTGCCCAGAGCTGAGTCCTCTCAGGCCACGGCCAGTGTCTGTGCTTGGCCTTCCCAGACGGCCTCTGGCTCCGGATTCTGGTGCCAGGTCAGGGCGGGCCCGCCCACACTTTGCACAGGTGACCCCTTCCTTTTGTAAAGACCCACTTGGATTTCCTCTCCTGTGCGTCCCCTCCGACCTCCGGCCTCCGACCTCCCAGTCTGGGCCTGTGTGCGGGGGAGTGACGTCAGTTATTTTTCTTGCCCTAAACCGCCCTTCTCATAGGACCAGCACCTCCCTTTGGAAATCACTTCTTCTCCATCAAACCACACGTTTTCAGTGGCAGAGGACTGTGATTGGCCCAAGGATGGCTGACAAAGGCTTTTAAACCACGGCGGAGGCTGAGGCCCCGGGCTTTGGAGTCTGTGCAGGGACCTGACAACGTGCACTCCATGATGGAGTCTTCCGATGGCCACACTGCCTTGCGCGCCCCTGGGGGGCTCGTGGGCGGTGTGCGTTGGGTGATGACCAGGCAGATGCTTCCGTTTGGGGCCAGGGGCTCGGCCAGGCCGGCAGGGCGGCTGCTGGCTGCAGGCATTCTGCAACGTGGGCGCTGTTCCAGAGGGCTTTACTGTTGAAGGGGGTGTGGGCTGTTGCAACCCACCCACAGCACTTTTCTCAAGAGTTGTGAGAACTCGAAATTAAGCCACACACGTATTTTCAGAGCCCATGGCGAGTGATCGGCCCACCGACCCCACGTGACTGAACGGGAGAATGGCTGGGAACGTGTCATCCTGTTTTCCTCCAAGCCGAGGGGGATGTGGATCTCTTAAGACAACAACCACTCCGCACGCTGCACGTGGGGCCGGGTCCAGGAATAATCTTTTAAAAGGCACATATGTATTTATAATGTAATATATGCAAACAAATTTAAGTTCCTATGCGCGTGGGTGTCATATTTGTATCTTTTTCTGTTGCTGAAATGGAAAACCACAGCTAAATACATACATCTGTAGCTTATGCTGTCTTCAGCATACACCTTTTTTTAATACCTGATCTCTTTGACATACTTCACATAACAGATTTTTTAAAGACAACGAACTTTGGAACAAGAACCCCTTATTGTTACTCTGTGTGCTGTTCTGATGAAGGTCCTCAGGTTTTCTTCTCTCTCTTTACCTTCTGTTCTCAGACAGCTCCTGGGAGCTGCAGCCCTGAGGAGGCTTTATCTCTGGACACTTGTTTTTGCACTGGGGGGTCCGGGGCCGCCCCACCCCTCACTGTCTGACTAAACCACACAGAAGGTTAAGCAGCAAATTCGAGGCTCCCTCCTCAGAGATGCCTTTTTAAGAAAGACCCAGTGTACTCAGGCTGAGATCAGAGCCCCTGGGCCAGGCGGCCGCGAGTGCTTCTTGGAGCCGGTGAGCACAGACTTGGCGTCGTGAGATCGTGGAGCAGGCCTCTCCCTCTGCATCGGGGCTCAGGGCTCAGCAGGGACAGGGAGCACACAGCGGCTCCCCGCACGGCAGCAGGGCAACCACGACGACTCCAGTGCAGAGAGCGTGGCCTCGGCCTCAGCCTCCGGCCCCTGCACGGCCTGTCAGCTGTGTGGACTCCTAGTCATGTAAGAGTTGGAGAGTCAGGAATCCGGGAAGAAGAGCTCACGCCCCCTGCCCTCCTCTGGGCAGACCTGGAGCTGCTAATGCTTCAACATGCTCGTGCCTCAAGGGAGCACCACCCCGGCCTCGGCAGTGATGAGGCTGCCCAGCCGCACGGGGAGGCCACGGACCAGAGGTCACAGAGGGCAAGGCTGTGGCGAGCAGGAGAAATGAGAACCACCTGGGGCAGGAGTTTCTCAAATCAGGAAGGGACAGGAGCATGGAGGAAGAAGAGCGGGAACTTGCAGAAAAAGAACCAAAGACAGACACAGCTGCAGACAGGTTTCGCCTCTGCATGCAGGTGCACAGCCTTTTCATTCCTGTCTTCATATTAAATATCGTTTTCCCAGGCTATCCAACCCAGAGGACAGCTAACACCCGAATGTGAACGGCTGTGCAGTGTGAGGCTCACCTACACGGCACAGACCCCACCAACACTCCCCAAAATATCCACCACTCTCGGAAGTCTACAAGTCCCACTTGAATTTTTTTAGATAACCTCATTTCCTGCTGCCTTCCCAACTGTGTGGGAGCCATTCAATACGATGGCTGTCACCGTCCTCCAGGACAGTCCTCCACCCTAGAGCTGTCTCAACCCTCCAGGACAGTCCTCCATCCTAGAGCTGTCTCAATCCTTCAGCACAGTCCTCCACCCTAGAGCTGTCTCCATCCTCCATGACAGTCCTCCACCCTAGAGCTGTCTCCATCCTCCAGGACAGTCCTCCACCCTAGAGCTGTCTCCATCCTCCATGACAGTCCTCCACCCTAGAGCTGTCTCAACCCTCCAGGACAGTCATTCATCTTAGAACTGTCTGCATCCTCCGTGACAGTGCTCTACCCTAGAGCTGTCACCACCCTCCAGAACAGCCCTTCACCCTAGAGCTGTCACCACCCTCCAGGATAATTCCTCCACCCTAGAGCTGCCTCCATCCTCTATGACAGTCCACCCTAGAGCTATCTTCGTCTTCCAGGACAGTCTTCCACCCTAGAGCTATTGCCATCCTTCGTGACAGTCCTTTGCCCTAGAGCTATGGCCATGCTCCATGACAGTCCTCCACCCTAGAGCTGTCACCATCCTCCAGGACAGTCCTCCACTCTAGAGCTGTCCCTTTTTCCAGGACAGTCCTTCACCCTGGAGCTGTCTCCATCCTCTGTGACAGTCCACCCTAGAGCTATCGCCAACCTCCAGTACAGTCCTACACTCTAGAGGTGACTCAATCCTCTGTGACAGTCCTCCACCCTAGAGCTGTCTCAACCCTCCAGGACAGTCTTCCACCCTAGAGCTGTCTCAATCCTCCAGGACAGTCCTCTATCCTAGAGCTGTCTCAGTCCTCCAGGGCAGTCCTCCACCTTAGAGCTGTCTTCATCCTCCATGGCAGTCCTCCACCCTAGAGCTGTCTCCATCCTCCATGACAGTCCTACATCCTAGAGGTGTCTCAATCCTCTGTGACAGTCCTCCACCCTAGAGCTGTCACCAACCTCCAGAACAGTCCTCCACCCTAGAGCTGTCTCCATTGTCTATGACAGTGCACCCTAGAGCTGTCTCCGTCATCCATTACAGTCCTCCACCATAGAGCTGTCTCCATCCTCCATAACAGTGCACCCTAGAACAGTCTCCATCCTCCATGACAGTCCTTCACCTTAGAGCTGTCTCCATCCTCCAGGACAGTCCTCCACCCTAGAGCTGTCTTCATCCTCCAGGACAGTCCTCCACCCTAGAGCTCTCTCCAGCTCACTGCAAGGTCTGCCTCCCGGGTTCATGCCATCCTCCTGCCTCAGCCTCCCGAGTAGCTGGGACTACAGACACCTGCCACCACGCCCGGATAGTTTTTTGTATTTTTAGTAGAGACGGGGTTTCACTGTGTTAGCCAGGATGGTCTCAATCTCCTGACCTTGTGATCTGCCCACCTCGGCCTCCCAAAATGCTGAGATTACAGGTGTGAGCCACCGCGCCTGGCCAGGCTGTGCTCTCTTCTTCACTAAGGGGGGCGGCTGCGTCCTGGATGGGAATGAATGAGCTGAGCGGTGCGTTTCTAGGCTGCACAGAAGCTCTGGCCAGGCTGGGCTGCTCTCCACCTGTGTTTTGAAACAATCGGCTTTTTCAGCAAAAAAAGAAAAGACAATGTCGTGTGTTTTTTTTCTTCTTTTTTGGTGCCAAAAGTACCTGGTGAGTCACTTAGACCAGTGATATTTCAAACGTCCTCATTATTATAACAATGTTGTCATTATTACTACTTTTATCTATCAGGGAACCCCTTCCTCAATCCAAATCCTGTATGGAGATCCAGCCTGGATACCGACAGATGGGTGTGCCGGGGGCACTGGAGCGCCACCCCTGATCTTCCTGGTCTTTCTGCACCCCCAGGCACCTGCGAGGGCCTCGTCCTGAGCCTGGAGCCCAGCAGGACCCTCTTGGATGGTTCCCCTGCTGTCTCCTGGAGCCAGAAGCGCCCGTTCTCAATGCTGCTGTCTCTTCTGCACCAGCGAGTAGACTCTGAGTGCCCGCTCTGTGCTGGGCCCCGTGACGGAGACAGGAAGGGCCGGGAGTGGGGGCTTCAGTGAGGTGCTTGGGGAGTGCGCAGGGAGAACGGAGTGCCAGAAACCTCAGGGGAGGAGTTGTAGCTGCTACGCCAAGACGGTGGCTGCAAAAACAAAGGCTTGTCTCCGGTGAACCTGTGGGATGTGGAGCCACAATGGGTCGCTGGGCTCCCCCTGGGCGCTGCCAATACCCCGGGCTCCAGGACAGGCGCCCACGCCAGCGGCCTCAGCACAGGGACGCAGCTGTTTGCTTCTCTCTGAGACCTCCTGGTCACGTCCCAAAGCTGAATGGTCCTTCTTGTCCCTGGCAAGTACCAGTTTTACATCGTGCAGCGTTCTGAGCAGGCGATAGAATCCATCCCGCTCTGCCCCACCCAGGACGGGACCCGCCCATCGTCCACGCTGCAGGCGCCCCTTGCTGTTGGTTGCTCAGGAGCCGTCTCAGTTGTCTGACTGTCACGGTACCAAAGTGCTGGTGTAAAGTGACCCTCATTTTGCTTAATAATGTTTGGCCCCAAAGCACAAGAGCAATGATGCTGGCAATTCAGATCTGCCAAGGAGAAGCCTAAAGTGCTGTCTTTACGTGGAAAGGTGAAAGTTCTCGGCTCAGGAAAGACAGGGAAAAAGTCACATGCTGAGGTTGCTAAGAATCCACCAAAAGAAGGAATCTTCTATTGGTTAAACTATTAACAAGGATAAAGAAATCAGTGCATAGCACACGTATCGGGCTTCTGGCATGTGTAGGGGATCGGAATGTGTCCCCTGAGGACAGGGGCCACCATGTTACGGACTCAAAGCATCCCCTCCCATGTAGCAGAAATGGGGTCCTTCCACCAACCCTCTCCCCAGCCCCTCCCCACCCTGGAGCCCACCCTCCCACTCCTGCCTGAGTTCGACTTCTGTTGACTCCACGCGTGAGATCATGCGACGGGAACGGTGCGGGACACCTCCCTTTACAGGAACATTCAGGTGTTGATTGATGTGCCGGACTGAACACTCCACGCTCTGGAATAAGACCCTTTCTTTGTGACCTGAAATGGCCTTAAGGTTTGGGTTTAATGTTGCCTCTGTGGGGTTCCGAAACACCATTGGGTTGATTTATCCGGGACTGGGTTGAGGGGGCTGCCCTCGCTTGGTACGTTTTAGAGGAACATGGTTTCTTTAAAAGTGTTCCGAGTATGATGGTATCAGGCTGGGTTCAAAAAAACCCTTCGGGCCAGATGCCATGTTGTGCGTGCACCTGTAGTCCCAGTCAGCTGGGAGGCTGAGGCAGGAGGATCACTTGAGCCCAGGAGGTGGAGGCTGCAGTGAGCTGTGATCACAACACTGCACTCTAGCCTGGGCGACACAGCAAGATCCTGTCCCAAACAAAACAAAACCCCCACAAAAGCCTAAAACGTAGTGGCTGACAAGCAACAGCATCATTCGCTCAGAATCTGCAGTCTGGGTAGGATGGGCTGGGCCGTGTGAAGCCTTGTGCACACGACACCCGCTGACGGTGGGTGCCTGCATGGTCCCGGGGGGCTTGTCCGTTCACCCGGTCGCCCAGGTGGGGGCCCACTGGCCGGGCCACAGGTATGTGAGGTCCCTGCTGCAGGTGGGCAGTACCTGGGGCTCACTGCTGCCGCCGCCCCACCTGGCACCCTCGCCCGTGACCTCCACTGCTGGTGCAGCTTCGCCTCTTCACCCTCAGTCACCGTTTGCTGCTGTTCCTTTAACATTTTACCAAGGTGCAAACCTTCTCGAGCCACAGACCTGCTGTGAATGCATCTTCCTCTTTGACTCACAGTAACGTCCAGGTCCATAAAGTGGGGCCCAGCAGCCCCTGCAGAAACATGTGCACGTCCAACATCATCCCGGGAATGCGGGTGGCTGCCCTGGGCTCCAGGGAGGACAGTTTTGCCAGATGTGACTCTTGGAGCTTCTTTTCTTTCGGTGCCTAAAAACAGTCCCACTTCCTTTGGGCCCCACGATGCAGATGGAAAACCCACTACCACTTGAGCTGGGGTTCCCTGCAGGCCGTGAGTCCTTCCCCAGGCTGTGCGAAGCGTTCATCTTCATCTTTAGTTTTTAGATGTTTAATTCTGGTGTGTCTGGGTTTGTCCTACTTGGCACTGTGAGCTCCTTGGATCTGCAGGTTTCTGTATTTTGCCAAACGTGCTGAGTCTTGGCCACGACATCCCCGACTTTCAGCCTCATGTTCCTCCCCTTACCCTGGGACTCTGAAGATACACATGTTGGATACGAATATCTGCGCATTTTCCTCAGCCTGCTTTCTCTGGGTTGTTCAGATGGGTAAATTCTGTGGGTCTTTCTCCTCCACTCTGTGATGAAACCCTTGCCGAGGAGCTCGGGGAGAAAGAGTGCTCGTTCCTCCGAGGCGTCCACCGCCTGCGGCTCTTCCCACAGGATCAACAGTCAGAGGTCCTCCAGTAGCGTCGGGCGTCCGTGCAGGAAAAGGACAGCCGAAGGGTTCATCAAAACCAAAAACGAATGCGTTTTACACGTGATGTCGCCTGCAGATAGCAGGCTTTCCTGGGACATGAGGCAAGTGCTTCGGGGAATGCAAGGGTGTGGGGAGCTTGTCTCTGTCCTAACCTTGGTTGCCAAATTCACTTTGCTTACGTGTTCTAACACCAAGACCAGGGAAGCCACTGGAAGGATCGGAAACCACACAATTCCAAGTGCGGTACGTTCTGCCTGTCGGAGACTGTGACATCTGGATAGTTGGGTGGCCAGGGCAGCACCTGGGCAGGAGGACCTGGCTGGGCAGGCCGAGTGCTGGTTTGGGAGAGGGGTCCGGCCTGCAGTCAGCGGGAAGAGGGTGCCCCGGCTCTGAAGCTCCAGCTCCCAGTGACTCAGAGGCCATCCCTGCCACAGCAAGGTCAGAAGACACTGAGAGCCGCCTGGGCCAGTGCGGTAGAGAAAGGTGCTCCTCCTGCACCCTCAGGAGCAGGGAAAGAAGGGGTCATGTGTGAGGTGCAGGGGGGGTGGCACCTGCCCTACACCCACAGCGCCTTCCTCTCTGTGGTAGCTGGACAGCGTCATGTGCCCCTTCCTGCTGCTTTCCAGCTGGCAGCCCTGGGAGTCTTGGTCAACGGTGCCCCTACCTGGGCAAGGGGTGGGCGGCCCGGTGTCCAGGGGAGGGGAGCTCGGGCCTGGGGGTCTCTGGGGCTGGTGGCCACAGCCTCCTGACTCCACTTTCCTTCCCAGCCAAGGATGAGGTTCCCGGCAGTGAGCGGGCGGCAGCGTCTCCTCACTTCCCCCATGGACCCAGCAGGACAGCACCTGGGCCCTACACTCAACCCGCCTCTCCTCACGTCGCCCACATGGACGCAGCAGGACAGGACCCAGGCCCTGTGCCCAGGCGGGCTCTCACCTCCCTCACGGACGCAGCAGGACAGGACCCGGCCCTGCACCCGACCCTCCTCTCCTTACCTCCCTCATGGACGCATCGCCTGCCTGATGACCTGGGGGTCTGACGTCCCCAGACGCCTGAAACAACAGCCGTGGTGTGTGCTGTGCAGGTGTCCTGGTGCCGAGATGCACCCATCAAAACCTCCCTCACCCAGCAGGGTCCTAACTGCCCCTGTTCACGGCCCTCACAGGCAGAACAGTTCCTAAAGGCTTCCTGAAGCCGTCTGTCCCGGTTCGAAAACACCCTCCGTGAATTGCCCTCCTGTGCCTCTCGGAGGTGGGGCTTTTAGAAATGGACGAGGCCGTGGGAGCTGCCGCCTTCGGGGCCTGGTGCGGGGGCGAGGACACAGCGGCCACTGCATGCGTTCAGAGCCATGAACTCCGTTGCGGGAACGACACCTCCCTCCCTCCCTCAGGTATTTAGGAAAGAAATGACCGTCAGAATAATTAGCCTTTAAAGGCAACGTGCTAGAAGGTTCCAGGGTCCCTATCACCCGGGGAAAGGAGTGATTCCCCTCCCCAGTCTGCAGGGGGGCAGCCACGTGGCTGCTGTCAGTACAGAAGGCTCAGGAACAGGAGGGAGGAGGAGGCCGAAGCCCCCAGTGCCGTTCTTCCCAAAGCACCGCCCTCCACCCTGATTCCGTGTTCTCTTCCGGACGCCACCCGTCCTGGGGTCTTTCTCCCACGCTCCAGCCTCTGCCAGGCCGGCTGCTGGCTCCACGCTTTCTTGCTCTGGGAACGGGCTGTGCACCAGCCTCCCAAGACAACCAAGGCTCCAGGTGCCCCTGCTGCTCCTCGGGGTGTCTGTGAAGCAGGCAGGCGGCCAGGCATGGGCGGGTGGGGCCTCCCTGTGGGCTGGGAAGCTGCAGGCATCCACGGGCTTGGGACGCCGGGGACTGAGGGCAGCCTGAGAGCCGGGTCCATGGGAGGACAGCATGGAGGGGAGGCCGGCGTGGAGGGGAGCCCTGTGTGGAGGGGAGGACGGCGTGGAGGGGAGGACGGCGTGGAGGGGAGGCCGGCGTGGAGGGGAGGACGGCGTGGAGGGGAGGACGGCGTGGAGGGGAGGCCGCCGTGGAGGGGAGGATGTCATGGAGGGGAGGCTGGCGTGGAGGGGAGGACGGCGTGGAGGGGAGGATGGCGTGGAGGGGAGGACGGCGTGGAGGGGAGGACGGCGTGGAGGGGAGGCCGCCGTGGAGGGGAGGACGGCGTGGAGGGGAGGATGGCGTGGAGGGGAGGACGGCGTGGAGGGGAGGACGGTGTGGAGGGGAGGATGGCGTGGAGGGGAGGCCGCTGTGGAGGGGAGGCCGCTGTGGAGGGGAGGACGGCGTGGAGGGGAGGACGGCGTGGAGGGGAGGACGGCGTGGAGGGGAGGACGGCGTGGAGGGGAGGCTGGCATGGAGGGGAGGACGGCGTGGAGGGGAGCCCTGTGTGGAGGGGAGGACGGTGTGGAGGGGAGCCCTGTGTGGAGGGGAGGACGGCGTGGAGGGGAGGCCGCCCTGCGCCTTTGGATTCCGACCCCAGCCCTGGGGAGCTCACCGCAGCACCTGCTCCCCTCACGCTGGGAAACATCTCACACGCTCACTCCAGATCCCGCCAGCTGAAAGCTGACATCGAGTGTGAAAAGCAGTGGAGAATAAAAGACATTTTCTATGTTTCTTGTCTGCTGCAAGCTTTCTGTGCACATGGTTTCACCCGGCCCACAGGCCCATCGGGCCCACTCTGGAGCAGACGCTGCCTCATGCCCCCGGGTCTCTGCTGTGAGGAGGAGGGAGGGGACAGACCTCCATGGCGCCACAGTGTCCTGGGGAACTGAGGCGAGTCACAGAGGCTGCAGAGGAAAGTGTGAACTTGTCACAGTGGGGGAAGGACGTGGTGCCGAGGCCAGGCTGCAGGGCTCCCTGTGCCTCCCAGCCCCGCACCTCCTCCCTCTGGACCGGCTCCCACAAGGACATCCCACCTGGTCAGCAGCCCACGGAGGCTCCCGTGCAGGGACCACCCCCTCCCCGTGCTGGGCCGGCTCCGGGGCCACCCCCTCCTCCCTGCTGCCCCCAGAGCTGCTCACCCTGGGGATCTTCCCCCCATCCTCTTCTGGCTCACCGTGGGCTCAGGCCCTGCCCGATGGCTGGGGATCTGGGGGCCTCACTGGGTATCCTTAACTGTCCGCTGCCCACAGCCAGTCCGAGCATTTGAGGAAGTGAATTTCCAAAAAATGCTTCCATCTCACGTTCAGACACCTGCTTCCCAGCTCCGCCTCCAGCACCAAGTCTGCACATTGCACTTTAAACGAACAGCAATCTCCAGGATTATCATGCCGCGTTGTTCTGCGCCCATGGTCGGAGGGTTCCTACCCACTGTTCCTCACCTCCGGTCCACGTCGGGGCTGGCCAAGACTGATTGGTGTGCAGTGTCCCTGTGGGAGCCGCCTCACCTGGGTCCCACACACCCTGGCTCCATGTCAGACTCTGCCTGGAATGGACGCAGGAGCAGAGTGGCCGCCAGCTTGGGGATGGCGCGCACCTTCAGCCAGGAAGAAAGCCTTTGCGGTGGGAAGCCACTGGCGTTCTGGGATCGCTCGTTACTGCAGCGCAGCTTAGCGAAAGCTGACTATGGCTTCTCCACTGAAAACCTGACATTTGTAACGAAACGGGATTCACTTGGATGACACCTTTAAGATACGAAGTCTATCCATGACCATGCCACTCTCCAGTTAAGATGTTAGTACTTTCAGTAAACCTGTAGAATTTTCTCAAAGAACTTTCAGTTTTTAAATTAGATATAGTCTTAGTACTCAATTTTTTGATGCTGTAAGTTTTTTAAAATTACATTTTGCTTGTTCTAGTTCCTAGAAGTGGAAATGACATATGTACACTGACTTTGTGTGTAGATACCAAATAAATGCTTTTTAATTCTAATCATTTATAATTTGGGGGCATTAGAGGCAAGCATGCAATCTAATAATACAACGTAGGGTTTTTCTTGAACCTAACAGTAAATACTTTAATATTTCAGTATTAATTACAAGTTTGGGGCCAGGCTCAGTGGCTCATGCCTATAATCCCAGCACTTTGGGAGGCTGAGGCAGGAGGATCACTTGAGGCCAGGAGTTTGAGACTAGACTGGGCAACATGGTGAGACCCCATCTTTACTAAAAGTTACAAAGTTAGCTGAGTGTGGCGGTCCACACTGTAGGCTGTTACTAGGCAGGCTGAGGCAGGAGGATCACTTGAGCCCAGCAGTTTGAGGCTGCAGTGAGCTATGGTTGGACCACTGCACTCCAGCCTAGGCAACAGAGCAAGACCTTGTGTCTAAGAAATACTGCAAGTTTACTTATAGAAAAAAAACCCTACAAGTTTGTGTAGATTTTTATGAGGCTGCCCATTAGGTTAAGGAAGAGTCTATTCTTGGTAAATTTAGAGACCCCTTTTCAAACATGAATGGATGTTAAGTTTTATAAAATAGAAAACCAAATGTTTAAATATCACTTAGGCTGCATTGCCACAAGTTTTGAAATGTAGTTCAAATGCGGTTCACACAGATGTCTGTTCAGTTTCCACTGTGACTGATTCTTGGCTCACGAGTTAATATAAATTTCCAAATGTGAGAGGTTTTTCTAGTTAACATTTCATTGGTTTCTAAACGATCAGAAAACTCTGGAAATACCCTATATATGTCCATTACACCAAACTTGTGTATTATGGTGGTCATTTTTCTGTATTCTTTCTGATTTGTGTGTGTCTTATCAATTATTGAAAGAGGTATTAAAATCTCCCAAAATGCTGCTGAATTTGTCAATTTCTTTTTATGGTCTCATCAGATTTTGCTCATAACAGCACAGCTCTAATATGTGTAGGTACCTTTTATTTTTGGATCTCTGTTATTAGCGATATGTATCTCCAATATTGAGTAGGGTAATGCACTCCAGTGGGGTTCACAGGGCCATGACAACCTCCTTTAGGATTTTCTTTCATGGGGGTCTGTTGGTGGCAAACTCACAGCTTTTGTCTGAAAGTGTTTTACTCTACCCTTGATCTCAAACAATAATTTCACTGGGCACAGTTCTAGACTGATAGTTATTTCCTCTAAGTACTTTGAAGATGTGTTTTCCCTGTCTTCTGTCTTCTATTTGTTTCCATTGAATGTTTCAGAGAATCTAAATTATCTGCAAATTTTAGGATTTTGGTTCTGAATTCCACTATAAGTTCTGATTTCATTTTAATTATATTATTTTGGATTCAGTGAGATTCTAGAATCTAAGGCTTGAGTTCTTTAAGCAATTTTGGAAAATTCAAAGCCATCATATCTTCAATTCTTCCTGAAACCTGGATTTCAAGATGCACCCTGGACCTTCCCATTCCGACTGCCATGTGTTTTATCTTCTCTCCAATATTTCCCATCTTGCCACGTTGATTTCTGAATGATTTCTTTGGATTTGGCTTCCAGTTCACTGGTTTTCTCTTCAGCTGTGTCTAATGTGCTTTTTGATCTGTCCATTGAGTTTTAAATTTCAGATGAACTCTAAATAGGATTTTTAAAGTGAAAAAGCATCTCCAAAAATGTGTGATGATTTTAAAATTTTAAAAAACTATTTTTTGTAAAGAGAAGGTCTCATCACGTTGCCCATGCTGGTCTCAAACTGCTGGGCTCAAACAAACTGGCCTTTCAGGGTGCTGGGGTTCCAGGCGGAGCTGCTGCACCTGGCTCGTGTGATGATGTTCTAATAGTCTCTGTCACACACACCCCTTTCCTTTATTTCCTTACATAGATCAAACCTGCTTGTCTCAGCTTCTGTGACGATCAAGCATCCGACACCTGCCACTGTGGTTTGCCGTTTTCCTGCCTCTCCCTAGTGGTGTTCTGTGATCTTTATTATTCAAGTTATCTATCATTTTATCTGGGGAATTAGTTGAGATCTAAGTTGTGTTCCTTTAGAAAGGATGTGTGCTCACTTCTGCTGGCCACTGAGGACGCCCCCGTCAACCCCATTATCCACTTGAGGTTTCTCAGATTATGCACATGGCATAAATCTCGGCTTAGGAACCAGCTTGTTGTCACTAATTCTCAGAGGACTTTTCCCCTTCCTTTGCCCAAGCTGAGGCCAAAACAGGCAATTTCCCTTACTCATGTCCTTGGCGTGAAGGGCCTCGTCCTTGTTCAGTCTTGCACCGAGAGGAGAGCTCTCTGAGCTCGTGGCCAGCAGGTTTCCTGCTGGAAGCCTTACCTGGATGCTGGGCAAAGCTGTCAGAATAAAGTTCAAGGTGGTCAGGGCTCTGCAGGGTCCCTCAAGGGAGCTTCCCTCATCTAAAAACATGATTCAACACAGTGAGCGATTTTCAGTTGTGGGGTTCCTAGCAGTGTCTAACAAGCCATTCTGGAGTCCATCAACATTTTTTTTTTTTTTAATAAAAAAGGTGAGATGGAATTAAGGCTGGAAGTGGCGGACTTTGGGAGAAACATTCCAGGAGTCTGGCCTCCTGCGATGAGCAGAGCTCTCCTGGTGGGCAGAGCAAGGATGGGAAACAGCTGGAAGGAGAAGGACTGCGGGTGGGAGGCATGGACGGGAGGAGGAACATGGGAGAAACAAAGCTTGTGCAAGCACTTCTTATGGGTGGGCAACGGGAGCAGAAGAGGAGGCTGGGCTGCGCTCTTCTCTCCAGGAGCCCAGGCTGCAGTGGACCAACAGGATAACAATGGGGAGAAGAGAGAAGGACCAACAGCCCCTTCCAACCCCCAGCTAAGCCGGAAGAGGAGGGAAACACACCCTAGGTTCCCTCTTGACCTAGAGACGAAGGTTCCAGGCTGCACATCCACGTTTATTCCCAGCGTGCACACTGGTGAGTTCCATGAGGGCCGCAGGGTCCGGGCCTGGGAGGGGTGTCCTGGGGTCTCAGCTCGGGCAGCACAGGGCCCTCCTGGGGCGGGTCAGGCTCCTTTTCCGGACCTGTGCCTCCCTCAAGCACGAGAGGCCCCGCTGCAGGCACCCTGCTGCTCTAGGCCTGGGAAGTGCAGGAGAGGTGGGTACAGCTTTCAGCCTAA
Source organism: Homo sapiens (assembly GCF_000001405.40). NCBI lineage: Eukaryota > Metazoa > Chordata > Mammalia > Primates > Hominidae > Homo > Homo sapiens. Next base: position 79,766,450 of record NC_000018.10, on the reverse strand, counting down.
TTGAGCTCTCACCTGAAAAGAAACAGCAGCGTTGGCGCCAGGTGTCAAGGCAACGCATGCAGCAGACTCACGCCTTCGATGATCAAAATGCATCTTCCGGGAACTGCCTGGAATGAAGGGAGGTTTGAGGTGACATCTGAATGACTTTCAAGGCATTTTCTGTCCGGTCGTCGCCTTCTGTCTGTCTCAGGGTGCAGCAGAACTCATCACTGCACTTTCCCGACTCTTCCAAAGATCTCGAGGTTGCTGGAGAATTGTGCTTTTTAAAGAAAGTGCCTCTTAATTGTCCTTGACAAATACATAACCCAACCACAGGGATGTTTATCTCTGGCCAAGGCAGCTCATCTGTAAGTCATTCTGTCAGTTCGGGCTGAGCCAGTTTCTGACTTTCAGACAACTGCCTTTCCAGGCCTCCTTGGGAAAGCACTGCTTAGAGCTCAGCCTCCAGCTGCTGACAGCGTCTTCGTTATCCCCGGCAGGTGTCACGAGCTGACTGTTCACGGGGCGCTCACTGACATCTTTCCTTCCTTCTTCACTGCAAAATGTTAAAAATGAATCTTTAGAAACTAGTTCTAACAACAAAAAATAATCCTAGGGGCTCAAATGGTGCCAACGCCCAGCTCTCCTCTCTTCAGAAGCCTGGGGTGTGGGCACAGCAGCCACGTTCCCAACACCAGGGCTGAAGGCAGACGTGGCATCTGCCCTCTGCATCATCTCACTAATCATTGTTGCTTTTCCAAAGAAGCAGTCCTGGCCATCTGGGCAGCTCTGACTCAGAGAGCCCTGGGATCCACCCTACGGGGCTGGAAATGGGTTTCCTGGACCTAGGACAAAACCACACTTTCACACATGGGGCCAGGGTACGCTGCTGGTGACCCTGGTCACTCACACATGGGGTTGGGGCTATGCTGCTGGTGACCCTGGTCACTCACACATGGGGTTGGGGCTATGCTGCTGGTGACCCTGGTCACTCACACATGGGGTTGGGGCTACGCTGCTGGTGACCCTGGTCACTCACACATGGGGTTGGGGCTACGCTGCTGGTGACCCTGGTCACTCACACATGGGGTTGGGGCTACGCTGCTGGTGACCCTGGTCACTCACACATGGGGTTGGGACTACGCTGCTGGTGACCCTGGTCACTCACACATGGGGTTGGGGCTATGCTGCTGGTGACCCTGGTCACTCACACATGGGGTTGGGACTACGCTGCTGGTGACCCTGGTCACTCACACATGGGGTTGGGGCTATGCTGCTGGTGACCCTGGTCACTCACACATGGGGTTGGGGCTACGCTGCTGGTGACCCTGGTCACTCACACATGGGGTTGGGACTACGCTGCTGGTGACCCTGGTCACTCACACATGGGGTTGGGACTACGCTGCTGGTGACCCTGGTCACTCATACATGGGGTTGGGGCTATGCTGCTGGTGACCCTGGTCACTCACACATGGGGTTGGGACTACGCTGCTGGTGACCCTGGTCACTCACACATGGGGTTGGGACTACGCTGCTGGTGACCCTGGTCACTCACACATGGGGTTGGGGCTATGCTGCTGGTGACCCTGGTCACTCACACATGGGGTTGGGGCTACACTGCTGGTGACCGTGGTCACTCACACATGGGGTTGGGGCTACGCTGCTGGTGACCCTGGTCACTCACACATGGGGTTGGGACTACGCTGCTGGTGACCCTGGTCACTCACACATGGGGTTGGGGCTACGCTGCTGGTGACCCTGGTCACTCACACATGGGGTTGGGACTACGCTGCTGGTGACCCTGGTCACTCACACATGGGGTTGGGACTACGCTGCTGGTGACCCTGGTCACTCACACATGGGGTTGGGGCTACGCTGCTGGTGACCCTGGTCACTCACACATGGGGTTGGGGCTATGCTGCTGGTGACCCTGGTCACTCACACATGGGGTTGGGGCTATGCTGCTGGTGACCCTGGTCACTCACACATGGGGTTGGGGCTACGCTGCTGGTGACCCTGGTCACTCACACATGGGGTTGGGACTACGCTGCTGGTGACCCTGGTCACCCGGGGACCATCAGTGCCCCCAAGGGCTGTGTCTCAGGAAAACCAGCAGAGGCATCCCCAGGTGAAGGAGCTTCCCAGGCAGGTAGAGGCTGGCCAGGCACACGACCCATGGTGAATGCATCAAGCAGTACCTTGGAGGCTGTTTCCTAAAAACTGGTGTCTTGTGTTGACATCATATCTGATGGCTACACAGTCTCCATCAACTGCGAGCTGCCAGCCACACGGTCACCACCCACCAGGCCCTGCAGGGAACTGTCCAGGAGCCTGAAGACCAATCTCTGTGCTTTGCAGTCACTTCTAGAGAAAGGTGACAGTTAAATGTCATTCCATCAACTGTGGGAATGAGCTCGTGCAGACACTTTGGGAAGGCTGACGACACTGCCTGGGCCCCAGCTTTCTGGCTCTGCAGCTCCGAGGGTTTAGAATATTCTCTCTGAAGACATAACTTTGCCCACCTGGGAGGGGCTTGCTGTGAGGTTTCCCTTCAGGTCCTTCTGTTGTTGGAAAAGCCGTTTTTGGCTGACCAGGTGTGGGGAGTGTGAACCAGCATCACTGACTGGGAGGGAGTGTCAACCAGCATCACTGACTGGGCAGGAGTGTGAAGCAGCATCACTGACTGGGAGGGAGTGTGAACCAGCATCAATGACTGGGAGTGAGTGTGAACCAGCATCTCTGACTGGGAGTGTGAACCAGCATCACTGACTGGGAGTGTGAACCAGCATCACTGACTGGGAGGGAGTGTGAAGTAGCATCACTGACTGGGAGAGAGTGTGAACCAGCATCAATGACTGGGAGTGAGTGTGAACCAGTATCACTGACTGGGAGGGAGTGTGAAGCAGCATCACTGACTAGGAGAGAGTGTGAACCAGCATCAATGACTGGGAGTGAGTGTGAACCAGCATCACTGACTGGGAGTGTGAACCAGCATCTCTGGCAGGGAGTGTGAACCAGCATCACTGACTGGGAGTGTGAAGCAGCATCACTGACTGGGAGGGAGTGCAAACCAGCATCAATGACTGAGAAACTAATTCCACACTATCCAGGAAAACTGCACTGGGGTGCCCCCCAGTCCCAGTAACTCTACTTGTGGGTATTTAACCCCAGAGGCTCATTCACGAATGGATCAGGACATAGGTAAAGAATGCTCAGGCAGCTGCATTTGCATAAAAAGAGCCATAAGCAACACAAACGTCCGGCAAAAGGAGGACAAGCTGTGGAACAGAAACATCGCTGAGCACGGAGGGCAGTGATGGACCACGGCTGTGTGCACGGACAAAACCCTGAAGCACACGAGAAGTCAGAAAGAACAGGTTCCCTCCCTACTTACCATGGGGTCCTGTCCTGATAAACCCAAGTGTCCCAAGTTGGAAATGCATTTGAACACTTAACTAACTCTCCAAACATCATGGCTTAGCCCAGCCCAGATTAAACGTGTCAGAACCCTATGTTAGCCGACAGTTGGGCAAACTTGTCTGACACAAAGCCTATGTTATAATGAAGTGCTGAATATCTCGTGATGTACTGACTACTGAACTGAAACTGGTAAGCAGAATGGCTGTGTGCATACTTGGAGCACAGATTCTAGTGAATGTGTATCCCTTTGGAACCAGTCTAAAGTCAAAAAACTGTTGTCAAACCATGGTAAGCTGAAGACCGTATTGAGTACAAAAATGGGCAAAACCAAACATACAGTCTTAAGCATAAATATACATGTGGTAAAATTACGCAGAAAAAAAATCAGCGATTAATATGAAATTCAGGATTTGTCTAAGGGTATGGCGGGGGAGGAGAGTACCCAGACAGGAAGGGCTCCGAGAATCCTGTTTCTTACACAGGGTGCTGGGTTAACAGGTGGTTGTTTTACTTTTTTTTTTTTTTTTTTTTTTGAGACGGAGTCTTGCTCTTTTGTCCAGGCCAGACTGCAGTGGCGCTATCTCGGCTCACTGCAAGCTCCGCCTCCCGGGTTCATGCCATTCTCCTGCCTCAGCCTCCCGAGTAGCTGGGACTACAGGTGCCCACCACCGCACCTGGCTAATTTTTTGTATTTTTAGTAGAGACGGGGTTTCACCGTGTTAGCCAGGATGGTCTCGATCTCCTGACCTCGTGATCCGCCCGCCTCGGCCTCCCAAAGTGCTGGGATTACAGGTGTGAGCCACAGCGCCTGGCTGGGTTTTACTTACTCTTAAAAACTATTTTAATTCACATACCATGAGTTCACCCCTTTAATGTGTACAATTCAGTGGAATTTCAGTATATTCTCAGTTGTGTAAACATTACCACAGCCTAATTCCACAACACCTGCACCACCCCTGAAGGAAACCCCACACTCATCTGCTTTGACTCCTCACTGCACATCCTCCTGCCCAAAGAAGTGGGAATGAAATGGGAAGCTTTTCATGCACCTGCAGGACGTCTGGGCATCTTCTCTGGGAATGTCTCGATCTCTTGCCCATTTTTACATCTGATTGTCTTTTTATTGTTGAGTTGTAAGAGTTTTTATATACTGCAGACACTAGACCCTTATCAGATAGATAATTTGCAAATATTTTTTCCAATTCTTGTATTTTCATTTTCTCGACAGTTTTCTTTGTAGCATAACAGCTGGTAATTTTCATAAAGTCCAAGTTATCTATTTTTTCTTTAGTTCCTGTGCTTTAGTTGTTAAACCTGAGAAATCCTTGACTGACCCAAGAGACAGAGTTATGTCTGTTTTTCTCTAGGAGTTTTTAGCTGTTACATTTAGGTCTTTGATTCATTTTGAATTAGTTTTTGTATATGGTGTGAGGTAACGGTCTAATTTCATTCTTTTGCATGCAGATGGAATTGTTTCCTTTCTTTTCTGGGTTGTTCACTGCTAGTGTATAGAAATACAATTGATTTTTGTATACTGATCTTGTATCCTGTACCCTTGCTGAACTTACTGTATCTAATTGTTTTTTAGTAGGTTCTTTAGGCTTTTTAAATATACAAGACAATGCCACCTGTGAAGATTGTTTTACTTCTTCCTTTCCAATATGAATGCCTTTTATTTCTTTTTCTTGCCTAACTGTCCTATTTTATTCATTTTCATTCTTTAAAAATCACGTTTCATATATTTTATATAACCTCTGATTCTTGGGATATCCAGCCTCCATTTTCCATTAAAAAGTAAAAATGGTAAGTATTTTTTAAAAGACTTCTGGCTAACAGTTCCTGATACAGCCTCCACAATCTCCCCTCTAAAGTAGTTACAAAGACACAGGCAAAGGAAAAAAGAGTAACACCAAGACCAAAGCCCACAACCCACTGCCAGGATCTAAAAGGGATTTTCACAAACCACAGGCAGGCACCTGTGCACTCTTCCTCACCACTGCCTTCCTAACTGGCACAGGCAATCAGAACTGGGCAAGTGTGATCTTAGCAAGTAAAATGTTATTGGAGGCAGAGAAAAAACAAACTCAGTGGGCAGCGTGGAATGGGAAGTAGATCAAAGGAAAATACAAAGTCCTGGAGACTGAGCCACATTAGGTGGATGCCTGCAAGATACTGGGAATTGAGAACCTGCATTTATTCATTCAACAAACTTTTGTTGAACAGATATTATGAGCCAGTTCTGTGTTGAGAGTAGAAGCTACATCAACCAACCAGACTGCATTCCTGCTGTCATGGTGCAGTCAGCCAAAAAAACAAAACAAAAAGGCAAAAATCAAAACAACCCCAAATTCAGCAAGGGCTATAAGGAGGGGAGGAGACAGGGTGGTCAGTAGGTATAAAATCAGTAAGCATATGGTCAAACTCAACACTACCATCAATCAACTGGATATCATTAACATCTACAGACAATGTTATCCACCAGCAGCACAGTAACGTTCTTCTCAGGCTCACAGGAACATTCATGCAGACAGGCCATCAATCACACCTCAGCAAACTTAAAAGAGGAGAAATCATGCAGTGTCTGCTCTCAGATCACAGTGAAATTACAGCAAAAATCAGTAATAGAAAGATAACTGAAAAATCACAAAAACATGCAGCAATTAAACAACACATTTCTAAATAACATACAGGACAAAGAAGTAATACCAAGAGAAATTTAAAAATATTTTGAAGTAAATGAAAATGAAAACACAAGTTACCAAAATTTGTGGGATGCAGCAAAAGCAGTACTGCAGAGAAATTCAGAGTACTGAATGCATATATTAGAAAAGATCTAAAATCAATAACTGAAGCTTCCACCTGAATAAGACAAGAATAACAAATTAAATTCAAAGTAGAAGTAATAGGCTGGGTGCGGTGGCTCACGCCTGTAATCCCCAGCACTTTAGGAGGCCAAGGCAGGCAGATCACCTGAAGTCAGGAGTTTGAGACCAGACTGGCCAATGTGGTGAAACCCCGTCTCTACTAAAAATACAAAAATTAGCTGGGCGTGGTGGTGCATGCCTGTAGTCCCAGCTACTCAGGAGGCTGAGGCAGGAGAATCACTTGAACCCAGAAGGTGGAGGGTGCAGTGAGCCAAGATTGCACCACTGCACTCTAGCCTGGGTGACAGAGTGAGATTCCATCTCAAAAAACAACAATCACTAAGTAGAAGTGATAAAAAAAATTAGAGATGAAAACAATGAAATTGAAAATAGGAAATCAATACAGAAAAGTAAGGAAGCCAGAAGCTAGTTCTTTGAAAAGAAAGAAAATTGATATCTCTTTAGCCAGGGTAAGAAAAAAAAAAAAAGGACACAAACTGCTAATATCAAAAAATGAGAGGGGACATCACTACAGATCCCATAGACATTAAAAGGATAATAAGGGAATACTATGAACAACTCTATGCCCACAAATGTGATAACCCAGATGAAATGGACCAATTCCTTCAAAGACACAATCTGCTGAAACTCATATAAGAACCAGTTTGTCTAAATAGGCCAATATCTATTGAAGAAATTGAATCAATAATAAACAACTTTCCAAAGCAGAAAGCATCAAGCCCAGATGAGTTTACTGGTGAATTTTGCCAAATATTTAAGGAAGAAATTATATGAAATTTCTATCATCTCCTTCAGAAGACAGAAGCAGAGGGAATACTTCCAAGCTCATTCTATGAGACCAGCATCACTCTATTACACAAACCAGATGAAAATAAGAAAACTATAGACCAATATCTCTCATGAACACAGATGCAAAATCGTCAACCAAATCTTATCCAACTGAAAGCTACAATGCATAAAAAGAATTCTACAGCAAGACTATTGGGATTTACCCCAGACTACTGGGATTTGAAAATCAATGTAACCCATCACAGCAACAACAAAAAAATTACGTGAGCGTATCAACAGATGCAGAAAAAGCATCTGACAAAAATTCAATACTTATTCATGATAAAACTCAGCAAACTAGGAATAAAGGGGAACTTCAACTTGACACAGAAAATCTATAATAATGGTGAGAAATGCAAAGCTTTCCCATTAAGATCAGGAACAAGGCAAGGACATCCTCTCACCACTCCTTTTCAACATCATACTGGAAGTCTCAACTAATGCAGTAAGAAAAGGAAATAAAAAGTATACTGATTGGGAGCGAAGAAATAAAACTCTTTGCAGATGACATAATTGTCTGTGTAGAAAATCCAAAAGAATTGGACTGCCCCGACCAAGTGCCTCCTGGAACTACAGCAAGTTTTCAGCATGCAAGGTTAATACACAAAGTCAACTGCTTTCCTATATACCAGCAATGAACAAGTGGAATTTGGAATTAAAAACATAGTATCACTTACATTACCTGTGCCAAATAAAATACTTTTGTATAAATCTAACTATATATAGATAAGATCTCTATCAGGAAAACTACAAAATTCTGATCAACAAAGTCAAGGAAGAATGAAACAGAGAGATATTCTATGTACATGGATAGGAAGAATCAAGTCTTTCAAGGTGTCAGTTCTTCCCAATTTGATCTACACATTCAATGCAATCCTAATCAAAATCCTAGCAAGTTATCTTGTGGATACTGACAAACTGACTTTAAAGTTTATATGGAGAGGCAATGACCCCGAATACCCAACAAAATACTGAAGGAGAAGAAAGAAGCTGGAGGATGGACAGTACCCGACCTCAAGACTTAACTAAAGCGACAGTAATTAAGACACTGAGGTACTGGTGAAAGAAAGACAAATGGATTGATGAAACAGACCCACAAAGATACAGTCGGCTGATCTTTCACAAGTGAGCAAAGGGAATACAGTGGAGAAAAGAGTCTTTTTAACAAATGGTTCTGGAACAACTGGATGTCCATAAGCAAAGAAATGAATGTTGACACACACATTACACCTTTCACAAAAATTGGCTGAAAATAGATCAGAGACCTAACTATAAAATGCAAAACTATGAAACCCCTAGGGAATACCTACATGATCTAGGTATGATGGTGAACCTTTTCACACAACAGCAAAGGCACAGTCTATGACAGAAGTAACTGATGAGCTGAACTTCATGAAAATGAAAAAATTCTGCCCTCTCAAAGACACTGTCAAGAGAATTAGAAGACAAGGCAGACTAGGAGACAGGACTTGCAAGAGACATGTGTGAGAAAGGATTGTTCTCCAGAATGCATACAAAACTCTTTCCTAACAGAAATCAAAACTCGCCGGGCGTGGTGGCTCATGCCTGCAATCTCAGCACCTTGGGAGGCTGAGGCGAGCAGATTGTTTGAGCTCAGGAGTTTGAGACCAGCCTGGGCAATATGGTGAAACTCAGCCTCTCAAAAAACAAACAAACAAAAAAAAACAACAGAGAAAGTCAACAATTAGAAACGAACTGATTTCAAAATGGGCTAAAGATTTTAAAACCTCGTCAAAGAAGATATGAATACAGAGATGGCAAATAATCACATGAAAAGATGCTCTGCGTTGCGTCGAACGCCAGTGAGGACATAGAGCAACAGGAACTCTCATTCACTGTGGGTGGGAATGCAAAATGGCACAGCTGCTTTGGGAGACAATCTGAGTTTCTAAATGCACTGTGACCGTAGGATCCGGCAGTCACATGCCTTGGCATTACCCTAAGGGATTAAGAAGTTATGTCCTGGCAAAAACATGTATATGGATATTTAGAGCAGCTTTGTTCATCACTGCCCAAACTTGGAGACAACCAAGATTATCTTCCAGTAGGTGAATGGATAAATGAATTGTGTGATTCCGTGGTAAAAAGAAATGAGCTCTCAAGTCATGAAAAGACATGGAGGAAACTTAAATGCATATTACTGGGTGGAAGATGCCAATCTGAAAAGGCTACATACTAATTCCAGTCATATAACACGATTATGTGCCACACCACGGTGGTGGATACACGGGGACACGATTCTGTGCGACACCACAGTGGTGGATACACCATCAGACATTTGTCAAAACCTATGGCATGTCTGGCGCTAAAAGTGATCACTGGGTGGGCACCAGGTGGAGAACCACTACCTCCCGATCTCCACGTCTGCCAGGCACCGTCTCACAGCAAGCGCACGTGCAGATTAGAGCTTCATGGTTGTTTTGAAAACTTAATATGAAAAACTGATCAGATATGAAATCTGTGCATGCTGTTATACAAAATTTCAACTTTCCATTTCTCAAAAGAGAAAAGGAAGGAAATTTCATTAAATTTAACTGTTACAGATTTTTGAATGGTCTAAAATTTATCATCTATTTATGCAACGACTATCTCGAAATTTAAGGAGTCACCTCTTCAAATTTTAAATCACAAATTTCCTTACAGCCAGTTTAAGCTTAAAACCTGACATGAAATTTATACTAAGGGAAGCAAGTTCAAGTTTCTTCTTAAGACTTTATTTGGAACAGTTGTATAATTATTCAGTATTTAATATTTTCCCTAACATTCAGTGGTTTCTTCGCATAGCACAGAACATTTCATAAACGTTAATCACAGTCCCTTAAACAATGATCACAGATGACTTCCTGGCTCTTTTGTGTAGAACACACACTACACTCAGGGGCTGCCAGCATGGAGGTGCCGTCCTGGGCCAGCCTTCCAGAGGGTGCCATCACCGCGGGCAGGGTCAGAAGACCTGCCGGGCAGCAGAGTTTGGGAGTTGCTCCAGTCAGGGCTGCAAGGACACGGCTGGTGCTGATGGAGGCTGGAGCCGAGGACAGGATGGGGCTCTTGGAGTCCCTGCAGTGGGGTCCCCACCGCTGCATGGGGGCGGGCCAACAGTGAGACAGGCGGGAGAAAAGTCCCATTTTAAGCTATCAATGTGGATGTGCTGGTGCTGAGACCCACCTCCAACACGTGACGGAGAAGGTGTGCAGCACGGCTGTGCAGAGATGCGGCTGGGGGTGCTGGCCCGCTGCCCCCGTGGGCGATCCCAGAGCCTGGGGCAATCCCGCTGCTCCTCCAGGAACCGGGGACCCCTTGCTCTTCCGCGTCGGGGAGAACCTGCTGCATCTCCCCTGCATGCTCTGTTCACTCGACCACACGGTCAGAACAGGCGAACACCCAGGGCCACGCTGGTCCTGAATGCTGCATGCGGTCCGGCCCCTCCCGTCACCAGGCCCCGCGCAGCCAGCTACCACGCCACCCTCCTCCCGTCCTCTTCACCCCTAGGCCAGACCCAGCAGCAGAGGTCCCCGTTCTCGCTGCCCCTGCAGCACCACCTGTATTTCCACACTGTGTTTAAGGAGGCCTTGCAGAGCCTCATTAACACCCCCATGAAGCCAGAGGGGACTCGGCCAAGAGCAGAACAAGGGGCCACCTTGGTCCCAGCAGGACCAACCACACGCAGAATCGCCTTCAGGGAGAAACCACTGTGGAAGGAGGGAAGGTCTCCCAGCCTTTCCCAGAGGTCTCCACACAGCATCAAGGCCTCGTTCATCGGCCCCTGCCCCCACCCCCCGGCACATTACTCCCTGCACGTTTTGTGCCCCTCCCTATAAACTGTAGAATCTTCTGCTTTCTTTGGGTATCAACTTGTACATCTATTTTTGTTTTCTGTCCAATTCATCTTACATTCTTGCTCGTGGCGAAATCGGACCTGAGGTGGGCCCAGTTCACCTCCTGCTTCTCTGGACAGGAGGAACTCCCTGACCGGCGTCTGGTCATCCTGCAGCCTCCTCAGACTGCAGACCCCGGAGAACCCACAGGTGGGTTGGGTGGTGAAGCTGCCTCTTCACTCGGCGCTGCAAATAACCTAGTTAGTACAGGAAACAGTCACCCGGGGCTGGCGTGCTGCTGGGTAACGGTGCCTTTCCTCTGCCACCATGTCGCCGCATCTTGACGACAGCAGCACCAGGACCCTGGGGTCCTCTACCCACTGAGGATGCCTCCCTCCCCAGCCAACCTCCATCGAAAACCCCACAGGAAAGGTCCCACACCCAGCGGAGACAGCCTGAGCCTGGAGGTCCCGCGAGAGCCACATCCTGTGGATGGAGAGTTCTCACACGTGCCACCTCCCGAGCTGTGGTCAGGGGAGGGTGCCGTCGGAAAGCAGGAGTGTGTGCTTTTGGAGAAGGGCCGTGGCCTCGAGGTGCAGCCTCCCACCGCCACGCTGCGGGACTGATGCTGGGAGGAGGAGGGGACGTGAGCCGAGGCTGCTGGCCGGGAGGGGTCCTGGCGGCGGCCATAGCCCAGCACCTACCTGTAGCTCTCGGGCCCCCGCATCCCAAACAAACAAAAGGGAAGGATGAAAATAATGCAAGAGAGTAATTCTTCACACTTAACCGTTTTAAAATACCAGCTACAAGCCTGGTTCTTATGCTCAGAGGCGAAACCCTGAGATCATCACGCTCGCAGTTCTGCGGTTTCCATTTCTGCCGTTCCACACGGTCCTGTCCGTGGGAATTTTTTCGTTTCTGTTTCACAGCTAAGGAGCTGGATCCCAGCGAGGGAGGAGGCGGGTGCTCACCGCTGCCACACACCCACGAGAAGAGAACTTACAAAAAGGATTTTTATTAAAGAGAAATCTGTTTGGTGGGTCAGATATGAAATAGATTTACAGAAACTTTACATCAGGTGTCTCCAAGACATAAAAGGCCGCCCAGGAAAAGCAACGCCCCCTTGCCAGGATGCCAGTGGGAGGACGGCAGGATGGCAGCCCAGGCCACGTGGCGTGGACCCTGCGTAGGAGGCTGCAGGAAGCTCCAGGCTGCCCGACAGTCACGGCGTTCCCCGGAAATGGGTTCCCTAGGAGGGAGCAGCAGGCGGCGGGGGTTCCAGGCATGTCTGTGCTGGGCTCGGAGCTCGTGCACGCACACTGTCCTGCTTAAACTCCTAGTCCATGTCTCGTGGGACCCCCAAAGCCGTCCCCTAAGGAATGTGCTCTGGTACACAAGGGGAAAACACACCAACCCGCCCCTTACCGAGACAGCGGGCGCACCAGCCTGGGCCACGTGAGCCTCTGCTGAGCTCTTTGGCACAGCACACCTGGGCCTTTAACACCTGTCACTTACAAAAGTAGACATTCCTGTAGTAAAACTTCTTAAAAACACCTATTTCTGCAAAATAATGTGTTTCTGTATGTGGAGCTCTGCAAATATACATGTCCTTTGGGAAGAAAGCAGCGTGGACCGAGACTGAGGGCTGGTCCGGGGACGTCCGAGTGCTGCTGGAGGTCGGTCAGGCTTCAGTCCCTGCCCGCTGCCCGCGCTCACATGAGGTCGTTGAGCTCCGCCTCCAGCGCCTTGGCCATCTCGTCGGCCTCGGAGCTGCTGCCCTCATCCTCGTTGCTGGACTCCCTGCTGGACTCGCTGGCGGCGTCCTCTTCATTCAGCTTCCTCTTGTGGCCTCTGCAGAGAAGCAAACATGGTGTGAGATGCTTGTGGCAAACGCACAACGCCGGGTCACCGCCTGGTCTGCATTTGGGAAGTGGCTTCCGTGGTTTTAACACAAGACGGCACAATTCTCTGGTCAAGGACACACACAGGCCACCGACCCAGGGCCACGTCACACACGTGTGGACAGCAGAGCCCCAGCGCAGGAGAAGAGGCCCCAGCCCTGTTACACACCAGGACACCACTGACAAAGCAGGTGTTCACCTGCTGCAAATGCACGTTCCGGCCGCTCATGAACACCTGTGATGCCAGAAGACATCAGAACAGGAAAACAGGACAGGGAAGTTAAGATCATCTGTCAGAGTAACTATTAGTGTTATGTGAACAAGCACCTCCCAGCTCATCAAGTGGGCCACGGTCTGGAAATTCTCATTTCCTCAGGCCACTGCTAAAATGACTCTTAATAAACAAAGAGAACACCAGCCCTCTGCATAACCAGCCGGTGCCACTAGGCTTTCCTTACGAGCCTCTGCATAACCAGCCAGTACCACTAGGCTTTCCTTACGAGCCTCTGCATAACCAGCCGGTGCCACTAGGCTTTCCTTAGGAGCCTCTGCATAACCAGCCGGTGCCACTAGGCTTTCCTTAGGAGCCTCTGCATAACCAGCCGGTGCCACTAGGCTTTCCTTAGGAGCCTCTGCATAACCAGCCGGTGCCACTAGGCTTTCCTTACGAGCCTCTGCATAACCAGCCGGTGCCACTAGGCTTTCCTTACGAGCCTCTGCATAACCAGCCGGTGCCACTAGGCTTTCCTTAGGAGCCTCTGCATAACCAGCCGGTGCCACTAGGCTTTCCTTACGAGCCTCTGCATAACCAGCCGGTGCCACTAGGCTTTCCTTAGGAGCCTCTGCATAACCAGCGGGTGCCACTAGGCTTTCCTTAGGAGCCTCTGCATAACCAGCCGGTGCCACTAGGCTTTCCTTACGAGCCTCTGCATAACCAGCCGGTGCCACTAGGCTTTCCTTACGAGCCTCTGCATAACCAGCCGGTGCCACTAGGCTTTCCTTACGAGCCTCTGCATAACCAGCCGGTGCCACTAGGCTTTCCTTAGGAGCCTCTGCATAACCAGCCGGTGCCACTAGGCTTTCCTTACGAGCCTCTGCATAACCAGCCGGTGCCACTAGGCTTTCCTTAGGAGCCTCTGCATAACCAGCGGGTGCCACTAGGCTTTCCTTACGAGCCTCTGCATAACCAGCCGGTGCCACTAGGCTTTCCTTACGAGCCTCTGCATAACCAGCGGGTGCCACTAGGCTTTCCTTAGGAGCCTCTGCATAACCAGCCGGTGCCACTAGGCTTTCCTTAGGAGCCTCTGCATAACCAGCCGGTGCCACTAGGCTTTCCTTAGGAGCCTCTGCATAACCAGCCGGTGCCACTAGGCTTTCCTTACGAGCCTCTGCATAACCAGCCAGTGCCACTAGGTTTTCCTTAGGAGCCGCTGCAGGTGCACCTGGTTTCTGTGACGTGAGCCGACTTGATCGGGGCACACCCAGGAGATCCCCAGAGCCCTGAAATTCCAACCACCTGATGTCCTGCCAGACACCCTCCCTCCTGGTGCCGTGCTGGGACGTCCCACTGCGCCAAGGAACCTCAGCTACAACCTTAGAGGTGGAAGCCTGGTTAAATGTGCACAGCCTGTTTTGATTTTACCCTGATTAGGGGCAACTGAGCCATACTAGCCTTCAGTTACAATCCCGAAAAGTCACTGAGAGAAACTAGGGACAGTCACCATATGTGAGTACCCTAAGAATATTTTCTTAGCTAACGTAGATACAATGTAGCTAACATACACACCTATGTGACACATTATGTGTGATACAGCCACACACACACACAGCAGGCATATAACACACATGCACTCGAGGCTCACACACAAACTATAGCACGGTAATGTGATACACCTGCACGCACACACAGCACGCATGTAACACACATGCACTCGAGGCTAATATACACAAACTATAGCGCAGAAATAACTTGAAACCATTCTTGCTGGTATTAGAAGAATCACAGTTCATTTATAAGAGACAAAAGGAATAAAATCAGCTGATCAGATGGAACCAACAGAAGACAAGAGAACCCCGTGGGCTGGCACACACAGCCGATCAGTCACGACAAGCTCGTTCAGAGAACCCAACTGTTCGTGGTCCAGGAAATACCGCATGAGAGAAACACAAGGGCCCCAGAACTCCAAGTCCTGTCCAGGTGGCAGGCACTGGGCCGTAGGATGACAGCCCCTCCCCCGCTCCCTCCTTCCCTCCTGGACCTGCCTCTGTGCCCAGCCCCTCCCTCCCTGGCCTGCCCTCTGTGTGCCCAGCCCCTCCTTCCCTGGCCTGCCCTGTGTGCCCAGCCTCCCTCCCTCCCCGGCCTGTCCTCTGCGCCCAGCCCCTCCCTCCCTAGCCTGTCTTCTGTGCCCAGCCCCTCCCTCCCAAGCCTGCCCTCTGTACCCAGCCCCTCCCTCCCCGGCCTGCCTCTGAGTCCAGCCCCTCCCTCCCTGGCCTGCCCTCTGTGTGCCCAGCCTCCCTCCCTCCCTGACCTGCCCTCTGTGTGCCCAGCCTCCCTCCCTCCCTGACCTGCCCTCGGCGCCCAGTGCCTCCTTCCCCAGCCTGTCCTCTGTGCCCAGCCCCTCCCTCCCAAGCCTGCCCTCTGTACCCAGCCCCTCCCTCCCCGGCCTGCCTCTGAGTCCAGCCCGCTCTGTAAGATGGGAACTGCCATCTTTCATCACATACTGGGACCCCTGGATCCATGAGATCCTTTCTTAAAAAGCAATGCATCCCATCATTTAAAAGCGGAGTAGGCAGGGCGTGGCGGCTCACACCTGTAATACCAGCACTTTGGGAGGCCAAGTCAGGCGGATCACCTGAGGTCAGGAGTTCAAGACCAGCCTGACCAACATGGTGAAACCCCATCTCCACATTAAAAAAAAAAAAAAAAAAAAAAAGCAAAAAATTAGCCAGGTGTGGTGGTGGGCACCTGTAGTCCCAGCTACTCGGGAAGCCGGGGCACGAGAATTGTTTGAACCCGGGAGGCGGAAGTTGCAGTGAGCTGAGATCACGCCACTGCACTCCAGCCTGGGTGACAGAGCGAGACTCTGTCTCGGGGGGGAAAAAAAAAGGCAGAGTAGCGGGAAGTGCACGCCCTAATACCTGCCGTCCAAGTTTTAAACGAATTTATTTTTATGTCAACTGGAATGAATATTTTCTACTGAGAAATAAAGGCTTACTTTTAATTGCTACATGAGAGTGAGGGGTTGCAAATTAGCTGGGAGTGTCGGTGCATGCCTGGAGTCCCAGCTATTTGGGAGGCTGAGGAAAAAGGATCCTCTGAGCCCAGGAAATGGAGGCTGCAGTGAGCCTGGGCCATGACCGCAACACTGCACTCCAGCCTGGGCGACAGAGCAAGACCCTGTCTTAAAAAAAAAAAATCTCCGCGCACCTTTTCTGTGCACCTGCTTCCCCTCTGCACACCTCGTCTGCAGATCTTGTGCCCGTGCCTGTGTTGGGCTGGGCACCGCCCGCTTCCCCTCCATGCCTCATCTGCAGATCTTGTGCCCGTGCCTGTGTTGGGCTGGGCACCGCCTGCTGTTTGCTTTGAGGACGCCAGGCGTATCATACACGAGTTTCCTTTATTTCCAGTCTCTGCTGACACTAACGACGCTGTCAGGGCCACGAGTCTGGCCTCCGGTTGCTACAGCAACAAGCTTTTGGCAATTAACAAATTCATCAGTCATCTCTTTTCCTCCGCATACACGCTGACGGCTGTTCCGGGAAAACCCGGCTCCCATCCTCCCATTAGGCTTCCTCCACCTCACTCCGTTTTGAGAACTTGAAACAAAACAAGACAGAGACAGTTCTCGTAAACGTGAAGGTGCTGCCGTGAGGGGTGTCCCGAACCCCTGGAAGAGCTCAACCCACTGGCAGGTGGACGGGACAGGAGACCCTTGCGAACAGAGGCGGTGTTTCAGGCCCCCAGAGCAGTGCATGGCGCTGACCTCGGGGAGGGGGCAGTCATGACTGTGAACAGGAGAGCCGAAGTGCCCTCTCAGGTCGAGCTCGGGACGGTCACCAAGTCCAGGAGGGGGCGGGCCTGGATCTCGTGTGCACGGGGCGCGACCCTCACAGTCTGGTGCCCGGCTCCCTGCCTGTGTGCTGATGCCTTGCTCAAGGGAGCCCTGGCCCCTCCTAGTGGGGCCAGACTCGGGGGTGCTGGCAGGTGTGGTTGACTCCCTCACAGCGACGCTGGGTTGGACGTATCAGGGGCACTGAGCAGAGCAGGGGCAGGGGCAGGGGCCCCGACCGAAAGTGAAGACGGGGCAGACGAGAGCCAGGCGGGACCCTGGGGCAAGCAGGGAGAGGAGGGGGAGGGCGAGAGGTGCAAGAACCAGTTCCAACAATTCTTTTCTTTCTAAAATCAAGCGAGGAAGCCATCCGTGGCAGAGTTCTAATGGCAGCAAGAGGATGGCAAAGAATGGGAAATGCCAGCTGTGACTCTCTGTTTGAGGTTTAGAAATATGTTCCCCTCACAAGGCCGACAAAAACACCCAGAGTGCTGTTGACAGCAGGACACACCTTCAGAAACGCCAGCATAACTTGGCAGGGTGCCACAGGACCTGAACCGAGCCCACGGAAGGGACCACCTCAGCTCCCGCTGGAGAGCCCTGTGCACATGCACCAACACGGCTCACACACAGACACGGCTCACACACAGACACGGCAAACACACAGACACGGCAAACACACAGAACGGCTCACACACAGACACGGCTCATGTGCAGTCACGGCTCCCAGGCAGACACGGCTCCCAGGCAGTCACGGCTCACACACAGACATGATAATGATGACTCTAAAGGCCTCTGATCATGACTCTGTCGCTGTTGTGTGAGATGAGGCGGCCGCAGGCGCTCATGGCATTCGCTGGGAACAGTTTCTTGTGGATCCACAGCTGGGGACGCTGTGGTCTGGGGCTGTGCTAAGTGCTTCTTCCTTAGATTTTCACAAGAAACCTGCGGGCAGGCGCCACCATCCCCATCTCACAGCAGGGGCCTGGACCTCACGATGCTGGTAAGAATGCTGAGAAACGTCCTCCACGCACTTTGGAAAAACGTAGCTGACTCGGGAGACAGGGTCAGGGCTTCCATGAGGCTGAGTGTCTGGGACCAGGTCAACGGCTTCCACCCTGAGGGGTCACAGAGCCCGGGCTGGGGCGGCCCTCCCTCCATGGGTCCCCCCAGGCCCTGCGCGGTCCCTCCTGGTGCTGCGAATGCTGCACCCTCGGTCTCGCTCCGTGATGAAGTACAGGGAGCGCCTCACTAAGGTGGCACAAAACCTTTGCTCTTAGTTAAACGATGTTTGGAGCATGGGATTTAAAAATACGAGATGAATGGACTTTAGTCATTAAAAATTACCTCGAACATTAGACACAGCTGCAGACTATGGTTAGTAAATGTCCGCAACTGATACTAGCTTCACTTCCTCAGCATAACATGCAATATTTGTATTTTGTTCATACAACCAGCTGCACAGCTCCATAGAGAAATGTTAACAGATAGAATTTGGGGAAAATTTACAGCTTTAACATTTATCTCAAATTCAACATTGAATAAGGCAAGAATACAAACAGAATAATATATATGTATACCCCACCCCCATATTTCAGTTTTCCAAACACACTGGGCTGTCACAGTGCACACGATTTGGCACCGGAAAGATATCCGTCAGTGCGGCAAATGCACAATTGTGTCACACCAGCATCTAATCCAAAGGGGATGGAACAATCCACAGGCACAGGGTTCCCGTGGCCACTGCCAGCGTGGCCGCGGGAACAAAAGGGAAGACCAGTGCTGCTCACCGTGAGGCCGCCACGTCACTAAAAAACCCGTGCCGGCGTGGCCAGGTCTGCACGCACCGGACACCTGCAGGAGGCGCTGCGCATGGCGGATAATTTCCCCAGTGCACCCTGGAGTGGAACGTGGCGTGAGAGCGGCGTTGGGGCTGCCCAAAGCAGGTGAAGCCTCACACAAGCGTGGGGGGCTCCGCGGGGACCTGGAAGGAACCCACCAGATGACGTCAGCGGGACCCAACAGTCCAACCACCTACAACACAGGGCTGGGCTCTGCCAAGGAAAGCAGGCGGCAAGAGCTGGTCTGCTGCTGAGAGTGGGCCCGGGCCCAGGGAGAGCCAGCGGTGCCCTCCCTCCGTGGCGTCTGCACCTGAGTCCCAGTTCCCGCAGGGCCCCAGCGGGGATGCCACAGCTCTGGGTGTGAACATTGTCATGCTCTCCTCAGCAATCTCATGGCATTAGAATGAACCTGTGTGTGTTACAGGTGGAAGAGGGGCAGGGGCCCTTCCCAGCAGGGAGCTGGCCGGGCGCTCACCACACCTGACCCTCCCCTCCGAGAGCCTGCTGCCAGGCCGGGGCTCTTTAAAGTGGGAAGTTCAGTGACCTATTTTAGGGTAAGAATTGCTGCTTCGTGTATTGGTATGAAAGGACTGGAAAAAAATTAATGTCTCTCATTTAAAATTGGGCAATCATTAAAAAACACTATTTGATTCAGCAGCTTTGTACCCAAATTCTAAACTGCAGGCACCAGAGTGGCTGGCAGCACACGGTCAAGTCACGCGACCAGGAGCCTTTAGCCCTGTGCACCAAGGACCACTTTAACACCCCTAGGCACGGTAGGCACAGTGGGCACGGTGTTCACACCTGTAGGTCCAGCACTTTGGGAGGCTGAGGCGGGAGGATCGCTGGAGGCCAGGAGTTTGAGGCCAGGCTGGTCTCAATGGGCAACAAAGGAAGTCCCCATCTCTACAAAAAAATTTTAAAAACATTAGCCAGGCATGGTGGTGCGCACCTGTGGTCCTACCTACTTGGAAGGTTGAGGCGGGACGATCCCTTGAGCCCAGGAGTTCAAGCTTCCAGTGAGCCATGATCGTGCCACTGCACTCCAGCCCAGGCAACAGAGTGAGACCTTGTTTCTTAAGCCCCTAAGTATGGGGTGGGCAAGGCAGGGCCTCCTGACCTGTTCACAGTGACAGCAGTTGTCAAAACGCTCTCACTTTTCCAAGAGATGCAGTTTGTGTAGCTATGAAAACACGAAAAAGCAAACTTTCACAAACCAAAACTCCGCGTGCTATGTGAAGGGAGAACGAACACAACCTCCACCTCCGACACCCTCGAGTGGCAAACCCTGAAGAGACCGCAGAGTCAGAACACGCATGGGAGGGACGCACGGACAGAACGCGCATGGGAGGGACGCAGGGTCAGAACGCGCACGGGAGGGACGCGGGGACAGAACGCGCACGGGAGGGACGCAGGGACAGAACGCGCACGGGAGGGACGCGGGCACAGAACGCGCACGGGAGGGACGCGGGGTCAGAACGCGCACGGGAGGGACGCGGGGACAGAACCCGCACGGGAGGGACGCGGGGACAGAACGCGCACGGGAGGGACGCGGGGACAGAACGCGCACGGGAGGGACGCGGGGACAGAACGCGCACGGGAGGGACGCGGGGACAGAACGCGCACGGGAGGGACGCGGGCACAGAACGCGCACGGGAGGGACGCGGGCACAGAACGCGCACGGGAGGGACGCGGGCACAGAACGCGCACGGGAGGGACGCGGGCACAGAACGCGCACGGGAGGGACGCGGGCACAGAACGCGCACGGGAGGGACGCGGGCACAGAACGCGCACGGGAGGGACGCGGGGACAGAACGCGCACGGGAGGGACGCGGGGACAGAACCCGCACGGGAGGGACGCGGGGACAGAACGCGCACGGGAGGGACGCGGGGACAGAACGCGCACGGGAGGGACGCGGGGACAGAACGCGCACGGGAGGGACGCGGGGACAGAACGCGCACGGGAGGGACGCGGGCACAGAACGCGCACGGGAGGGACGCGGGCACAGAACGCGCACGGGAGGGACGCGGGCACAGAACGCGCACGGGAGGGACGCGGGCACAGAACGCGCACGGGAGGGACGCGGGCACAGAACGCGCACGGGAGGGACGCGGGCACAGAACGCGCACGGGAGGGACGCGGGGACAGAACGCGCACGGGAGGGACGCGGGGACAGAACCCGCACGGGAGGGACGCGGGGACAGAACGCGCACGGGAGGGACGCGGGGACAGAACGCGCACGGGAGGGACGCGGGGACAGAACGCGCACGGGAGGGACGCGGGGACAGAACGCGCACGGGAGGGACGCGGGGACAGAACGCGCACGGGAGGGACGCGGGCACAGAACGCGCACGGGAGGGACGCGGGCACAGAACGCGCACGGGAGGGACGCAGGGACAGAACGCGCACGGGAGGGACGCAGGGACAGAACGCGCACGGGAGGGACGCAGGGACAGAACGCGCATGGGAGGGACGCACAATCCAGTCAAACACGTATGTGTGCTGACCACTCATCTTCCCCACAAAAATTATCCATGCCACAGTCATTACAACTGCTTTGGAAAAGCCTGAAACTCACATGAACTTACATGTCGTGGGGACACCTCCTAATCCCAGGAGCACCTTCTGATTCCCCACCCCACTCTCAGGACCCACAAGTCTTTCCCATGGAGTGGCCTGGTACCCCTGCTGAGAGCCAGCTGGCCATGGACATGGGGCTGTTCTGGGATGGACACTCCTGCTCCACGGCCCAGCACACTGTCATCACACCAGCCTCCGTTACTCTGAAGCACGATGTGCGTCCTCTGGCCTGCTCTTCCTCAAGACCCTCCAGGGTCTCCTGCGTTCCTGTAAGAGCTTCAGGACTGGTCTGTGGCCCCTCCAGGGGCAGCATCCTCCCACGACGCCCCCCATGACTGAGTGGCGGGGGAACCTCCAAGGTCTCGCCATGGCCGCCTCTCCCTTTGCTTGTCAGTTTCTGCCACTGGTGAGTTGGTTCTCACTTCCGGTGCACATGTGCTAGCAACTGTCACTCTTCCCGATGGATCCAGCTCTTAGCATCGTAATTCCATCCGTTATCATTATAAAGCGTCCTTCTTTACCTGTAGAAGCATTCTTTGTTTAAATTCAGTCTTCTCTGATATTAGCGGAACACTCCAGCTTTCCTACGGTGATGGCCTCTGACCCAGTTGTCCATCCACTCATAGTTAAAGCTCTGAATCCCCTCACGTTCACACCGCCACTCTGCTTTGTTTCTCATGCCTCATGTAGTTTTAGTTCCTGTCTTCCCTTTTCTGTTTTCTTTTGCATTAAGTGAATACTGTCTAATGTAACATTTTGGTTCCTTTTGTGAACTCCAAGTATCTGTGTCAGGTCTCACTTAACTTAAAAAGTTTATTTTGCCAAGGTTGGGGTCACCTGCCTGTGACACGGCCTCAGGAGGGCCTGACATGTGCCTGAGGTGGTCGGGGCACGGCTCTGTTTTACACATTTTAGGGAGACATGAGACATGAAAGAACATATGTAAGATGAACACTGGTTCACTCTGGAAAGGTGGGACAGCTGGAACCAGGGAGGGACTTCCAGGTCACAGGTAGACAAGAGACAAATGGCTGCATCCTCCTGAGTTTCTGATCAGCCTCTCCAAAGGAGGCCATCAGATCTGCACCTGTCTCAGTGAGCAGAAGGTGGCTTTGGATAGAATGGGTGGCGGGTTTGCCCTGAGCTGCATCTGTCTCAGTGAGCGGAGGGTGGCTTTGGATAGAATGGGCGGGAGGTTGGATAGAACGGGAGGCAGGCTGGCCCTGAGCAGTTCCCAGTGTGACTTTTCCCTTCAGTTTCATGATGGTGGGGCCCAAGGTTTATCCTCCTTTCACACTTGTATGATCTGTTTCACGATGTATTTTGAGTTACTTCCTTAGCTTCTGCTCTTGGGTTTAGCATACGTATATCTCGCTTGATCAGAATCAATTTTGGACTCATGCTGGCCTAATTCCAATTCGATACGGAGACATGGCTGCTGCACAGCTCAGCCCCTCCTCACTTTGTGCTTCACTGTACAATACCACATCCATGCACGCCATGAACCCAACAATGCATCGTTGTAATTATTTACAGCAGGAGTGAGAGCAGGTGCACACTCAGACTCCTCACTTTGTGCTTCACTGTTTTTTTTTTTTTTTTTTGGAGACGGAGTCTCACTCCGTTGTCCAGGGTGGAGTGTAGTGGCACGATCTCGGCTCACCGCAACCTCCACCTCCTGGGTTCAAGCAATTCTCCTGCCTCAGCCTCCTGAGTAGCTGGGACTACAGGCGCATGCTGCCATGTCCAGCTAATTTTTTGTATTTTAGTAGAGATGGGGTTTCACCATGTTGCCCAGGCTGTTCTCGAACTCCTGAACTCAGGCAATCCGCCCGCCTCAGCTTCCTAGAGTGCTGGGATTACAAGCATGAGCCACCGTGCTCGGCCTTGCTTCACTGTACGATACCACATCCATGCATGCTACAAACCCAACAATGCATCGTTGTAATTATTTACAGCAGGACAGGGAACAGGTGCACACTCGGAGCACGGTGAGACCAACCTTCTTGTTCAGCACTCCTGGGTCTCTTCAGCTCTTGCTGTAAATTCCAGTCACCATCTGCTGTCATTTAATCCTAGGCCCCTCCTCGGCGCGGCTACTGGCAAATGTTACATCTCCACATGGTATGGGCCCAACAATACAATTAGGTACAAAGAGTTGTTTTATTTCGTTTTGTGACAGGGTCTTGCTCTGTGGCCCAGGCGGGAGTGCAGTGGCATGATCTTGGCTCACTGCAACCTCCCCTCTGGGTTCTAGTGATTCTTGTGCCTCAGCCTCCTGAGTAGCTGAAATTACAGGCGTGCACCACCATGCCCAGCTAATTTTTGTATTTTCAGTAGAGACAGGGTTTCACCATGTTGGCCAGGTTGGTCTTGAACTCCTGACCTCAAGTCATCTGCCCACCTCGGCATCCTAAAGTGCTAGGATTACAGGCGTGAGCCACAGCCACCACATGTCCAGGCATAGAGTCTTATACTATAAAACTATACTGCTTTTTAAATCAAGAGAATAAAGGAGAAGCAACACGCTACCTTACAGAGTTACATAATCTGCATTCCTCGTGCTTGCTTGTTTGTGTGGATTCAGATTTCATCTAAGTCACCTGCTTTCAGCCTGAAGAGCTTCCTTTAGAACTTCTTGTAAGGTGCGTCTGCTAGTGAATTCCCACTTTGTCTGGGAAAACCCTGCCTTTGTTTTTGAAAGGTTGTTTTGCTGGATACAGGGGCCTGGGTGTGGTGGTGCCATCTCTGAGGAGAAGCGGCTGTGGTGTGATGGGTTCTCCCACCCTCAGGCCTCTCTCCCATGGACGCCTCATGCCTCCTCTGCTGCCCTCAGGCCTCTCTCTCGTGGACACCTCACACCTCCTCTGCTGCCCTCAGGCCTCTCTCCACCAACCCCTCACGCTTCCTCTGGTGCCAGGCCTCTCTCTCTCTCTCTCTCTCTCTCTCATGCTTCATGCTTCCTCTGCTGCCCCCAGGCCTCCACCTCATGCCTCCTCTGCTGCCCCCAGGCCTCCACCTCATGCCTCCTCTGCTGCCCCCAGGCCTCTCTCCCACGACGCCTCATGCTTCCTCTGGGCCCCCAGCCCTGCTCCCGGCATTTCCTCTTCCACTGGGATGTGCCTAGGTAAAGATCTTTGTGTTCATCCTATTTGGAGTTTGTTGTGCTTCTGGGATGTATAAATTAATGTTTTCCATTACATTTGGGGAGTTTTCAGTCATTATGTCTTTGAATAGTTTTTCTGCTCCTCTCTCTCCTAAAGATTATCTTTCTTAGTTAATTATCCAAGATTAAAAACAACTTTGATGTGTGAGTGTTTCTGGTGGAGCACTATTCCCTGTTGTCTAAGAGTGGGAGCTCACGCAACCCTCCCAAACGGACAAGAGGAGGTGAACCTCAGAAGGACCCTGCCTGCCGCCCTGTGTCTCCCACGCAGGCTGACCACACACCCCTGTGGAGAAGAGCTGAGTGTTGGGATCTGGGTACTCGTGTCAGGAAACTAAGCCTTTAAAACGTGGTGCTGTTTTCCTTTCCTGTTTATCACTGCACCAGATGGGACAGGAAACGGGGGCACCAGGACTAAAATCTCCAAGTACTTAGGGAGCCATCATCAGCTGTTGTCTCTGTCAACAGATCATGGGAACGACCAGCTCATCTTCTTGCCAGTAACATAACAGCTCCCACCATGCTGTGCTATGTTTCTTGGCAGTTAACTCAATGTCGTTTTCACTTCTCCGCGAACTCTAGGAATGATCTGAAGAAAGAGGCTATGGTATATTTTAAAGTTGCCTTTGTGAGTGATGATTCACCTCCGGCCACCAAAAGCATAAAAGGATAGGCTCAGGGAGAGATCAACCGCACGGGGGACCTCACCCAACCACAGGCTCAGGGACAGATCAACCACACGGGGGACCTCAGGGACTCAGGGACAGATCAACCGCACGGGGACCTCACCCAACCACGGGCTCAGGGACAGATCAACCGCAAGGGGACCTCGGGGACTCAGGGACAGATCAACCACACGGGGACCTCACCCAACCATGGGCTAAGGGACAGATCAACCGTACGGGGGACCTCAGGGACTCAGGGACAGATCAACCGCACGGGGGACCTCAGGGACTCAGGGACAGATCAACCGCACGGGGGACCTCACCCAACCTGTGCAGGAGACCTCACCTCACCTGGGCGCCTGTTCTTTTCGGTACCTGGAACTGGTGTTGGGACGATGTGTCTGTGAGATCCTTAAACATTCTGAAGATGACTTGTTTGGTTTTTTATTTTGAGGATTTATTTTAAGGAGTGAAAGTGCCCGGCAGGCGGCTGCATATAGAACAGGCATCTGATGTTTGTTGACTTGAGAGAAGAATGAATCACTCTTGGTAGACAAGTAAAAAACACAACCTTCCCCCTTATGTTAAAACTCATTTTCAAGTTCAACTGACATTAAGATTCTGTGGAACAGCTTGGCCATGCGAAATTAGCAAGACGTACCACCAGCTAGAGCACTGACAGGAAAGAGCAGAGTGACCTCCAGCTTCTGTACGAAACGCATTGCCACGCATGGGAAAGAATCATGATGAAACCTACATGTTCAACATGCAAAAATAAAAAACTCAAACCACATTTACTTCGTTACAAGCAAAAATTTCATGTGAAAAATTTCAAAACATTCACATCTCACTGAATACCCCATAAACAGGAATGAAATAAAACTGGAAGTCCCTGGTCTTTAAGGAAGAAGTGAGGTCCCCAAAGTCCAAGAGTCACAAAAACCCAGCTGGACAGGAAGCTGAAAAGACCCCACCGCCCCACCCTTTTGAGGGGCACACACGGCCCCCAGCAGTCAGGCTGCTATCGCGGCCACACGTCCACAGCGATCCGCAAACGGCAGGCGTGGTGCAGGCAGGGAGCAAGCGCCGAGTCCCACCCGTCCCGGCCGTGGGTATGAGAGTCCCACCCGTCCCGGCCGTGGGTATGAGAGTCCCACCCGTCCCGGCCGTGGGTATGAGAGTCCCACCCGTCCCGGCCGTGGGTATGAGAGTCCCACCCGTCCCGGCCGTGGGTATGAGAGTCCCACCCGTCCCGGCCGTGGGTATGAGAGTCCCACCCGTCCCGGCCGTGGGTATGAGAGTCCCACCCGTCCCGGCCGTGGGTATGAGAGTCCCACCCGTCCCGGCCGTGGGTATGAGAGTCCCACCCGTCCCGGCCGTGGGTATGAGAGTCCCACCCGTCCCGGCCGTGGGTATGAGAGTCCCACCCGTCCCGGCCGTGGGTATGAGAGTCCCACCCGTCCCGGCCGTGGGTATGAGAGTCCCACCCGTCCCGGCCGTGGGTATGAGAGTCCCACCCGTCCTGGCGGCGGGTATGAAGGCTGCGCAGCAGAACCTGAACAGACTCCCAGGACACTTTATTCTCCTGATCTCAAATTCTGAAATCACCCAAGCCCACCGAGTCTGTAAGACATAGAGTGAAACGGCAATTACAGTACTGATCTGGTCCTTGCCCGAGGAGCCAGAATGGAGAGGCAGAACCCCAACCACCTCCTGCAGCTGGGAGGGCAGCATGGAAGCCGCGCCAGAGCCGAGGGGTTTTCTAATCATGCTCGTGTGGTTTCACCAGGGAGGGTCAGTTCCGTGCTTGCGTGGTTCTCTAATCGTGCTTGCGTGGTTTCACCCGTGAGGGTCAGTTCTGCCGTGCGCAGGTCATTTAGCAAAAAAAAAAAAACCACAAAAACCCAGGGGTGCTAACTCCAGTCCTGGCCCCCAAGTCTTCAGCAGCTCTGGGTCCCGACCCGCTGAGCGCCACATCCAGTTGCCCACAGGGGGAGACACGGATGCAGCACGTATCCTGGATGACGTGGCTGGCCGCCAGCAACACCCTGACTGGTCTTAGTGGAAAAGCACTTTGGGTTTCTTCTTTTAATTAGAAAAAAAAACTATCAGGTTAAACCACCTATGTTCATACAAAGAGCACGCTGCAAATCCGCAGATACTAACATGGCCACGGCAGACAGACTCCTTGGAGCTGGCTCAGCTCAGCCCCGGGCTAGAGGGTCTTCAGGGGAGGGCAGTGGAACCCTCCCAGAGGCCCCCAGTGCACCGCCTTCCCCAGGCCTGACCCCAGAGCTTCATGACAGACCCAATGGGTCTACACCGAAAAGTGAAGGAAGGTACGGCCAGGCAAAACCACCCCGTAATTCATGTGGGAAGAACCAAGGCTTGTTATCACCCAATACGGAATTTCAAAATCTCTCCTAAAACAACTTCATATCATTTCAACACAGCTGGAAAATGCTGCTTTCTACGTGGTAAACACAGAGTGGGTTGCCAGGAGAGAAGCTGCACTCATTTCCCTGCTAAACCACAGAGCTGCAAATCAAGTGATTTTCTGTAAGTAATTCCTGCAAACGGAACAATGACTATCTTGTCTTGTCTGCATCTGTTGCTGGAATTTCTGGCCCAATTTTGTAACTGGATTGCCTGAATGAGTTACGCTCTTTTCTTGAAATGCTGTTTATTCACCTACAGGAGAGCCTAAGAGTAAGACCAGACGTGGGGAGAAAGAAAGCAGTCTGCACTGTCTTCTTCACCACAGACACCAGACGTGTACCTGGAGTGCCCCCTGCTAGCCTGCTGAAGCTGGGAGCAGCTCCTCCGAGGCTGGCGCTGCTCCTACCTCATTTCACAGGTGAGGAAACCAGGATGCAGAGGTCCAAATACCGGCCCACGGCCCCGCAGCAGATGCAAGAAGGCTCTGGAGACCAAGTTCTCAGGGCAAATCCTCGGGACACAAGTCTGTACTGAGGATGTCGGCAGGACCTGGAGGGCCACATCCTGTCTAACAGGCGGGCAAGACAAAGCCTCCGAGGTTACCTCGGACGGCCTCGGAGCAGCCCCGGAGCTGAAGACGGGAGCCGTGCTTCTAAATCCTCAAGGAGATGCTGCCACCTGGGGTTACGCAGCCCGCTGACTGCGGACGTATGGACAGGACAGACGCTTTCTCAGGAAGCTTCTGGGAGATGTACTCCACCAAAATGCAGAGACAGAGAACACCCCAGAGAGTGGGGAAGGCAACTCCCGGGGGCGGTGAGCAGGGCGGGCGGGGGGAGGCGGGGACCTGCGGGGGAGGCCGGGGGAGTGGAGCGGAGAGGCAGCCAGGGATTCAGAAACAGGCAAAAAGGAAGAAAGCTAACAAAAGTGAGGTGATTATCAAATCCAGGTAAAACAGATGTTTAAGAAAGGGAACAGCATCACCGTGTCCTATTCTATTTGGTAAAAGCAATTTACGGTCATAGGAAACACTGCGTCATTCCACACCCCCAAATCCTGGCGTGTTGATATTGGCAGGGCGGAGGCAAGAAGAGACGCAGTCTGTATGTTGAACGCTAAGAATCAACAGACGGCACCCAAAATGCCTAACGGCACGGCAGGTCTCCGCCACCACCCAGAACCGGGCAGTGAGGTGGCTGCCTTTCACACAAGGACATGCATGGGGGATGCGGGACGGGGACCTCTCCACACCCTGGGTTTCATGCCTGTTCATCGACCAACCTGAGAAAAGATGTCTCAAAGCAAACCGGCTCCTCCCCACCATTCGACAGCAGCACAGAGATCCAGAGAACAAAGCCGATTAGTGGAGAAAGATGATGTCAGAAACTGCGATGGGACCGTGAGCTAATCATCTGGGAAAAAAGCTAAATCCCCCCCTTACTAAAAAATAAATCTTAATTTACAAAGATTCATATGTAGAAAAGGTCAAACGTAAACGCATCCAAGGAAAAGACACAGGGTTAAGATTCTCGGACAAGATTCAGAACCAAGCAGCTGTAAGATCTGCACAATAGTAACATCTCTGCATGGCAGAAATGTCATCCAAGTTAAAGGTGACAAAAAGATACCTTTCACGGCAATGCAGAAAACACTGACCAGTCACAAGGAGCAGGTGAGCAGCGTTTAGAGTGCGCTGTTGCGGCCAAACGCCCGAAAACAGGCCTCATTCATGGCGAAGGAAGCGCAAAGCAAACCACGGTGCTCAGCTCTTCCCACCCACAGACCGCACGCTGGAGGCGGGGACCACTGTCACCGGCGGGGGACCCACATCAGGCACCACCCTCGACATGCAGGACGCTGGCTCCTGACCAGCAGTGCCATGTGCAGACCCTGCACACGCCTGTGCACACATACAGACCCCGTACATGCCTGCGTGCACACGTGCAGACCCCCCACCTGCAGAACCCACACACGCCTGTGCGCACGTGTAGATACCTCACACACGCCTGTAGACACCTCACACATGCCTGCGCACACGTGCATACCCCCACCACACGCCTGTGCACGTGTAGACACCCCACACACGCCTGCGCAGATGTACAGATCCCCCCCCACACCTGCACACACCTCACACGCCTGCACACATGTAAGATGACATGGATCAGCATGGAGACAACCAAGTGGCCATCACCAGGGGCTGCTGAGTTTGGAAGCTGCTGGTGTCACACACAGAATGGTGGAGGGCGTGAAGAATGAGATGCAGGTAGGCGGCCCACCAACTGCAGAGTCACCTCCGGGAGCCCGTGTCAGGCCCCTCCCACCTCAGACCCCGCACTCACCTGGGCCCCCGGCCCCCTGCCGCGCTCCTCTCGCTGGACGCAGGTGCCCCGAGCGTCCGCTCCCTGCGGGTCCCTGGCTTCCGGGGCTGGGGCTCCTCCTCCTGCTCCTCAGGCCTCCTCTTCTCGCTGTCGCTGTCGTCGCTGCCTTCTCCAAGGATGTCGTCCACCTGACAAACAGCCAAGAGTCAGCGACAGACCTCCTTCCCGGGCCCCGTTCCTCCGCAACAGGCTTCTCCCGGCAGAGTCCAGGGCTCTGAGTGCAGCAGGGTGGGGGCTGGAGGTAGCACTCTGCTTTCTACCTGAGCCCTGGGGCTTGAAACTCAACCAATCCTTAACAAAGCCCCGGGCAAAAGACGCTTGGAAATCCACAGAGCAAACCCAGTCGGTTCGCAGGCAAAGATTGGGTTTAAATTCCTTCTGTCCCTTATGTGAACAGGGACTTTATTCCTGGTGCACTGTTGGATTTTATGGTGAATAATCAGAATATTTGCTTGAAATTTTCAAGATCAATGAGATTCACAGCAAGACTCCTGAGTGGCAGGGCTTTCAGGGAGGCGTCCCAGTCCTTCCCATCCTGGAATCTGGGAGAGCAGCCACCTGGGGGTGGAGACGTGGCCGTGCCACAGGGACGCTCGCTAAGATGTCCACCCGCTCGCTCTGGGCACGCCTCCAATTTGGGAAACATGCAGAGAGGGCGACTCCTGAACACCTGGGGTGAGCTCAGCCGGCCCCACGCCTGACACGTGTGACGCGGACGGGAGTGGCAACAGAGGCGGCAGGCAAGTGAGCAGGTGATGGGAGTACCGCATCCAAACCTCAGCCTCCCCGAACCTCAGCAGGCGGGAGGTGGGTACCGTCAGTGCCTCGATGTGGCGGCGGGAGAGGCTGAGCCCAGTGCCGGGAGGTGAACTCAAGTTCTCCCCTCCTCTCCTGAACTGCACGGAGATGGGAGAAGGACGCACAGAAAGAACTTACACCCAGGAGCGAGGGGCCCGCTCGGCCGATGACTAGCGGAGGGAAGAGCACTTTATGTCCAGCATGGATCACGTCGGAGTGGTGTTGGCGGGCAGCTCTCCCGGGGGCTCCCATCCCAAGAGCACGGCCCCGCTCACAGCTCTCCGACGTTGAGGGCGTCTGTGTGCGACGGCACAGCCCCGTGGTCCCTGAGACAGGCAGGTGAGGCGGGGCGGCCTGACCACAGTCCCCCAGCGCAGGCTGTTTCCCAGGAGGGATCTGGGGGTGCACACCTGGCTGGGGCCTTGAGGGGCACTCACCGACGCCGACCTAACCCCACCCCCGCAGCAGGTACGAGAAACGGCCACAGAGGACGGAGCACAACTCCCGAGACAGGCGCGGTTCGGAGCAGTCGAGGCCGAGTCCAGAGTCACAGAGACTCGGTGTGAAGCCGCTTCGATCAGAAATCACAGCTCAGCCCCCGAGCCCACATGGAGGCCGACGCATCCACCCCGTCCACTCTGCAATTTCAAACTCATCGCCACGTGTCCAGCTAGTCACAGCACATGTGCCCTGGCCTGAATCATTAAAAGGCAGAAACATTTTAACCAATGGTTAATTAGCTAAGGCAGCGGCTTTATCATCAGGTCATTATAATGATCTCTAAAAGTAACATGTTCCCAGGGACGCTGGCATGGAATGGTATTTAATAAGAGCATCTGGTTACTCGACAAGGTTACTAATATTCACACTTCACCAGAATGCTTACATCACTGAATTTACTGTTTCGATGGCAAATCTCCTACGGGAATAATTCTACTAAATTCTATTCTGAAATACTTAGGGCCTTTAACACGGCATCATACCTTGTCAAGAGAGAAAAACAAGGCACTGTTAAAATCTGTTATTTTACACTTGACAGCCAAGGGCAGGCGGGCCGGCCAGCACGGCAGCCCACGGACCCGAGGGACCCTCGCTAGTGTGGCGCCCCACCTGGGAGGGCCTCAGACGTCCGTGCCAACGCTGGTGAGGCAGGGCAGCCCGGCACGTGCCCCCGTGCTGCTATCTGGAAGATCTGGAGGTACGTTTTGCACAGCCAAGCCAGAAACGTGGGCACACATTCACATTAAAACCTGACCTCGCCTACATCATGCTCCTCCGATCTCCTCTCCCTCTTTCTGCCTGACTCGTGTAAACACACTGATGTGGGAACGACACCTACCTTTCCTGGGCTTGTTTTTACAAAAAAGGTGACTGCGCTTTCTGAAAAACAGTTTTCTTCATTACAGAGGCTCCTTGACTCAGGATGGGGTCACGTCCAGATGAGCCCATCACAGGCTGAAAACGTGTCAGCACACCCGGCCCAGCCGCCTTCCACGCTCAGACATTACCCCATCGCTGGCAAAGTCGTCCAGCACAAGGCCGACTTGGAACAAGCTGTTCTACAGAATTCTGAGCCAAGACTTCTAATTCAAAGTGTGGTTTCTACCAAACACACGTCACTTGCACATCATTGTAAAGTTAGAAAATTGTTAAGCGAACTATTGTAAAGTTGAGGGTCGTTTGTATTTACTTCACTTAAAACATGCTAACATAATTTTTTTTAATCTTAAGGAAAATTTAAAAGTATGTAAAGAGAAAAAACACAAGTGAATTCATACCTAAGTGTTGGAATTTCTACCAAAGAGCAAATACAGATAACAGCAGATGCTACGGTATCCTGTCAATGCACGGAAATGAAATGTTTCTACCAACCTCCTTGCACGACCCTGGATCACAGAATAAAACTCTCCCCAGCTCTGCGCTGGAGTGAGGTGGGACGGCTTCAAGAGAGAGGACGGGAAACAAGAAGAGACACAGAGCAAGGTCGGGAAAGCATCCTGAGCATGAGAAGCAGAACAGGCTGAAACGAGGTAACGCAGCTGGAGAGGCAGCGGACGCCAGCTTTGGGGCCCAGCAGAACACGCAGAAACGAGGTAACGCAGCTGGAGAGGCAGCGGACGCCGGCTTTGGGGCCCAGCAGAACAGGCAGGAACGAGGTAACGCAGCTGCAGAGGCAGCGGACGCCGGCTCTGGGGCCCAGCAGGCTTTTCCGCAGGGGTGTACAGGAGACGGGCCCCACCTCAACCCTCAGTGATCTCCCAGCCCTGGTTCCGGCACCTTCCCTTCCCCGCAGTTCCATGATCACACAGGAACCTGCAGGGGGACCGACACATGGGTGTGAGTCTCTTTGTGAGCTGGCTGAGACAGGCGGGTGTTTGTGCACAAACACACCAAACGCACACCCGTCCTGTGCCGAGGCTGCGGCGCGAGGATCCACACACGCCAAACGCACACCTGTCCTCTGCTGAGGCCGCAGCGTGAGGATCCACACACGACAAACGCACACCCGTCCTGTGCCGAGGCCGTGGCGTGAGGATCCACACACACAACACACATTCGTCCTGTGCTGAGGCCACAGCACGAGGACTGAGTGCTATTCACACACAGTCACCAGGCACAGTGCTTTGGCCACGCCCACCACGAGGAGACTCAGGGACTGTGTGGGGGTGCATGCTTTAGAGTCGCTTCCAGAAGAAAAATCCACGTTAGCGAGTTCTCACATCTCCTGTGATTTTGGGAGCACTCATGGTGAGAGCGAGTTTTCATGTCTCAGGTGATTTTGGGAGCACTCCTGATGTTAGCGAGTTCTTACGTCTCACATGATTTTGGGAGCGCTCCTGGTGACAGCTGAGTTCTTACATCTCATGATTTTGGGAGCACTCCTGTTAGGGAGTTCTTACGTCTCACATGATTTTGGGAGCACTCCTGGTGACAGTGAGTTCTTATGTCTCGTGATTTTGGGAGCACTCCTGATGTCAGCGAGTTCTCAAGTCTCAAGTGATTTTGGGAGCACTCCTGATGACAGTGAGTTCTTACGTCTCACGTGATTTTGGGAGCACTCCTGATGTTAGTTCTCATGTCTCACGTGATTTTGGGAGCACTCCTGATGTGAGTTCTCATGTCTCACGTGATTTTGGGAGCACTCCTGATGTGAGTTCTCATGTCTCACGTGATTTTGGGAGCACTCCTGATGTGAGTTCTCATGTCTCACGTGATTTTGGGAGCACTCCTGATGTGAGTTCTCATGTCTCACGTGATTTTGGGAGCACTCCTGAGTTCTCATGTCTCGCGTGATTTTGGGAGCACTCCTGATGTGAGTTCTCATGTCTCACGTGATTTTGGGAGCACTCCTGATGTTAGTTCTCATGTCTCAAGTGATTTTGGGAGCACTCCTGATGTTAGCGAGTTCTCATGTCTGTGATTTTGGGAGCACTTCTCATGTTAGTGAGTTCTCAAGTCTCATGTGATTTTGGGAGCACTCCTGATGACAGCGAGTTCTTACGTCTGGTGATTTTGGGAGCACTCCTGATGTTAGTTCTTATGTCTCACGTGATTTTGGGAGCACTCCTGATGTCAGCAAGTTCTTACATCTCATGTGATTTGGGAGCACTCCTGATGTTAGCGAGTTCTCATGTCTATGTGATTTTGGGAGCACTCCTGATGTTAGTGAGTTCTTACATCTCATGGGATTTTGGGAGCATTCCTCATGTTAGTGAGTTCTCATGTCTCACCTGATTTGGGGAGCACTCCTAATGTGAGTTCTTACATCTCACGTGATTTTGGGAGCACTCCTGATGTTAGTGAGTTCTTACATCTCATGTGATCTTGGGAGCACTCCTGGTGATGGTGGCCCCACACCCGGCCTCTGTTCTTGAGGCATTTTATCAGGGTCATCATATTTCTTGGCTTCCACGTATATTAAATGCAGAATTTAAAAATGGTTAAGATAAAATTACAACGTTAATTTTCATGGCTTTCAGGTTTCTTCAAAGCCGTTGCAGGTGAACGCTTACTGACGCCATGCCTCGCTCTGCTTAGGCATGTTCTGGACGTGGAGGTCAGAAGCATGTGCTACACGGGGACGGGTTTTCCTTGAAAGCAGTGACATCAAGTGAGTGGTCTCCTAGCTGTAGAAGCCTCCGTGGTTTAAACCCGAGAAGAAATCCAGATGCCTACTGGGTCTCAAGGAACTGGGCACACATTCCCACAGCACTGACCAGGCGCGAGTTCCCAAAGCTGCTCCTCACATGAGGGGCGGGGAAGCCCTTGTCAGTGTGGGTGGGAGCAGCATCCCCCACGGCAGGTGCTACTCTTGGGTCAGCAACTTTGCCTCTCCTCTGTCGACGTGGAGACCCTTCCTCTACCACTGGAGCAGCCAATGCCCACCTAACACACTGACGCGCCGGAAATGGCCAGAGATCTCGACACCCCTCACTCAAAGGCCCCCTGACGGGCTGCACTTGACCCTGGTTCCAGATCCTCTTGACTCCCCATCGTCTGTGCCCCAAAACGAGCAGCAGCCCCACCCCATGTGTCCCCAGGATGAAGAGGGGCCACGGCAGCCTCCAGGGAGCACCCGGGGGCAGGTACCTAGTCCGTCTCACAGGCCCACGGGGGGGTGCAGGCAATGGGCCCGAGAGACAGGCTTATCTGGGGTGAAGCTGCCTCATCTGCCCCAAGCACATGGAGTGGAAGAGGGACACATGTGAGACGAGGCTGTCAGGCCAGGGCCAGGCCACGAGGAGCTTCCTGAGGCTGCTGTAATAACCAGGCGCCACGGCTCAAAAGATCCAAATTCACAACCTCACAGCTGTGCAGGTCAGAAGTCCAACATGAGCCTCACAGGACCAAAATCCAGGTGTCCACTGGGAGAATCCCTTCCTCACATCTTCCAGCTTCCAGAGGCCTCGGGTCCTTGGCGCCGGGGCTCCTCTGACCCCTTCTCCTGCCTGCAGGCGCTGATTGTCTTAAGGGCCCAGGACTCACAGAGAATCAAGGAGGCTTTAAAAATTCACGAACATAAAACCCTCTGGCCTCTCTCCCATGCACAGAACAATCCACGGCTGCAGCCTTCTGCTTTCAATACCATTTGTTCCCAAAGAGCTACATCTGGGGGGTTACGATTACTTTTTATTTCTGAGAGAAAGGATTAGGTTTTGGGGTGGCTGAAAGCTGCTGAGTGCGTTCAAGACATCTGTCTCCCATTGAGAATTCAACCATTAAGAACCAGTTGTCACCACTGCCTGAAACAGGACTGCGTGGGGAACAGACCCCGAGTCCTCCACGCCCGACCAGGAAACCAGGAGGGAGACGGGACGTGTCAGCAGCTTCCAGGCAGGAAGAGGCAGCGTCCCTCCCTCCTCTCCTCCCACCCCTGGTCCTAGGCAGGTGACTGTTCCTTATACAGAACCTTCTGGAATCTTAAATAAAGTGGTCTGGGCTTACAGGTAGTGGCTGAGAAAAATTTTTTTTAGAGAAAACATTTTTGTGAAACAAAAAACAGCTAATGTTCAAAAAGACAGAAAAATGGCAGAGAAATTCAGCACACCTCAAAAAAGGGTCTGATCCTCACAAGATAAACTGGCGTCTAAAGGTGATGACCTGAGTTACTGAGACGAGTCTGTCCTGAATAGAACTATCTGCATTTTTCTGCTACTGTTGAAGATACACAGGAGCTGTTTTCCTCCTCAAGAACCTCTGCTGCCTTCTGGATGCAAACAGAATGGTGGCTCTCTCCAGAGGACAGCGGTGCCAGGCGGGCAGGGAGGATAGGCTCTGGTGGGAACATGAAGACCTGAGGGAAGGGGACGGCCTGTGCCCTGACCAGCTGCAGGTGAGCACCCCACACAGGCGCCACCCATGAGGGCACCTTACAGGAGGACATGGGATGTGGTTTTCCAGGACAGTCCTCCTAAAGAACAGTCTCCGAAGGACGGTGCTGCGCAGATCGCCCATCCCTAACATCCGGACTGTTGTGGAACCTTCTATCAGGGGGCGGCCTGGGACCCAAGAGGAGAAGCACACGGGCCAAGGGGCCCAGGACACAGGGGCCAAGCAGGACCCGGCTGAGAAAACCCCAGCTCCACCGATGCTGCCTAAAGTTGTTTCGCGCTGTGATAACGAGATGCTGTGAGAATCACCAGTCACTCTGTGTGCGTGTGTTTAAGGCCCACGTGCAACACACAGCCCTCCAGCGTTTCTCAATGGGGGCCGGTCGGCGTCAGGCAGGGGGTGTTGACCGGCCCCAGGGTCACCCCTTGTCATGACCATGAGTGCCTCCAGACCCCGTCCCATGTCCTTGGGGTGAGCCGGGAGAGCCGGAGGGGCTGGGCGGCATCGGTCCTGGTGAAGACGCAGGCACGAATCCTAAGCCACAACTTCCACGTGTTCTCATGCCACACACTGCGGACACATTGCTTAATGCTGTTCTAGGTCTCCTTGAATAGGAAGTTGCGTGAAAAACACAAGTGCTCGTCCCAAACCAGACACAACTACACAAGTGCAGGACTCTAGCTCGGCCTCCAGGTGCACAGCTCAGCAATCCGCCCGCACACCAGAGCTCTGCGGCCCCAGCACGAGCGCTGGCGCGGGCACCGGGGCGTGGGGTTGGCTCACCTCTTTGTCCATACTCTCTAAATCCTCCTTACAAAGAGTGTACAGCGGCATTGTCTCAGACATACTGGGCTGTCGCTTTCTTCTAGAAGGGCCAGGCTGCTCTCCGTCCTGAGCGTCAGGCAGCTCTTCACCAAACATCTGCGGCTGGGGTGGCGGAACCGCTCTGAAAGGAATTTCATAGGTCCCACATGAGGAAGGTCAGTTCGAATGGCACTTTTCCGCACCGAATCAGACTCCTGGCTCTCGGACTAGGTAAACACTCACACACCCCAACAGGGAACACGTATGAAAAACGTGATGTTTCGCCAATACACTTTTCAGAGGTTAATGGATCAGAATTTGCTAACTGAGCCAGGGTGACTGGCAAAACACGTTTCTGACTATCCTGTGGAAAAATAACACCCATCTTCTTTTATCCACAAAACCCCCGTGGGGCAGAGAGCATCTGCCAGGCTCTGGCATCTTAGAATAAAGGGCAAAGAGAGACGGGAGATGAAGCGTGTTCTGGGAACCCCCAGGACATGTCATTCACCCTC
The DNA here is from genome assembly GCF_000001405.40 of Homo sapiens. NCBI lineage: Eukaryota > Metazoa > Chordata > Mammalia > Primates > Hominidae > Homo > Homo sapiens. Next base: position 79,728,533 of record NC_000018.10, on the reverse strand, counting down.
AAAATAGGGTCCGGAGAGCTACACGGCAAAACACAAAACAAGAAAATGCAACATCTCCAGGCTACGAAAACAGACACAAAAAACGGCCAAGTGACAAAACAGACGTCAGTGGGCTGAAATTAAAATCATTTCACAGGTCAGCACGGTGGCTCATGCTTGTAAAGCCAGCACTTTGGGAGGCCGAGGCAGGTGGATCACTTCAGGTGAGGAGTTCGAGACCAGCCTGGCCAACATGGCTAAACCCCATCTCTACTAAAAATACAAAAATTAGCCCGGTGTGGTGGTGCACGCCTGTAATCCCAGCTACTCAGGAGGCTGAGGCAGGAGAATCGCTTGAACCTGGGAGGCAGAGGTTGCAGTGAGCCGAGATTGCGCCACTGCACTCCAGCCTGGGCAACAGAGCAAGACTCCACCTTAAAAAAAAAATTCACGAAAAAACAGAAAAAGGTAAATCTTGTGCTTGTATAGTTAAATATTAATGTAATAAATCAACTAGAAAGGGCCAATCTTCTGTTTCAAGGATCTTTCTGCTATGTTCAAACCGCAGCTCCGTTTGAAATAGTTTCTCTCCTCTGTACACATCTTTCTCGATCTGGATATGTCAATCTTATTAATATATTCTGATGCATGCCTCTGACTGCTGGAATTTAAGGCAAGCCTCTGGGAAAGGGGTGGTGCGGCCCTCCTGAGAGGCGGCTGTTTCTAGCTGCTGGTTCTTCCCTGGATGACCAAAGGATGAGACCAGGAGGCACTAAGCGTGCGTCCCAGATACCAACTCGCTCGGGACAGGCACGAGGATGAAGGTGATAAAACCCATCCTGGTGAAGGAAAACGGGCACTAAGTCAAAGTCACAAAACTAAAAAGACACAACCATGTTAGGCTATTTACTAATGGAGAGAAGATTTTCTGCCCAGAAATCTGAAAGTGCTGATCTGCGCTGTTTGGAATTCAGGACTTCCCAAGCCTTGTCAAAGTCCACTCTTCACGGCGGCCCTCTGTGAACACGCGCTTCCCATCCCACGAACGCCGCAAACGCCACGCTTCCCACCCCGCGAAAGCCGCGCTTCCCATCCCACGAACACCGTGAATGCCAGGCTTCCCACCCCACGAACGCTGCGCTTCCCATCCCGTGAACACCGTGAACGCTGCGCTTTCCATCCCGTGAACGCCACGCTTCCCATCCCGCGAACACCGCGAACGCTGTGCTTCCCACCTGCATTTGGCTGAAACACCCATGTACGTACAACTGGACACACGCAGTCCAAAGCAGTGTTGTTCAAAGGGCCAACTGCACTGTTATTTTAAACTGAATTAAATGTTTCAACTAAATGTTAAAAACCTATGATAACTGCTCTACTCCCGCCAAACACCCCACCTCTGGGGTCTCAGAGAAGGCCATGGAGGAGCCTGACATCCAACCCCACCGGCAGCAATGAGGCCCCACACACCCACGCGGGAAGGTCAGGATTCTCACCAGCCCCCACAGCCGTCCACCAGCAAGGGCGTCACCCCCATACCCCACAGCTGTCCACCAGCAACGGCGTCACCCCACCCCCACAGCAGTCCACCAGCAACGGCATCAACCCCATACCCCACAGACGTCCACCAGCAACGGCGTCATCCCACCCCGACAGCCATCCACCAGCAACGGCGTCACCCCACCCCCACAGCAGTCCACCAGCAATGGCGTCACCCCCATCCCCCACAGCCGTCCACCAGCAACAGCGTCACCCCCTTCCCCCACAGCCGTCCACCAGCAATGGTGTCACCCCCATCCCCCACAGCCGTCCACCAGCAATGGCCTCGTCACCTCCATCCCCCACTCTCAGGCATCAAAAAGAGGCCGTGTGGGGAACTGGACTCCTATCCCAAATGGCAGGAACAAGGGGGCCTCCACTCCTGCTGCTGGAGCATGGCCCAAAAAAAAAAAATCAGTGATGGGAGAAGGTTTAAATAAGATCCAGAGTCTCCTAACATGATGTGACAGGTCCAGGTTTCAATCCAGTATCACTTGCCACAGCAAGAACCAGGAAGATCTCAAACTATGGAGAAAAGGACAATCAACAAGGGCCAAGCTGAGAGGGCAGAGATGCTAAAATTCACAATGATTTTATAGCATCCATGATAAAAATGCTTCAAGAGGCAATTGCAAGTATGCTTGAAACAACTGAAAAACACAGAAAGGATTGGCAAAGAAATAGAAGATACAGACATTTTATAAACAGAAAATAAAAACTAAAACCAAAAAATGTCCTGGACAGACTAGCAACAAATGAAGGAGACAGAGGAAGGCTGTGAACCCGAAAATCTAACAGAAGTCACCCAACCTGGACAACAGAGAAAACGAGCTGAACAGGAAAAAGAACACAGCTTAGAGATGCACGAGATACAAAAAGCCTCAGCATCCGTGTCCCTGCTGTCCCAGCATGGCAGAGATGGCCCTGAAAAGCAATGGCTGGAAATGTCCCAAAGACGTCAAAAGACATAAACCTTCCAACTCAAAAAGCAGAGTCAAACATAAACAAGGTAAACCCTCCAAATCTACACCAGGACACCTCGTCATCAAACCTCAGCTAAAGACAGAGAAAAACGTGGAAGGCAGTGAAAGAGAAAACACAGCTTACCTACAGGAAAAACGGTCAAAGACAGAAGATCACTCATCAGAACCACGGAGCCCAGAAGGAAGCCGGATGTTTTTCAGGCCCCGAGAAAAAGGAAGATCAACCCAGAGTCTTGTCCTGTGAAAACGTCCCCCAGCAAGGGAGGGACTGGAGAGGGCCCAGGCCTGCCCCGAGAGCATGATGGACACTCCAGGTCAGGTCGGGAGGGAAGGGACCCCGAGGGAACCTCCCGTGAGGACGGAAGCAGGAATCCGGGCAAGCACCGGAGACTCCGCTCGAGTTCTCTAGACCACACTTGACTGTCAAAACAAAAGTCATAAGAAATAATCCCAAAGCAAGCAGAAGGAAAGTACGAAATAAGGAGGCTGAAAAACAAACAAAAAAAAAATAGAGAAGGTAAGCGGAGCAATTCCTTCAAAAACACAACCACAACTCACCCAAACGCAGCAGGTCCTGTGAAAAGCCCTGTAACTGTTAAGGAAAATGAATATGAAATTTTAAACCTTGCAAAAATAAAATCTCCAGGACCAGACGGTCTCACTGGAGAATTCTCCCGAATATGTGAAAGGAAGGGGCAAGTCCGCAGTCTCACCAGTGATGCTGGAGGGTGGGGCGCTTCCCACCTCATCACGGGAGCCACAGCAAACCTGGGGGCAGACGGCACACAACGTGACAAGTGCAGCCCCACAGGCCCCTCAACGTCAACATAAAGACACTTCACAGAAGCGCATCAAGGTTACTATACACCACAACCAACGGGAATTGTTTCTGGGGTGCAAGGTTGTTTTCATGTCCAAAAATCAGTCAATGTGACCACCACATACTGACAGGCAAAAGAAGAAAAACCACACACACCATCATATCAATCAACAAACTCCTAAAAAATTCAACACCCACTGGTGATAACAACACACAGAAAACAGGAAATCCAACTTGATCAAGGGCATCTACGGGCAGAAAACCCAGAAACAGACCACACAGGTGCACCTGAGTGCCCTCGAGACGCTGCGGCAGAAGCAGCCATGGAGGGAGGACGGCGCCGGCGACAATGCGGCTGGGGCCAGAAAACCACCCTCAAGAGCATCTGGGGCTGAGGTGTCGCATGAAAGACTATAGAACTTTTAGGATAAAACATCAAGAAAATCTCTGGGATCTGGGACTGGGCTACTAGTTAACTTCACAGCAAAAGCACGATTCCTAAAAGAAAGAAGTGATAAATAGAATCTCGTGAAAATTAATAACTTTTGCTCTGCCAAAGACCCTCTAGAGGATGAAAACTCAAGTTGCTGACTGGGAGGAAAGGATTTGTAAGCCACACATCCAACCAAGGACTAGCAGATGGAACAAACACAGGAGTGATGGGTAATTATTCACCACGGAAATGCAGGTTACAGCCACAACCAGCTCAGGACACACCTATCAGAATGGCTGCAATAAACAGCACTGGCCACGCCACCTGGGTCACTCACCGCTGCTGAAAACATGAAATGATGATGCAGGTATTCCAGAAAAAGGTCTGGCAGTTTCTTTAAAAAGCTAAACACACACTCACCATCCAATTTAGCAACTGTATCTACCACTGGACATTTATCCCAAAGAAATAAAAACTTAGATAGGTTAAGCATCCCATATCCAACATGCTTGAGACCAAAAGTGTTTCCGATTTTGGATTTTTGAATTTTGAAATATCTGTGTTACACTTACGGGCTGAGCATCTGCAACCGGTGACCCCAAATCCGAATGCTCTGATGAGCACTTCCTTCCAGGGCCACGTCAGTGCTCAGAAAGGTGCGAATCTTCGTGCTCAGAAAGATGCGAACCTTGGAGCATTCCCAATTTTGGATTTTCGGATGAGAGGCTCAACCTGTGCAAACATTTAGAGCAAAGGCTGGAAACAACCCAAATATCCCTCAAAGGGTGAACGGTGAAACCACAGTTGGCTCCACCACACACCATGAGACCCGGCTCCGCAAGAGAAGGACATGAATGAGGGGCACGGAGGTGCTCCAGGAACTGGCTGAGGGAGGAGGGCCAACTCCAGAAGGTTGCCGACTTGCCGTACACAGCACTCCGGAGAGGGCGCGGTGCAGGGAGGGACAGCAGGTGGAGGGCCAAGGGTCAGGGAAGGGGAAGCGGCTGAGGCCATGAAGGGCCGCAGGGGAGCTGGTGTGAGGGTTCTGTGTCTGGATGAGTCTGTGTGGGTCCTAGTGGTGAGCCTGTTCCCCACTTTCACAAGAGGCAACCACAGGGGAAACAGGATAAAGGGTCCAAAGGGCCTCTCTGCATTATCACTGCATATATATCTACAAATATCTCAAAAAGTCTAACCAAAAAACTGAATGTTCCCACTCACCCCCAGGTCCCCAGTGAGCCAGCCTGCCAGCCCAGCACCAAAAAGGTCAAAGCCAGAATTAGAAAAAACGTACAACGTTCAAAGACTTAGATGAGGACCAGTCCAGGGACGAAGGGCCAACTGCCCTCACTGCCAAGCGTCCTGTCACAATGGGGTCTGCACGGGGTTCCGAGAACAGAATGAGGAACCACCACTCTCAGGAGGGTGGGGAGACGGGGCCACCTCCACAGCAGCACAACCAATGCACACAACATATGAGGCCTGGGGCCACTCAGGCACGGGACCCACTGTGAGACGGGATGCCATGGGGGAATCGGGCAACCAATGCCCGTGACAGATGAGGCCTGGGGCTGCTCAGGTGTGGGACCCTCCGTGAGACAGGAGTGCCATGGGGGAACTGGGCTGCAGGGCACCAGTGCTGTTGCAAGCGTGTGAGGGTGGCTGCAGGAGACCACGCTGGACCCGTTTATACAGGTGGAGTGGTCCTGCAGGCACTAGGGGTCCACACGTGGAGTGGCATTGCGGACACAGGTCTATTTAGTGCAGGGAACTGGGCAGGCGCCACATGAACTCAGACAAGCAGGGGGGACTCTTGGATTAAACCAGAAGAAAACACTCTACTGTTCCTCCAAGATGGAGGCCTACGGAGAAAAGGGAGGGTGGGACCAGAGGCGTGGCCAATCCACACAGGCCCAGGTCCTCACCGCAGCACGAAGGCCCCGCAGAACTCCTGCCGGCTGGTCCCGTTTCCTCAGACTTCCAGCACTATGTCTAGCCTGGGGAGGGAGACATTCAAACAGGGATTCCTTTTTTCTGATGTAAGTAGGTCGTTTCATCAATTTTGAAAACTATCAAAAAGCAGAACCCAGGCTCATTTTAGGAGAACTCAGTTTCCAACACGTACAAGTGAAGGGAGAGACATTTCCTTAACGTGACAAAGATGCATCCAGCCTGCAATCACCCAGACCAGGGGGCCCGCTGCTGCAGCCACAACAACGCTGCTTCCCGCCACCAAACTGACGATTATCGCAACCTAACAAATCACATTAACATCCTTTCGTATAAATGAGCTGGTATTAACTGAAGTAATATTGATATTTTGGTGCAAATTACACTTTCACATTAAAAACAGAAGAAAATTTCATCAAAAGTCGACTTATTCAAATGAACTACAGCCCAGCGTGCATCTTCCTCACGGAAGGCACAGCTAAACAGTTGTTTATGACGTGCCATTCGAAACTGAACTGCTGCTGTTCACGTAAATTATACACATTTCAGAACACACATACACAGTTATCGGCTGCCATGTTATTAGTGTCATTCAAGTAAAAGTGTTTGACTTCATTCAAATCCAGCTTACCATCTGCAAGTCTGTTTTCAGATAACAATTATTTTTTTCTCATTGATCTTAGAAATTCCTAGCTCACTTCAAGCAAGGCTGAATTATTAAAACACCAGTTTTGTATCTAATCTTTAACCACTTTATGTAGTTTAAGACAATGAGGACAGGAGCTTGAGACCAACCTCAGCAACATGATGAAACCCCATCTCTGCTAAAAATACACAGATTAGCCAGGCGTGGTGGCACGTGCCTGTAATTCCAGCTGCTCAAGAGGCTGAGGCATGAGAATTGCTTGAACCTGGGAGGCGGAGGTTGCAGTGAGCCAAGATTGCACCACTGCACTCCAGCCTGGACGATGGAGCAAGATTCCGTCTCAAAAAAAAAAAAATAAATAAAAATACTGAAGAAAAAATAAGTCAAAGGTTTGTGATTTTATTTTAAATTATTAAGAAAAATTTTTTTTTGAGACAGGCTCTCACCCTGTGGCCCAGGATGAAGCGCAGGGGTGCGATCACAGCTCACTGCAGCCTTGAACTCCTGAGCTCGAGAGATCCTTGCGGGTCCACCTCCCAAAGCACTGGGACTACAGTGCGAGCCACCCCCCTGGATATTTTATTCAACAGTATGAAAAGCAGCGTCTAAAGAACAGGTGCTGTTCGCAGTACTGATCGTGTGGCTGCTTTAAATTATCACATAATTTCGAAACCAAATCTCAGCAGTATCACTTCAGTGCACGTATCTGTCCTGCCATCGTGCTTCTACTGATTAGAATGACAGTACAGAACAGACCCTGACTTCCTAGACGGGGGGTCTCCACATCCTTCTGCTCTAGGTGGTGCTGGCCCGTTCACTGACTGGCCCACAGCAATCCCATAGGCCAGGTTCCGCCCTGCTGTTCTCAGAAGTGTCCAGGAGCTTTGTCAACTGGCTGGAGAGTTGGAATTAATTAAGTCAAATAAAGAAGTAAGAGTAGCACCAAAGCACTAAGCCCTGGTGTTACAGAAAGAGACCTGTTCCCAGTCCCTGGGATCACCGCAGTGGTGAGAGTGGCTGTGGGCTGGGCCTGAGCGGCTCCAGGGTAGGAGGCTTCGCAGGAGCAAGTGGGCAGCGTGTGGGATCAGCTATGCCTTCGCCACAGATGAAAGGACGGAGAGCTTCCAGAGGGCACGTGCCATGCTCAGGGCCCTTCTGGACCCTGCCCCAGGCGCCCCCTCATTCGGCTGTTCTTGAGCCTTTAAAATAAACTGGTATTGCTGAGTGAAACGTTTTCCAGAATTTTGTGAGCCGATTCAGCAGATTATCAAAACTGCACAAGTCTGTGTGTGGGGACCCCCAACACTGTGGCCAAGCTGGACAGTGAGGTGGCCTGGGGGTCCGAGATGAGGGCAGCCTGGTGGGACTGAGCCCCTAGACTCAAGGCCTGATGACAACCGTGGGTCGTCAGCGTCAGAAACAAACTGAACTTTAGGCACCTGCTGGCCTCGAAGAGCTAGAGAAGCAGTGTTGGAAAGACACCTTGTATTAAAAACCCAACCAGCCCGCAACAGGAAGCCCTTCTAAAGACCTGAAACGACATCACCACGAGGATGCCTTAACAGGAGATGACATCGTCACCAGAACACGATGGGAAGTGACATCACCAGGACACGATGGGAGGTGACATCATCACCAGAATGCGCTAATGACGGGTGGTGACATCATCACTAGGACACGATGGGAGGTGACATCATCACGAGGACGCCCTCCTAATGACAGGAGGTGACAGCATCACCAGGACACGATGGGAGGTGACATCATCACCAGGACGCCTTCCTAATGACGGGAGGTGACAGCATCACCAGGACACAATAGGAGGTGACATCATCACCAGGACGCCCTCCTAATGACGGGAGGTGACAGCATCACCAGGACACAATAGGAGGTGACATCATCACCAGGATGCCCTCCTAATGATGGGAGGTGACATCACCAGGACACAATGGGAGGTGACAGCATCACCAGGACGCCTTCCTAACGACAGGAGATGACATCGTCACCAGGACACAACAGGTGACATCATCACCAGGACACAGTGGGAGGTGACATCATCACCAGGATGCCTTCCTAATGATGGGAGGTGACATCATCACCAGGACACGATGGGAGGTGACATCATCACCAGGACGCCTTCCTAATGGGAGGTGACAGCATCACCAGGACGCCTTCCTAACGACAGGAGATGACATCGTCACCAGGACACAATGGGAGGTGACATCATCACCAGGATGCCTTCCTAATGATGGGAGGTGACATCATCACCAGGACACGATGGGAGGTGACATCATCACCAGGACACCTTCCTAATGGGAGGTGACAGCATCACCAGGACGCCTTCCTAACAGCAGGAGATGACATCATCACCAGGACACAATGGGAGGTGACATCATCACCAGGATGCCTTCCTAATGATGGGAGGTGACAGCATCACCAGGACACGATGGGAGGTGACATCATCACCAGGACGCCTTCCTAATGGGAGGTGACATCATCACCAGGACGCTTTCCTAATGATGGGAGGTGACATCAACACCAGGACGCCTTCCTAATGGGAGGTGACATCATCACCAGGACGCCTTCCTAATGGGAAGTGACATCACCAGGACACCTTCCTAACAACTGGAGGTGACATCACCAGGATGCCTTCCTAACAACGGGAGGTGACATCATCACGAGGACACCTTCCTATCCATCAGGGATGACATCATCTCTGTGGCTGGGGATCCTCTTCCCTGTCATCAGAATGGAGGACCTCAGATTCATCCCAAACCCCCCACCCCCTAGGTCCCAGAGCGTCGCCAGGCTGCCGCACGGGAAGCCACCCGCACCGGCCCAGCTGCCCGCAGCCACCCTGCACCTGCCCACATCCCAGTCACCCGACCCGACTCCTCCTCTTAGCAACACTCTCCACCATGACCTCAAGGGCCGTGAAATCAGCCGAGAGGGGCACACGCTGCTCTCCAGAATCGTAAAAGACAAAACACAATCTATGAAACAGAAAACCGGGGAGGAACTAGAGCGCGTTTCCAGAGGGAGCGGCCTCTCCCGAAAGCCGGCTGGGCTTTGCCGCGGTGCCTGGCGGGGCCTTCTCACCTGTCCACCCAGGTTCGGGAGCTGCCACCCACTGTGCGAAGGCCACGCCCTGGCCACCCCTGCTCCTGACTTGGGAGGGCCATGCACTCCAGGCCTCAGCATCCCCACGCAGGGACAGTGCTGGATCCTGCAAAGGCTCGAAAAGGACATCAAGCCGTACCTCTCCATCTCCCCATTAACCGTGAGCACCCGTCTCCCTCTAGCAGCCTGCATTCTGTACCCGTCACAGGATCTGAGGTGTTGTGACCTGTCAGACGGCTTCCAGGGGCAAACGCACACCAGGTCTTGGTGGGTGCTCCTTGCCTGGGTCAAGTTTAATTGAGTTGAACTTTTGGTTGAATTTCAAAGCAACAACCACGGTACAAACAAAGACTCCTCACTTAAATCTCCAACAATGTCCCACAGCCATTTACATGGGGTCTCCAGGGGCCACAACCTTAGGCTGAGGGCTGATCTCGGGTCCACGCGGGCAAACAGGCACAGAGGCCACATGCTCAGGAAGCATCCCTCAGGGCCTGCAATCTCCCCACTCCAGGGCAGCACAGATCCCGGCTACCAACGCCTTCCAGTCCAATCAAGTTTCCCTTCCTCACAGTGCTGTTTACCAGCCGCCACTGCCACCAACCCCTGCATCTGCTCTGTGTGGAAACGAAGAGGGCAGCCTGGGGTTGGCAGAGCAGCAAACGTGGAGCCGGCGGAGAGCAGATGGTGAGGCGAGTGGGGAGGGGGGCTCAGAACCAGCCCGGCTCTGCTCGTTCTCTGCTGAGTGTTCCCAGGACCGAGTGCTCTGCGGGGCGGCCACAGGTGGGCACATGCGGGTGCCTGGACAACATCTGAGAAGCTGATGGTCGGGGTTTTGTTTTAGTTTTGGGACCCAAGACAGGAGAGAAAAACAAAAGGACCCAAGACTGCAAGCGGGGGCGGCGCTCCCACAAGGTGGAAGCAGGAGTCACCGTCTGCAGCCTCCACCCGCCCTCACTTCGGGCAACTGACGCCATCCCCCCAACAGACTGGAGCAGCAAGCTTGAAGAGCCCTCATTAGCTGGGGACAGTGGCTGGGCCGCCACGTACCTGAAGGAAGAGGGCTCCTGGCGGATGGGTAGGGAGCTGGAGGGTGCTGGGGGCCCCCGGGCGCCCGTCCTGATGAGCTTCCCCGTGTTGGAGTCGTAGATCCGAACCTCGGGGCCAGGCTGGGCCTTGGGAAGAACCGGCATCGGGTGGAACAAGGCGGTGGGGGGCACACCCTCCCGGTCGGGAAAGGCCGCAGGGCTGTTCTCCCTGTCGGAGGAAGAGAACGAGGGCCATGAGCGGGGCGTCCGGGTGATGAGGGGCACTGCCCAGGTGCATGAACCAACAGCTGTCCAGCAAGGGAACGCCTGGCACGGACCTGCTGGGTGCAGCGAGGACCCACCTCTGTGCCTTGGTGTGATCGTCCCTGAGCGGGAAGAGCTGCTCCTCCACCTTGTCCCAGCGCTCCAGGCAGCTCCACAGCCAGTCAGGGTTGACCACGTGCAGGTGTCCGCACTCCTGTGCCTGCAGCACCTTCTCTGTGCCTGCAGGAGACCCGGCTGCGTCAGGCTGTTCCGGCCAGCACTGGAGGCTCAGGGCCCACATCCGGCTGCACCCACCAGGGCCCTCACCTGGCTGTACCCCACCAGGGCTCAGGGCCCTCACTCGGCTGCATCCCACCAGGGCCTTCACCTGACTGCACCCCTGCAGGGCTCAGGGCCCTCACCCAGCTGTACCCCACCAGGGCCCTCACCCGGCTGCACCCCACCAAGGCCCTCACTCGGCTGCACCTCTCCAGGACTCAGGGCCTTCACCCAGCTGTACCCCACCAGGGCTCAGGGCCCTCACTCGGCTGCACCCCACCAGGGCCCCCACCCGGCTACACCCCACCAGGGCCCAGGGCCCTCACCTGGCAGTACCCACCAGGACTCAGGGCCTTCACCCAGCTGTACCCCACCAGGGCTCAGGGCCCTCACTCGGCTGCAGCCCACCAGGGCTCAGGGCCCTCACCCGGCTGTACCCACCAGGACTCAGGGCCTTTACCCAGCTGTACCCCACTAGGGCTCAGGGCCCTCACTCGGCTGCACCCCACCAGGGCCCTCACCCGGCTGCACCCCACCAGGGCTGCCCACTGCAGGTTCCCATCTGCCAGGCCAGGGATAGGCAGCCATGGTGGGAAGGGGTGGATCTCAGACGGGGAGCCGGGCACAGCGGGTGACCTGAGCAGCAGGAGGACCTCTCTTAGCATGTGTTCAGCAAAGCCTCTCAACAGTGAGGCCACGTACACAGAAGCAAAAAGGAAACGTGAGCACAATTCAGGGGGAAGGAAGGAATGCGAGAGAAGGGCCAGGAGCTTGGGCACTCACAGGACAGGGCAGGCGGGCACCTGAGGGGCCAAGGAGGACCCTGGCCTGGCCCAGCTCCATGCTCAGGAGAGAAGGGTCAGGAGCTGGGCAGACACGCGGCAGGGCAGACAGGCACCTGAGGGGCCAAGGAGGACCCCGGCCTGGCCCGGCTCCACGCTCAGGAGAGAAGGGTCTGACTGCCCACAGGAGGCCAGGGCTTGGCTTTCTCCTGGGATCAAGGGTCTCGCTGGGCTCCACGGAAAGCCCGCCTCTGCCCTGCAGCTAGCACCTGGCTATTTCACACTGAGATGGAACCTTCCATTTACCCTTGATTCAAATGCTTTACTGAGCACATGCGTGTCCAACGCCCCATGATACGTGCCAGAGCCGTGGCCTCAAATAAGACCACACCTGCTGTCAGGGAGCGTGCGTGGACAGGGATGAGCTCACCCCACAAGGCTTTCCTGAGCCCCGGAGGCGGGGCCACGCACTGAGAAGCCCTCTCAGGAAACGCCGCCAGGACAGGAAGCAGATTGGAGGAGAAAAACCGCAATCTTCATTCGCGGAAAATCCAGGTGCTTATGGGAGCATTTTCACAGAATAACTAGAATAACGAGGTATTTGGGTTTTTTAAGCACCGGGGTGTTAAGTCTTCCTTCAAGAATCACCTATTGCTGAAAGGTTGTTTTATTCGGCGGAAGTTTCAACATGTCAGAGCAGCCTGCCCCGTCCGGGACAGGTTTCACCGTCGGGAGACAGCAGGCCTGTCCTCCGCCCTCCCAGCCACAACGTGTCCTTCTGTGCACGTTTCAGCTGAAACCTTGCATTTAGTTTTCTAACTCAGAGGGTTTGTCAATCTTTTACCTGCGAACTCCTGTTCCTGCCTCGAATTTCTCCACTACGTCCCTATCGCTGATTCCCTGTTTTCCAACCCGGCCATGGCTTACTCCAGGGAGAAGGTTGAACTTTCTACACACGAGTAACTCCCACCCCTGAATGGTGTGTGCGATGACTGCGGTCTGAAAGCATGAACGTGCCCAAACTCCAATTTCACCCACTGTCATGATCTATTCTTAAAAGATGGTGATTCTGGGAAATGTTTCTGAAAATTGAAAGTGAGATAAACAGCAATGCCAACTCTAAGGAGTGCCTGCAAGGAGCCCGCGGGCCTGACCATGCCCAGGGCACAGGGAGGCAGCACTCACCAGCTCGCGCGGCGATCAGGTGCGTGGCCCTGTCAGGGGCGTCGGGGCTCAGCACCAGCCGAGTGAGGATCTTCGCTCCCAGCGCCGTGGCGTGGTAATGCTCCCGCGTCTTCTCTATCGGGAAGTTTGTCGGGTGTAGCCCACTGAAAATTATGGCCACGTCTGCCAGCACCTTGCTCTTGAGCTCCGGCACGATCTTGCGGATGTCCGGCGCCTCCTCGATCTCCTTGTTGAGGTAGCGGTCATACTTGGCATAGTAGTCAGTGTGTACACGGACCAGGATCTCCTCCAGGTAGATGAGGTGGTCATCCTCATCCGTGTCCTCCTCCTCCTCCTCCTCCATGCTCTGGTCCAGGGACTCACCCGCAGTGACCCCCGACAGCTCGCTGTTCTGTGACTCGGTCTCCGCCTCCTTCCTGTCGGCACAGCCGTTGCCCAGGCCGCAGAGGCCATCCCGCTCGCCCTCCTCCTGCCCACCCAGCTCAGGCTCCTTGTCCGGGGCATGCGCGCCAGGCTCGGCCTCTCCGGGGAGACTCGGTGCTGCAGGCCGCCCCGGCTCCAGGGAACTGCCCTGTGCCAGCGCCCCGGCTCCCTCTGGGGCAGCCTTCGGCTTCTGCCGGCCTCTTTTCCCCTCGCTTTCGCCATCAGAGGCGGAGGAGGAGGACTTCGTGCCCTCGGACTCACTGCTGCTCTCGCTGTCGCTGGATAAGTCAAAGTCCAGGTCAGTGCCCGTGGCACCCTGGGCAGGCCGCTGTCCCGGTGCCACCCGGCCACCCTGCGCACAGGATCCCTGGGGCTCAGGAGCGCCTGCCAGCTCTTGGCTGCTGGTGGGGGCCTGGGCAGGGGGCCAGATGTCCCTCTCGTCTGGCTTCCCGGGGCGGGGTGAGTCCCGCGGGGTGGCGGCCTCGCTGCCGTTCAGCTCCCGTGCAGGCTTCTCCAGGCCATTGCTGGGCTCCACTCCAGGGGCCTGCGTTACCCCCTCAGGGTCTCTCACGGGCGGAGATGGCTCTGAGACCTCAGTGCCTCGAGAATGATTTACTAAATATGCATGCAAAAGGAAAAGTTACCGCAATTTAGCATTAAACATTAAATAACGTTCCAAGTTAAAGCAGCACCCTTCTCCATGGCTGTGAAGTCCACCACCCTCTAGACCAGGCCTTGGCAACCTTGCTGTGAAGAGGCCGGACAGGGTGAGCACCCCTTACCTGAAGTGCGTGGGACCAGGGACGTTTTGGATATTGAATTTTTTTCTGAGTTTGGAGTATTTGCGTTAAACTTACCAGCTGAACATCCCCAATCCAAAAAATCCAAAATACCCTAATGAGTATTTCCTTTAAGCACCATGTGGGCACTCAAAAAGCTTTGGATTTGGGGGAGGAGGGATCCTCCACCTGTAAGGACAACTAGAGGTTTCCGGGCTGCAGACCTGGCGCCACCGTGACCGTAAGCCCCTGCAGACCTGGCGCCACCGTGGCCGTAAGCCCCTGACGACCTGGCGCCACCGTGGCCGTAAGCCCCTGCAGACCTGGCACCACCGTGGCCGTAAGCCCCTGCAGACCTGGCGCCACCGTGGCCGTAAGCCCCTGCAGACCTGGCGCCACCGTGGCCGTAAGCCCCTGCAGACCTGGCGCCACCGTGGCCGTAAGCCCCTGCAGACCTGGCGCCACCGTGACTGTAAGCCCCGGATGACCTGGCACCACCATGGCCACGGTTTCCCAAGCCACGGTCTGGAGGAAGTCAGCAACTCCACGCTGACCCCACCCATCTGGTGAAAGTCTCTACCTTCTACAGGAATGCCCCTAGTTTCACCCTCCCCTGGTCCTAACCTCCAAGTTCCATTTTAGTGACTACAGCAATAAACGTGTGCCTCAAAATATTTTTCAAAAAACTAAAGATCAAAAAACACTTAACTTTCGTAGGGTGGACGTCAGCTGCATGCCTGACTGACAAGTTAAACCACGCTGCTCTCTGGGGCCCCAGCCAGCGCCCAGCCTGACCACTGCGCATGGGGAACGGTTATTCCCCGCAGAGCCACCGCCCCCACATTCACTCTCTCTACAGAACACTATGGCCCAATACCCAGGGATGTGTTTAAGGAAAACTGGGATGAAGGGAGTTATTCGGATGTGTTAGGTTAAACAGCATCCTCTAGTTTTTATTCAACTGGGAAAACGCTTAAGTGAGGGCCATTTTTTTTAAAGCCCAAATTGAAACAACCTAATATCCTGTTTTTCAGTACTCTATAAATAAATCCAATAATCTCTACTGAAACACAAATAAAAAAAGTGTATCTTGAATTTATAGCAGTCAAAACAGAGATAAGAAATAAGAAGAGCTAAACAATAAGCAAATGTGAATTCTTCTAGAGAATCAGGAAGGAGGTTACCCACCTTTCTTTCTCGTCTGAGATTCTCGGGACCCAGGGGGCGCATTCATATCACCCGTGCCCTGGAAGTATACATATTTCTTCACAGTTATCAGATTGGGGGCAAACTTCCAGACATCTTCTCGATCATCAATAATGCAAACCATTGAGTCTCCACAAGGAAAGAGATTTCTACAAGTGAAAATGCATAATTTACAAAAAATAATAATGAAAAGTTGTAGTCATTCATCTTGCCAAGCGTAACAGTTTAAGATTCTAATCCACATGTAACCAGCAGACAGCAGGTTAATCAGACGGACACCAACCGCCCCGAAGCCCTTTCTGTTTGGGTCGCATTTAAACCTCAGTAACATCTTCAGTGCTGTTTCCGATTCTCCTTCAGGCAGGAGTTCCCAAACTGTTTCTTAAAGCGCCAGAGTCACTATTTTAGGCATTACGGGCCACGGGGACGAAACCCAACTCTGACCGTGTGGGCGTGACCATGTTTCAATAAAACTTCATGTACAAACAAGGCTGGGTAGCCTAAAGGCCAGAATTTGCTGACTCTGTAAACAGACCAGGCTAGGCGCTGTGTGGCTAATGCCTGCAATTCCAGCACTTCGGGAGGTCTTGGCAGGAGGGTCTCTTGAGCCTAGGAGTCTGACACCAGCCTGGGCAACATAGGAAGACCCTGTCTCTACAAAACATACAAAAGTTAGACAGGTGTGGGGGTGTGCGCCCGTAGTCCCGGCTACTCAGAAGGCTGAAGTGGGAGGATAGCTTGAGCCCAGGAAGTCAAGACTGTGGTGAGCTGAGACCACACTACTGCACTTAAGCCTGGGCGACCGAGCCAGACCGTCTCAAAAACAAAAAAACAAAAACCAGACCCAGTGCTGATGCAGAATTTCTAAGCGGACCTCCAGCTACCTCCATGCAAACCACAGTACCCACCACTGGGGCCTATCCTGGGCATGTCCCCATTCGATCCTATCATTCTGCCTTCGGGTGACTTTTCCCTGTAACACACTAACAGCACCTCTCATTCTCTTTTGCCCTGATTAATCTACTCACTCTGGCGCTAACTAGCAAAAAGGAGGTTTCTGAAGTAAATACTTTCAGATTCTCTTCTTAGTTAACATTAGCAAGCATAGGTCTCACAGTCTGTGGGGACTGGCCACCGAGAACCAGGAAGTGGCTGAAGCTGAGGCTGTGGCCACCAGGCTCCTCGGGAAAACAAGCCACACCTGACATGGTGTTACATCAGCAAGGACGGACTTCCGGGTGGAAATGGGGAAACTCCTCGAATACAGTGGGCAAGAAACGTCAAAGCATATAAAAGAATATTAAAAAGTCTTTGCGGAGGGGCGGGGAGCGGCCTGCCCTGTCAAAAAGGCTCAGAGGAGCTGACAGGAAGGGGCTCTGGAGCTGATGGAAAGGAAGAAATGGCAAAAGGCAAAAATATGGGCATAATAGTCAAGTGACTTAGGATTTTGTAAATTATTAGTAGGATTAACACAAGCAAGCTCCTAAGAAAATTATCAACCTCAGATGCTGACGCTGATGTCAAGAACTGCCGCTAAACCAGTGGCCCCGCAGAGCTGCTGAGCTTGTGCGTGGGGTGGGGCTATTCACATTCCTCTGCCCACTCGGGTCCTTTCGACTGCCACCTCCCTGATGCCATCCCGTCCCTACGCCTGCCCTCCTGGGTTCTGGGCCCGAAAGTCCAGTCGCTGAGTTCCCCAGGAGCCCTGGCCATTCCCTGGATACTCAGAGGCAAAAGGGCCAAATCCTTCACAGCTGGCTACTGTGGGGACACACGCCTGCCTCCTGCCTCTCCAACCACAAATCTCGATGCCAGGTCTTCGCATAGGAATGAAAATTTGGAGGTCAAGGGACTAGAATGATCACATATGCCAGGGTTGGTTAAGCAAACAGATACACAACGTCAGGTGGCGGGCTGACATCGAATCAGTGCCGTCTGACAGAGATGAGGCAGAGAGGATGACAGATACACAACGTCAGGTGGCGGGCTGACATCGAATTGTGCTGTCTAACAGAGACGAGGCAGAGAGGATGACAGTCCCCGCCTCCACAGACACAAAAGCCCAGCTCAAGGGCAGTTTCAGGGCAGGACAGGGCTATTGGGATGGGGCAGAGCCTGGATTGGGGGCCCTGCACAAGCACCAGGGCTCAGGCACCTGGGAGACAGTGGGAGTACAGGTTAGAAAGGAACTTTCTAAGTATTCTGAGGCTAACAATGAAAACTGGAAAGGGGATGTTAAATTCCTAAAAAACATCAATACAGAAATACTGCTCTAGGCCGGGTGCAGTGGCTCATGCCTGTAATCCCAACACTTTGGGAGGCTGAGGCGGGAAGATCACGAGGTCAGGAGATCGAGGCCATCCTGGCTAACACAGTGAAACCACCGTCTGTACTAAAAATACAAAAAAAAAAAAAAAAAAAAAAAAAAAAAAAATTGCCGGGCGAGGTGGTGGGTGCCTGTAGTCCTAGCTACTCAGGAGGCTGAGGCAGGAGAATGGCGTGAACTCTGGAAGCAGAGCTTGCAGTGAGCCGAGATCGCGCCACTGCACTCTAGCCTGGGCAACAGCAAGACTCCGTCTCAAAAAAAAAGAAAAAAAGAAATACTGCTCTAAATTTCAAGATGCGATTTTTGAAATGGGAAATGAACAGCGAGGTCTTTGTGAGGAGCGCGGCTGGGTACATACCTAAGGTTTCCCGTTTTAGAAAATGGGTCAATACATTCATCCCTTGATAATATTCGGTGAGAAAAAAGCTTCTTCTCGGGGTCTAAAAAGCCTTGGAAAAGAAAACAGGACAAAGATTACATACCTGAGACACGTTTCGGTCACACGGCACATGGTGAAGCCTTGAATGTTTTTTTTAAAGTGGCAGACACACAACATGATGAACTGGCACCAAACACTTCATCCCTTTTGAGGTAAGACGTGGCTCGTGTGGGGCTTCTTTTCTCTTATGGTGAACTTATTTCTCAAACACAAACCATGTTGATAAGTGTTTATAATTCTACTAACATGAAAAATTTGTAATATCTTACTGAAGTGCCTATCTAAACCAGATGGATATGAAAATTATGGAAGGCACTTGCATAAGTAAAACAGGTAAGTCATCATTTGATCTCAAAACACTCTGCATGTGGTTCTTCACGTGATGGAGTCTGGACACTAAGCTGAAATTACTCTGCGTCACCTCGGATATGATCTTTCCTAACCCCAGGCGGGTGGCCCACTGCTCTCATCTGTAATGGTTAGTGGAGGAAAGGTTATCAAGGAAGTTTGCTTCTCCCAAGTTACTTTAGTAGAATTATACAAACTCACACTCTGTGTTGTAGAAATACACAGAAAGGCCGGTTATTTCTAACTATTATACACGTTTTAATAATGGTAATTTAGGCAACATCGAGGAAGCCTGCCTGACAGAGGAGACTGGGAAGGAAGGACATCCGGGACACCACCTTGACCAGCTAGTGCAGAAGGTGCTTCCACAGCGAAGAATCCGCTTAGGCTACATTTGACACTTGCACTTCACATGACATCCGTTAATTACAAGTCTAGTTTAACTTTTTAACAGTAATTTTCTAAAGAGCTTCACATGCTTGATGCTCAGCTTCGACTCCTTAAAGATAGTAAAACCAAGCTATCTGCAAACATCCCTTCTACACTTCAGGAAGCACCACTGTGAAAATCAACAAATCAGGCAGAGGTTTCTTGGGATCACCTCTGCTCTGGGTTTCTTGATCTATAAATTTATCTTCTGAACTTTAAGCCTACTGTGTTATCTTCCTAAGTTTGCAAAGTCTTCAATTTACAGTAAAGTGCTCATATTTTTAAATAAAGATAATTTAAAAATAAGTTATCTCTTGTTAGTTTACAAGAACCACAGAGTATATAGGAAACATATTTCAGTTTGTAGAAGTAGGGGTACTAAACAAAAACAAAACAACCTTTCAGGTAATTTATTCCATTGGTAAAATATGTTGGAGGCATCAAGTTCAATGTCAATTTAATTTCACCAGCCATTTAAAACATTCTGGAGAGAAAAAGCTACGGTTAATTATGAAGCCTCAAAAAGAAATGTTTCAGCTACTCATCATACAAGTGGCTGAAGCCATAAATCTGCACATACCTCAAGAGATAGGTATTCCATGGCACCCACATAACGTGTTTAAGGGTATTCGATCATTTAACATTTACTGAGTTTAACATTACTTGGAATTTTGCTAGGAATATAAGGTGCGGGAATGAATACAACATAATTATTACTCTCCCAAGAGGCTGAAATTGTAAGAAAATTGAACACATTAACACACAACCTCTATCTGGCCTGACACGTGCAGGTGCCGTGGAACAAAACGGGGACTGGATTGCACAAGAGTGAGCCGGTCCAGAGTCGGGAGCTGGGACTGTGGTCTTGTCATGGCACGCAGGTCCCCTGCATAACCGTTAGTTATGCATGAAGCAAAGGAGGTAGATGAGACATCTCAAAAGCACTGTGAACCCAAAGTCCAACCACGCAGCCCACATTCTCTCAAGACTTAAGTCTCACTGGAACGCCTGGCTCCACGCCTCTGCATGGCACACGGGGTCCACTTCCGGATCCGAATGCACCCCGGAACGCCTGGCTCCACGTCCCCACGTGGCACACGGGGTCCACTTCCGGATCTGAACGTGCCCTGACTGCACTCCACATAATCACTATTGTTTTCACGCTGGCTTTTAATCAACTACTCCCTGCACCCATCCCTACTGGGCTCAACCTCTGCACCACCACCTCTGAGATCACAAATGCGAGAAACACATTTGCTGTTTTTGATACAGGTTAAAACATACACATTACAATTAAAACAGAAGAGCTGCTCTGTGCACCACCTCAGTTACCCTGCAGCCCCACGGCACTATGCACAATGCACTGTGGGATCCGTAAGATCTTCTGGGAAGATGAACCTGCTTCCTGGCTGAAGCATCACCACCTCCAGACGTTTCAAATGCAGTACTGCCAGGAGCTTTCCGTTCCCTGATACCACTGGTTTGTTAGTATTTCATTAACCAAAAGATACTTGGGCTTAAAGGAGAAATAAATGCGATTGTTTCTCACTATGCGTAAATTCCAGATGATCACTGAGGCCATGAAGTCGCTAGATCTAAAGTCTGTTAATAGAATTATTAGCGTCTCTACTATCAGATAAAAGACACGCATCGCAAACTCTTAACATCTCTGTCCTAGTCATACTGAAAGCACGCATGCTATCAACACGGTCACTTTCAAAATGAAAAGCATCAAAAGCAGATGCTCGGCGACCACCTCAGGCTTCAGTCCGGACCTCACTTTCTCACTTGTAGAAAAGCTGACCCAGGTCATCTCTACAGATCCCGCCAGCCACAATGAAGCAAAGCTCGGCCTTCCTGAACCACAGCCTGGACACAGTCTTCCTCCTGCGTTGCTGGGCTCGAGGGCCCATGTTCTGTTGAGAATTTCTGCATCCATGTTCAAAGGGATACTGGTCTGCAGTTTTCTTGTGATGTCTTCGTCTGGTTTTGGCCGACATCCCTTGGACACGTTGGAATGCTGGAACTTTAGCATAGAAAGCAGAGCTTGAAACGGAGAAGGCACCAGACGGCCCGGTGACGCTCAACAAACCTAGCTGGTCTCACTGCAGGAGGACCCGCGCTCGAGGCTCTCCGCAGCCAAGCGCCCACCAGCAGGCTCCCTGCTCTGCTGTCTAAGCGGCTCAGAGGCCTGCGGATGTCTGCATGGATGCTCTGCTGAATCTGCGAGCAGCTCCCAGGCTCCCTCCAGCTTTCAGGCTGATAAAGAAACATGGCGTTCTCGTCACCTGCTTCATCTCTCACCACACGAGGCCTCATGAACGTGGAATCAGACTGTGGTGACCCATACCCTGCCTGCTGGTGTGACGGGTGGCAAGGGTGTAGCCCGGCTAAAACCTGGGACCCTCTGCTTTTAGCCCAAACCCCTCCAGCCAAGCATTTAAACAGATCCGAGCCTTCCACATGCTCCTCCTCACTGGGGCTTGTGTGCTCTGACCAGCAAACATCGATGCACCTCAGGAAAGGATAAGCAAGACGTGTGAAACAGCGAACCTAAAGAAGC
Source organism: Homo sapiens (assembly GCF_000001405.40). NCBI lineage: Eukaryota > Metazoa > Chordata > Mammalia > Primates > Hominidae > Homo > Homo sapiens. Next base: position 79,707,015 of record NC_000018.10, on the reverse strand, counting down.
CCAGCTTCAGAGAGAGACCTGGAGAAGGAAATCCGAAATGAGAAACACTTGCACGGGCACCAGATCAACGTATGGAAGACGGGACAGGAGGAGAAGAAACATCACTGGCATCCTGGACTCAGACGTGCAGGTCACCGGGCTGTGCCCGCTGGTGTGCGCCTTGTGTGGGAGGCGGGAGGCAAACCCGTCACCCTCCCAGGGAGCAGGCCATGCGGCGTGCAGTCCTCACAGTCCTGGGGGTCAGGAACCACTCCCTCACCGAACAATCCTGGTTTTAGGAACTCACCCAGAGGATCCAGTCCACAGAGGAGGGAAAAAAATCTTACATAAAATGATGAAGATTTATAACAACGTGATGGATAAATTCTTAGTGATGAAATCTTATGTGAAAAGAACGGTATGTAAACTTGTACATATATTAAGACAAACTAGGCAAAATTATACATACAAAAAAAAAACCAGAGAATAGGGGACAGCCATGGATATGATGAGCGTGAGGAATAATTTTCTGGTTTTTAGTCTTTCCCTGACATTTGTTATTGTGAGAGTGATGCCCCGCTCAGTTGTCTGGTTTGAGTGGGCGTCACTGTCCCTGCGGTTTGTGTGACTTATGGGTTGTCCTCTGGGAGGTGCCTGGCACTGGCTGCAACGGCACAATCTGGGGCTGGAACACATGGGGATTTGGGGGTCTATTTCCACACAGTGGGCAGCTTAGTCGGCCTGGGCTGCTCTAAAGAAACTCCATAGTGTGGGTGACTCAGGAACACACGTCCCTTCCTCACAGTTCTGGAGGCCGGCGTCCGACCACGGCGCCAGCAACTTGGCTGCAGGTCAGTGGGCGCCGGCTTGCTGCATTTCCCGCAGCTCCCAGGGCCCACCTGGGTAAGGGCCCTGATTCCATTCACGAGGATGGAGTCCACAGGACCTCACCACCTCCCACGCCCCTCCTAACACCCTCGCCCTGGGACTGGGTTTTAACACATGGACTTGGGGGCTGTAAAACCCTCAGATCATAGCAGGCATTATTTCTTCACTGGCCCGAGGAAGTGAGCAATATCACCCTTGTGCATAATTACTCGTCTTCACATCATCTGTCTCAGGCAGCTATGCAGCAGCAGCCATAATGTTACAGGTGAATATTTCAAATTTCAATTACAAGAGGAATTAAAGGTCATGATCACAATTTCCTATAAAGGCACTAAATATTAAAGGAGGATTCAAAATTCATTTCCCCAACAACAACAAAAGACTAAGACCAATCTAGAAAGACCTTTGAATTTTAAAATGCTCAGTCTAACAACCTCTGGAGCCAGTACGGAGGAGCTTGCCTACACTGCCACTCGGCGCCTACATCCATGTGGGACAGACGGTCGCCGTCCCGTGGCAGCCCCCTCGCTTTGTCCACGTGGGACAGACGGTCGCCGTCCCGCACTGTCCCCTTGCTTCGTCCACGTGGGACAGACGTTGCTTCGTCCACGTGGAACAGACGGTCGCTGTCCCACTTTGTCCCCTCGCTTTGTCCATGAAGGACAGACGGTCACCATCCTGTGGCGTCCCCTCACTGCATCCACATGGGACAGTCACCGTCCCGTGGCACTGTCCCCTCGATTCGTCCTGCTGGTGCTGCCTCCCAGAGGGCACCGTAGCCTGGCATTCACGCTATCACCCAGGGAGACAGAAGCAAACGCTAAACCCTAAGGGTACCCATGTGTAGGCAGGGGACAATCATGCTGTGTGCAGTGACAGCACCCAGCAAGAGCACACACAAGCAGCCCGGCCCAAAGTCCCTGTGAACTGATTTAAGAAGGTATCTGTCGGAGGACGCTCGCAGAAGTTTCCACGTGCCCATGTGGTCCTGACAAACTCCCAAAGCGGCCCACCCAGTACCGCACCCGGCCAGAGCAGCCGCGGCCCCACCCAACAGCCCTGGTGGCAGAATTCCCTTACCTCTCACAACCCCCTGCACAACGGCCAACCCTAAGACTACAACTGAGTTGCAGGAGAGCTTCTTTTCTTTCTTCATCTTTAAGAAACCATCACCGAAAACAGGAAAGAAACCCACTGTTCACACGGCCTCTTCGGCTGCGGCTTGACTGACCTGCGATGGTGTGTGCGTACAGCCGGCTGCCGAAGGTGAAGACGTGCAGCTCGTACAGCTTGGCGATCTTCTCCAGGAAGTCCTTGCAGTGTGGACGCAGGCGCGTGTGCAGCATGGGCTCACCCCGGCCCAGCTGGAAGTGAAAGATGCCCTAAAAAGAATAGTAGCAACAGTCGGGAGAAAAGGCCTGAGGAGCCCCGGCCGCCCCCGCAACCTGTGTGCCCGAGACAGGCATCCTGAGAACACACGTGTGCCCCAGACAAGCGTTCTGAAGACACGCGTGTGCCCGACAGGCGTCCTGAAGACACACGGGTGCCTGAGACAGGCGTCCTGAAGACACACATGTGCCCATCCCTCCACATGGGACAGAGGATACACGTTTGCATGTACACGCCCCTCCACACGGGACAGAGGACACATGTGAGCATGTACACGCCCCTCCACACGGGACAGAGGACACGTGTGCGTGTACACGCCCCTCCACACGGGACAGAGGACATGCGTGTGTACACGCCCCTCCACGTGGGCATGGGACAGAGGACATGCGTGTGGACACACCACTCCACGTGGGACAGAGGATGCGTTTGCACCCGCCCCTCCACATGGGACAGGGGATAGGAGTGTGCACACACCTCTCCACGTGGGACAGAGGACGCATGTCCGCCTGACCCTCCAAATAAGGACGTGACCCTAACTGGTGCAAGGGGCTACCCGTGGCATTTAAAACCCACTGTGTAAGTAGTTTCCATGCACGCGGTACGAGTGAGTGAGTGCGGCCTTCTCTGCTGCGGGAATGCCCTCAGTGAGTGTGAATACTGACTGCCCGTGGTAACTAGGATAACCACCTACCTGCAACAACTGTTCAAGATAACCACCCTGGGTACCACGTTAACAGTAACAGCCTACGGTAACTACATGATAACCACCGATGACAGCTACACTAACTACTCACAATAGCTACCTGCCTGCAACGACCCGCCTAGGATAACCACCCCCGATAACCAGCCAAGAGTAACAGCCTGTGATAACTACACGATAACCATCCCCAATAACCACGCCAACAGTCACCACCTATGATAACTACATAACCACCGATGATAGCTACACTAACTACTCCTGGTAACTACCTACCTGCAACGACCGCCTAGGACATAACCACCCCTGATAACCACGCCAACAGTAACAACCTACACTAACTATGAGCTAACCACTGATGTCACTTCTGCCTTTGTTTCCTCGCTGATACGTGTTACACAGCAAGGCCACCGCAGCTGCTCGGAACAGACCTCCACCAACATCACGTGCTGACAGTGTTTTCCTGAGCTACTGAATAAAGGAAATCAACATTCCCGGGTAACCTGGTATAACGCATGGGTGATTTTCAGACAGTTTCTTTCATCTACATATACAACATAAAAGCTGAAAGTATTCTAAGTCATATTTAGTAGACAGTGAAATGAGCAACACCGACTCGCTTACATATGATCGACATGCAAATGAGTCTGCTTTCCTTAGGAAGCTAAACTTCGATCCTTTAAATCCTGTTATTTTCTCAGTAAAATATTTACTCTTAATGGCTTTAAAAAAAGGTAGATGACTTAAGCTCAGTTACATTTTTCTAGTTCTAAGTTAGTTACGACCCTCATGAAGAAGCTACTCTGTTCAAGGTTTAGGAGTGAGAAGTTCTAGTAACAACTTTCCCAGTTACATTTTTCTAGCTCTAAGTTAGTCACGACCGTCATGAAGAAGCTACTCTGTCAAATATTTAGGAGTGAGAAGTTCTAGTAACAACTTTCCCATTACTCAACAGTAAAAAGTCCAGCAGCTGTCCAGGCTTCGGGAGCTGTGGCCAGCACCACTTCTGATCCCTGAAATTGCTTTCAGAGGGGCCAGCAGTAGGGCCAGGCACCAGCCTCAGGGTCTCCTCTGGATGTCAAGTGGGGCACACTACTGCTACTGAGGAGGCAGAGGACAGACCGTTCATGCTTAGACCCCCCTCCCCACTACATCAGGACACTGTCACCTTCCAGACCACACAACTGAGAAACAGCCACATTATAACTAGACTCCACTGTCTTCAGCAGGCCTATCCTGGAGATACTGAGAATCACATGAATTTTTTGGTTTCCCAGTGAATATAATCCATGCTGACACTCTACTGCAGCTTATTAAACATTCAATAGCATTATATCTAAAAGAACAATGTACCTAACTTAATTTAAAAATACTTTATTATTAAAAATCACCGGGCGTGGTGGCTCAATGCCTATAATCCCAACACTTTGGGAGGCCGAGGCGGGAGGATCACTTGAGGTCAGGAGTTCGAGACCAGCCTGGCCAATATGGCACAACCCCGTCTCTACTAAAAATATAAAAATTAACTGGGTGTGGTGGTACACGCCTGTAGTCCCAGCTACTCGGGAGGCTGAGGCACAAGAATGGCTTGAACCCGGGAGGTGGAGGTTGCAGGATAGAGAGATCGTGTCACTGCACTCCAGCCTGGGCAACCCAGCAAGACTCCGTCTCAAAAAATTAAAAAATAAAAAATAAAAAATAATTTTATGATTAAAAAATGCTAACAACCATCTGAACCTTCAGCAAGTCATAGTCTTTCTGTCGGCGCAGGGTCTCACCTTGATGCTGATGGCTGCTGACTGATCAGAGGGGTGTTTACTGAAGGCTGGGGGTGGCTGTGATGATTTCTTGAAATAAGATGACAATGAAGTTTGTCCCATCAATCAACTCTTCCTTTCACAAAAGGTTTCTCTGTAGCATGCAATGCTGTTTGACAGCGTTTTACCCACAGAAGAACTGCTTTCAAAACTAGGAGCAATCCTCGTAGACCCTGCCGCTGGTTTACCAACTAAGTTGATGGAATCTTCCAAATCCTTTTTGGTCATTTCAACAACATTCGCAGCATCTTCTCCAGGAGCAGATTCCATTTCAAGAAACTACTTTCTTTGCTCATCCGTAAGAAGCAACTCCTCATCTGTTCGAGTTTCATCCTGAAGTTGCCGCAGTTCAGTCATCTTCAGGCTCCACTCCTAATTCTCTCGCTATTTCCACCACACCTGCAGCTCCTTCCTCCGCTGGGGTCTCGAAGCCCTGGAAGTCATCCATGAAGGTCAGAATCAACATCTTCCGAACTGAGGGTTGGAATCGACATCTTCCCAACTCCTGGTTGATGCAGATACTCTGACCTCTTCCCATGAATCACAAATGTTCCTGGTGGCACTTGCAATGTCACAATGGTGAATCCTTTCCAGAAGGATTTTCTGTTTGATTTTCCCAGATTCATCAGAATTGCTCTCTAAGGCAGCTCCAGCCTTAGGAGATGTAGCTCTTTTATTTATTTATTTATTTATTTATTTATTTATTTATTTATTTAATTTATTTATTATTTTTTTTGAGATGGAGTCTTGCTCTGTCACCCAGGCTGGAGTGCAGTGGTGCGATCGTGGCTCACTGCAAGCTCCGCCTCCCGGGTTCACGCCATTCTCCTGCCTCAGCCTCCCGAGTAGCTGGGACTACAGGCACCCGCCACCACACCCGGCTAATTTTTTGTATTTTTAGTAGAGACAGGGTTTCACCGCATTAGCCAGGATGGTCTTGATCTCCTGACCTCGTGATCCACCCGCCTTGTCCTCCCAAAGTGCTGGAATTATAGGTGTGAGCCACCGCGCCTGGCCAGGAGATGTAGTTCTTAAATAATAAGACTTGAAGCTGGAAATCATTTCTTGAGCCCTGGGCTGCAGGGTGGATGTGGTGTCAGCAGCATGAAAACAACATTCCTCTCCTGTACGTCTCCATCAGAGCTCTTGGGTGACCAGGTGCATGGTCAATGAGCAGGAATATTTCTTAGAAGAATCTCTCTTTCTGAGTAACAGGTCTCAAGAGCGGGCTTAGAATGGTCAGTAAACCATGCTGTGAACAGAGGTGCTGTCATCCAGCCTTTGTTGTTCCATGGATGGAGCACAGGCAGAGGAGATTTAGCATCATTCTTAAGGGCCCTGGGATTTTCAGAATGGCAAATGAGCACTGGCTTCAACTTAAAGTCACCAGCTGCATTAGTTAGTCTCCAACGAGAGAGTCAGCCTGTCCTTTGAAGCCAGACACTGACTTCTCCTCTCCAGCTATGAAAGTCCTAGACGGCATCTTCTTCCAACAGAAGGCTGTTTTGTCTGCACTGAAAATCTGTTGTTTAGCGTGTTTAGTTTCATCAGTGATCTCAGCCTATCTCCAGGGGAACTTGCCGCAGTTTCTCCAACAGCACCTGCTGCTTCACCTTCACTTTTGTGTTACGGAGACGGCTTCTTCCTTCACCCTCATGAACCAACCTGTGCTGGTTTCCAGCTTTTCTTCTGCAGCTTCCTCACCCCTCTCAACCTTCACAGAATTGAAGACAGTTGGGGCCTTGCTCTGGATTAGGCTTTGGCTTAAGGGAATGTTGTGACTGGTTTGATCTTCTACTCAGACCACTAAAACTTTCTCTTTCTCAGCAATAAGGCTGTTTCACTGTCTCATCATCTGTGTGTTCACTGAAGTAGTATTTTTAGTTTGCTTCAAGAACTTTTCCTTTGCATTCACACCTTGGCTGTTTAGTGCAAGAGGACCAGCTTGCAGCCTTTCCTGGCTTCTGGCGTGCATTCCTCACTAAGCATAATCACGTCTACCTTTTGATTTAAAGTGAGAGACTGGTGAGCCTTCCTCCCACTTGAACACTCAGAGGTCACTGTAGGGTTACTACGCTGGCCTAATTTCAATACTGTTATGTCTCAGGGAATAGGGAGGCCTGAGCACCGGGACAGAGACAGGGAATGGCCAGTTGGTGGAGCAGTCAGGACACACACATCTACCCATTACGTTTGCCGTCTTATGTGGGTGTGGTTCGTGGCACCCCAAAACAATGACAACAGTGACCTCAAAGATCACTGACCACAAATCCCTATAGCTGACAGAACACTGATGAAGCAACTATGACAACAGTGACCTCAAAGATCACTGACTACAGCTCCCTGTAACAGCAGAGCACTAACGAGGAGGCTGAAGTACACGGGAAATTTCCAGAGCGTGGCACAACACCTGGGGGCACATGCTGCTGGAAAATGGCACCTGCAGACGTGCTCGCCAGGTTGCTCCGAGCCTCCTCCCTGTGAACACAGTATCAGTGAAGCACCATAAAATGAGGTGTGCCTGTAAAACTCACTCAATGCCCAACTTCAAAGGCACAATAAAAGCAGGAAACAGCCACAGCAACTCATGAAGGTATATGTGTGCAGAATGTATTTTCATAAAGTCCTTACATCCTTCAAAATACCTAGTTTGTCAGAAAATAGGCATTAAAAAAAAAACCTTGGGCGGGCGCGGTGGCTCATGCCTGTAATCCCAGCACTTTGGGAGGCCGAGGCAGGCGGATCACAAAGTCAGGAGATTGAGACCATCCTGGCTAACACGGTGAAACCCCGTCTCTACTAAAAAAAATACAAAAAATTAGCCAGGTGTGGTGGCGGGCACCTGTAGTCCCAGCTACTTGGGAGTCTGAGGGAGGAGAATGGCGTGAACTCGGGAGGTAGAGCTTGCAGTGAGCCAAGATCCTGCCACTGCACTCCAGCCTGGGTGACAGAGTGAGGCTCTGTCTCAAAAACAAACAAACAAAAAACCTTAGTGAGTAGAGTAGCGGGTATGAACGAAGCAATCTGAAAATATCTAGTCACAGTTTATACTGCACAGAAGAATAGACTGCTGTGTAAGATGCCACGAGACACACAAATGACTAACACAGCCAGAAATAGAAGCTGTTTTGTGGGTTAGACCTGAATTCCGGCCCTAAACAAACTCCTGTGCAGCACGGCAGTTACTCGATTCTCTCCATTCTGCAAACAGCATAAAACGCGAGAGTTTGTGCCACCTGGGGGGTCTGTGCAGCTCACCCTGACCACCTGACTGACTTACAAGGCCAAACTTAACCAAACTTCTTCCAGATGAAGCTTGTCACAAATTTGACTTATGTGTAACTGTCATCAATCTGTCCCAGCTGTTGGTACCACGCCCCGGCATTCAGCAGCGGAGGATGCCCGGCTCCGTGGTGCATCCTCCAGCCTGCTGGGTGTCTGCTATTGGGACCTGCAGGATCCCCAGGAACCTTTAGAACTGGTAAGGTCAGAACTGATGGGCCTCTGAAATCCCAAATCTAACGCCAGAGTCCACATACTGTTCAATAGCAAACACTTAAAAAACAACTCAGTGTTGGTGAGGGCCTCCCTGATGGCCACCGTCTAGGCCGACACAAGCCTCTGCGCAAGCCTCTGGGCACAGACATTCAAAGCCTTCGGTCTAGAAATTCAGCTTCTCTGGTTCCATCCTGAGGACACAGCTGAGGCACAGGAAGGGTTTCGTGTGCATTAAACAGGGTTCTGCCCTCACCCTGCATTTCCCCGTGTTTCCCCTGGAGAATGTACGCTGGTCACCTCCCACCCAGGCTTTTCCTCCAGCCCAGTTCTCCCAAGCACAAACCCAGGCGTCCACCTGCCCTTGACATCCTAGCAACATAAAGGCATCCAACACCAACGTCCTCCCCACCAAGACTGCCCCTCTCAGGACACGCCTCGCACCATCCACCACACCATCCTCACAGGCTCGGGACGTTTCTGCCTTCTCCGACATCGTGCCGGGCAGGCACACAAAGGGTTCCCACACACACGGAAGGAAGCGTGAGACACAGTGGGCGTCGGGATGTCTGCCCGGGAGCCGCGGATGCTCCCCAACAGCCCAGCAGACACACGGCCCACGCCCAGAACTAGCAAGTCTGCTTTCCAAACCCAGGCTGACCTACGGGAAATCATCTAAAAAACAAGAGAACACACTTCTGAATCAAAATTCTAGGACCCGCGGTTCCTGGGAAACTGTCCGTAGATGCTGACTGCACTCACTTTATTCGACATCTGCTGACAGTGCTGCTCGGTTGTGTGAATCAACGTCTGGTCCAAGTCCACCATGAGCACCAGCTTCCGGTTTCGGTGCAGTCGCTGCTGGTCTTCTCTTCCCAGCTGTTCAGCTTGCTACAATTAAAAAGAAACAAGAAATGACAAAGTCAGTATGTTTGCATCCAAGGTAAAACTCCATTTCATCGAGAAACACAAAACTATATCAATGTGTTCCCCTCCAGCCCCCCACGCTCCATGGACTGCGCCGTACAGGCCGAGAGGCAGGGCTGGGTCACCAACCTGGTCACGGCAACCTCGCTTGTGACCACAATTTTATAATTCAGTTAAATACATGAGCCAATGAAAACGGAGGGGGAAGGGAAACTGGTTGTTTCTATAAAAGCTGGATTCAACAGTATGGAGTGCTCAATAAAAGTGAACTGCAAAATTAATGAAGAAACCAAGTCGGCCGGCTGGGAGACGCTGGGTGGCCCAAGCTGGGCAGCAGAGACTGGTAAGGGCAATGCGCTCAGAATCTCCCGCGCTCAGAACCTTCCACGCTCAGCCTATTCTTGTGCCTCGAAGAGACCCGGGGGCCTGGCAACAGCGCATCGGGGTGTCCCTCCACGCGGGGCCCAGAGTGGAGCTCCTAACAAGGGCCCGGTCACCCCGGCATCAGGAGCCCGGCATGGGACACGGGATGTGACGCACCACGCTGCCTTTCTCACTGTAACTGGCCCTCACTCTTCACAACAAAATCCTGGTCCCGCTCAGGGGGGACCTCCTCCCGTGCCCATCCCCGAAGGGAAACGCACGGAAGGGCTGGCAGGTGCCAGAAAGATGGGGGGTACTTCCTCCTCCCTTCACCCTCAAACTTGCCAGCTTTGGTTTACGCATACACATTTTACATTTGTTTAAAGTTTGGTAATTCAGAAAACCCAGAATCCTGTATCTGGCATTTTGCTTTTCCCATAAAAAGATAGACTGAAATTGGTGTCCATCATTTAAAAGCACGAATTTACTAAAATCGTAACACTGGAAAGTGTTTTACCTATTTACAAAACTGTGCAGCCCTGAAAGTCTGTAAGATCACAAACTAGTTTTTCTCAGCTCCCAGAGCATTTTCACCCACGGGGTGAAGCGAGGTCGGGGAGACGGTGTCTGCCTCAAGCACAGGAGGTGCCCGGAGCCGCTGACCCACAGTGCCCCAGCAACTCCTGAAATACATAAACGAGGCGTAGCACTCGAAGATAAAAACCCATCTCACTCTTAACTGGGCACGTGAACACCTGCCCGTCCTCTCCACCCTGCGTACCCCCCATGGGCTCTCCTGTCGGCTACAAGGCAAACACTCCTGGGACCCCCAACCCGCCCCTGCATGTGCCCACTCTCCCGAGCCAGCTTCCCAATGGTGCCAGCAGCAGCCGCTCCTGTAGCCAACAAGGTGCTACCAACCACGTCCCCCCGCCCCTACCCCCGGCCACCGACTCCTCGCCATTATCTGCCCCAATATGCGCTTTGCCCTCCCGGGTCATCCAGCACATGCCTCGGCAGCGCGGCCACCTCCTGAGCTCCATGAGCAGCTGTCACATCCCTCCCCAGTTAGGACTTGGCTCAAGGGAACCCAGGCTGAGCCTGGCTGTTCACAGCTGCGGCGGCAGCACCTGGTGTTCCCGACACGCAGGTCACACAGCCTCGGGGCCCTGAGTCGCTTTTGCAGGCAGACTTGTCTGTGGAGAACCAAGGGCAACCGTCCCTGCTTCAGGAAGGCCGCAGTCCCATAAGTCATCCGTGTGATGAGGGGTTGTTTCAGTAACGACGATGACAACCACACGTCCGTGCTTCTGCAGCCACCCTCCTCCTGCAGCCGCCCTCCTCAGAGCACCACGCTTCCCCAACACGCCGCCACTGATGCCCGGCTCACCTCGGAGCTCACCATCAACTCCGGCACGCTGTGCACCATGGACACGGTCGCCGTGGACAGCGGCACCTGCTGCTTCCCGTTCTTACTCTGCAACCTGCAAGTGCAAGGACAGGTTCAGGGCTTTCAGCTGAGTCTCTGCGCACAGATGCACACTGGGCTCTAAGTGACAGGATTCTAGCTGATGTTTTAACGGACACACGCTGCTATCTTAGCACAGACTTGATTCTGTCGGCAAACGTGGAAACATTCTCCACAGACAGGAAAACTGGTGGAAACACTGAGCTCGTGGCCACACTCATGAACACACAGAGCCATAGTCCTTCATGAAAACAAACTGCAAAGTCACACAGAAGCAGAAACAGGCCCTCAACCATGAAAACGCAGAAAAAGTAGCTGCCGCACCTCCCACTTGGCATTAGAGGTAAAGCAGCCCCCAGCATGGGGCGCTCAGCGGCCCAGAGGGAGGGGCTGCTCCAGGCACTCAGCGATCTGCGTCTTCAGTCAGGAGAAAACAGGTCTCGGCCCTCCAGCATGCCCCCCCACCACACCTGAGAATGGCATGAGGCTGGGGTCACAGAGCAGGAAGGACTGCCTCCAGGGAAACCCATTGAGTGTGACTCGTATGGGGCCCAAGGGAGGCGTCTGCATCTGCCGCTGGGAAACCAAGGGCCTCACTGTGTTCCCAGCACAGCTTCTCGGACTCCCCGGAGGCCACCACCTCGAGCCCCAGCAGGCAGCGATCTCACTCTTCCGGATACTTACTGGGTGAGGTCTTGGCCACATTCAGCACACAGGCCTTTCATGACAACCGGGTGGCTGCATCCTTCCAACCTCACCAGAACCGCTCTACAAAAAAACACAAGGGGAACAACACTTTAAAATCTCTTGGTTTATCAAAAGAGCCCCCAAGTAAGAATTTTAAAATCTAGGTTTTTGTACCAATTCTACACTAACCCTTGCATAACTTTGTAGGCAGGTGACATCACCCCTTGAGGGCATTTCTTTGTCTATAAAATGAAAGGACTTTCCACCTACAGGTGTCTCTCATGAAAAATGACACGCCACCACACCTCACCACCCCCGTGCCACCCGTGGAACAGCTGAAAAAACTAAGGATGTCTGGTCCAAAGAGGAGACTTGGGGATAACATAAAGTTGTCTCAAAACACACTATTTATATGTGATCCTCTGACATTTCCGTTAGAGAATTTATAAAATCTAAAACTTTCATATCATTCCCAGTCTAGACAGAGGCTGATGCAACTACATTTTCCTGACAAAATGACTGTAATGTTCGTTTTATATAAACACAAACTGTTTTATTTGTCCAAACAGTGGTCTTCTGGCAGAAGCCATGGAAGAAGTGCTGAAATCTGAAGGCTATGAGACCAGAGGCCGCCTGGCACTCAGCGCCCGCCCCTAGGTGCCCTCAGCCCCCACACTCCCACCCCAGCCGGGCTGCTCCGACCGCCCCACCCTGCGAACATGAGACCACCCAGCACTCAGCGCCTGACCCTAGGTGTCCGCAGCCCCCACACTCCCACCCCAGCCGGGCTGCTCCGACCACCCCACCCCGTGGACATGAGACCGCCCAGCACTCAGCGCCCACCCCTAGGTGCCTGTAGCCCCCACACTCCCATCCCAGCCGGGCTGCTCCGACCACCGCGCCCCGCGGACACGAGGCTGCCCGGCACTCAGTGTCCCTAGGAGCTCGCAACCCCCACACTCCCGTCCCAGCTGGGCTGCTCCGACCACCCCACCCCGTGGACATGAGACCGCCCAGCACTCAGCGCCCACCCCTAGGTGCCTGTAGCCCCCACACTCCCATCCCAGCCGGGCTGCTCCGACCACCCTGCCCTGCAGACATGAGGCCGCCCAGCACTCAGCACCCGCCCCTAGGTGCTCACAGCCCCCACACTCCCGTCCCAGCCGGGCTGCTCCGACCACCCTGACCCGCGGACATGAGACAGCCACCCAAGCTGCATCTGTCAATGGGACCTTTCCAGGCGGGATGCCCCATGGCCCACCAAGACCCCCAGCCATGTCATCGAGAGGGCGCAAGGATCAGGCCACAGGCGGAAACAAGGCGGAGCCACATCCTCCATGCCCACTGTGCCATGGCAGGCTGTGCTGGGAGACTGGGAGGGGCGGGTCTGCAGCCTGCATCCTGCAGGGGAGCGGAGGGGCGGGTCTGTAGCCTGCATCCTTCAGGGAGACTCGGAGGGGCGGGTCTGTAGCCAGCATCCTGCAGGGAGAATGGGAGGGGCGGGTCTGTAGCCTGGAGGGGAGTGGAGGGGAGTTCTTCCTGGGGAGGAGGATGGGCGTGTGCGGATCACCCTGGAGGAGGAACGGTGCTGAGGACACACGGTGCGGGGCTCCGAGCCCTCGGGGATGGAGTGGGCTGCCGGTGACTATCAAGAATCTGAGCTCCTCCGGGTCCTGGGCCTGTGCGTACACAGTGCATGTGCAACACAAATGGATTCCGCGTTTACTCACGTCCCATCCCCAAGACATCTCGTCATGTATACGTGCAAATATTCCAAAATCCAAAAAAACCCAGAAATCCAAAACACTTCTGTTTCCAAGCAGTTTGGATATGGGAGACTCAACCTGTATCAGGTTTTTTTCTTAAACCAGACAACAAAATAGTGACACCTTGTTTGAAAAAGTGTGTTAAACTTTCTAAGGTGACAAGTATGATTTCCTTAATTTTATCAAAATACTTTACAATGAATGATTAGAGTTCTGCCCTAAAATGCCCCAATGAGCAGAGACTTAACCTAAAAACCCAATCTCTGAAAAAAAACAAAAACAAAAACAAAAAAAACGCACAAACCCCACACTGGACCATCCTCCCTCCCGGTCACCACACCTGCTCAAAGACACTGCCAGGCTTCACAGGCCTCAGGGACACCTGCTCCCTGCTTGCTGAGGCCACAGGGGCCATCCCCGCCCAGGAGTCTGTGTCCCTACCGCCATCGCACTCGGGGCCTCCACATCCAGGCTCCTCTCCGATGCCTGGCAGCCCCCAACTCCCCGGCTGAGCTGTTTTCGTCCATCCACAGGGCTCTGCGGCCCCACCGCCAACACCCAAACCCAGTCCTCCCAATGGCCCCACGTCCTTTCCCTGGGCACTGCTCCCCCAGTCCTGGCAGCAACCCCACTTGGGAGCCCCAGCCCCTCTAACAGGCTTCCCTGGTCTCCAGCTGACATCATTTTGCAATCAGCCTTCTGCAAGGAAACTCTGCACAGCTCCTGCCCCACACAGGACACCAGCTCATGGCAGGCTCCTCATTCTACCCCCTGCCCCACACAGGACACCAGCTCACGGCGGGTTCCTTGCTCTACCCTCTGCCCCACGCAGGACACCAGCTCACGGCGGGCTCCTCGCTCTACCCCCTGCCCCATGCAAGACACCAGCTCACCGCGGGCTCCTCCTTGCTCTACCCCCTGCAAGGGGAAGAGAGGGAAAGGAATCCTCAAATATGAACTAGGAGGATTTTGCCAATCTCTCCTAAACATGTTAACATGAAGAAGGATCTGGGGTGGCTCTAGTTTAACCAATAAACAGGTGTTTTTTTGTAGAAATTGACAAGTTGCTTCTGAAATTTATATGGAAGTTCAGAAAACCTAGAATCTCAATTTTCAAAAATAACAGAGAACTTTTACTACCTGACTTCAGAACTTATCAGGCATACAACATAAACGCATGGAACAGAGGAGTCCAGAAAGACTCAAAGGTATGACCGACAGACGACCCACCAAGGTGCCCAGAAAACTCCATGGCGGGCGGGGGGCACCTTCCAGCCAGTGGGGCTTCACACAAATGGATCAACGGCTGACAAACGCCTGCAGAGTGTGTTCTGCAAAGGTTTTCTCCACTGTTCCCCACCCGGAGTCCACCCTGGGAGCCGTCCACTCCTCCCCACCCCGAGTCCACCCTGGGAGCCGTCCACTCTTCTCCCACCCCGAGTCCACCCTGGGAGCCGTCCACTCCTCCCCACCCCGAGTCCACCCTGGGAGCCGTCCACTCCTCCCCACCCCGAGTCCACCCTGGGAGCCGTCCACTCCTCCCCCACCCCGAGTCCACCCTGGGAGCCGTCCACTCCTCCCCCACCCCGAGTCCACCCTGGGAGCCGTCCACTCCTCCCCCACCCCAAGTCCACCCTGGGAGCCGTCCACTCCTCCCCCACCCCGAGTCCACCCTGGGAGCCGTCCACTCCTCCCCACCCCGAGTCCACCCTGGGAGCCGTCCACTCTTCTCCCACCCCGAGTCCACCCTGGGAGCCGTCCACTCCTCCCCACCCCGAGTCCACCCTGGGAGCCGTCCACTCCTCCCCCACCCCGAGTCCACCCTGGGAGCCGTCCACTCCTCCCCCACCCCGAGTCCACCCTGGGAGCCGTCCACTCCTCCCCACCCCGAGTCCACCCTGGGAGCCGTCCACTCCTCCCCACCCCGAGTCCACCCTGGGAGCCGTCCACTCCTCCCCCACCCCGAGTCCACCCTGGGAGCCGTCCACTCCTCCCCCACCCCGAGTCCACCCTGGGAGCCGTCCACTCCTCCCCACCCCGAGTCCACCCTGGGAGCTGTCCACTGTTCCCCAGCCCGAGTCCTGCCTGGGAAGCTGTGTGACCCGTCGCACATTGACACTAGGCTGCCACAAAGGACGGGGGCCTCCTGCTCCAAGGAAGGGCTGGTAGCAAGCCCAGGTGCCACCTGCCTTCCCCAGCACAGGTCTAAGAGCGAGTGTAAGCTGGCCCTGCTTCCCACAAACAGCCTCCCTTGGGCCACCAGCGCAGCCTGAGGTCTGAAGAAAGTTGACTATAAGCTGAGTCGGGTGCGCACTGCCTGCTGTCACCAACAGTGTAATACGAGTCAGACGAGAGCGACTGCAAGACGGAGGTGCCACCGGCAGATGACTACAGCAGATGCCTAGTTCTACACGAGGAAGGAAGCTTCTAGAACAGTGTCACAGCAGCTGTAACAGCTGGGTCTTGACAGACGAGTAGGAAGCAGGTGAGGGCTGGAAATGGCAACCACGCAAGGTCCCGGTGGCAGAGACAAGGCCGGCTCCTGACGCCAAGGGCACCTGCGCCCAGTGCACGCAGGCAGCACTCCGCAGGCTTCCAGCAACGTGACCAAACACAGGCCTTCGTAGAAAATCACTCGCATACTGGCCACGTCGGAGTCACGTAATTTTCTGTACTGCGGTTGAAAGGTTCTGACTGTCTTATTCTAGTGCAGGCTCTGCTCCACCCCCCACCCCAGGACTCCTGTAGTGGCTGGAGACACTCCTGGATATCACACCTGGAGGCAGGGAAGCTGCTCAGCAACCCACAGCATGCAGGATGCTCCCAGCCAGGCCATCTGGCTCAGAATGTCTGTGTGTGCAAAGGCTGGGAAACCCGCGTGCAGACAGGGAGCAGAGAGCAATGTCTTTTCTTAATACGAGACATTTCTACACTTCGTCTTTGCAGATGCTGACAGAAAACAGGGGTGAAAAGCCCTGAACGCTCTCATTCCAGCCTCCACGCTCCAGGCAGAGAAACGTCTCCACACCTTAAAAAGGGGTGTGACACGTTGTGGATTCTTGAATGCGGATACACAAACGTAAAAACACCCAACCAAAGAGCTCAGCCCAAAAACGTCCAATCAGTCACCAATAAATGTTTTCTGGTTTGTCCTAAAGAAAATCCATGAGAAAGCCATGACATGCAACTTCTAAACAAGTTATTTGCCTCAAAATACACAAGTATAGTAAGTACCAAACTCTGTGGGGTTCTGGCCTCTCAGCTCTCTCAGGGGAGGTCCGAGGGCATGGGTACATCAGAGAGGGCTACGGGCTGGGCCTGGACCATGGACGCCATCACCTCTGAGCATCGCCTCCAGGTGGGTCCAACCTTCTCCCTTCCTTCTACAGATCAGGAGGGCTCCAGGGTCTTCCCTAAGTTCCAACATTCTGAGTGTAGAAATGTATTTAGAGGGAAGAGTGTATTTTTTGCACCTAGACCTTGGGTTTCTAAATGTCATTCTCCACCAAGAAGCAGCAGGATTTGTTGGAGAATGGCTGATTCCAGGACTGTGGCCAGGAGAGCAGCAGCCTAGAATCCGTTATGCAGACAAGGCGGCAATGCCTCAAGACTCAGCCGCCGGGAACCAGCACCACGGGGATCCCGCCGGCCACAGCTGGGATAAGTTTTGTGTCAAGGCAAATAATAACAATAACAGATTATAAGCCATTAAATAAGAAACCATGAGCCTACACTGCTAAATAGACATGTTACTTATTTGTGACGGAGTCTCGCTCCGTCACCTAGTTTGCAGTGCAGTGGTGTGATCTTAGCTCACTGCAATCTCTGCCTCTGGGGTTCAAGTGATTCTCTTGCCTCAGCCTCCCGAGTAGCTGGGACTGCAGGTGCGCACCATCACGCCTATTTTTGTATTTTTAGTAGAGATGGGGTTTCACCATATTGGCCAGGCTGGTCTCGAATTCCTGACCTCAGGTGATCTGTTCACCTTGGCCTCCCAAAGTGCTGGGATTACAGGCGTGAGCCACTACGCCTGGCCTTATTTGTTCTTACGGCAGAAAGTCAACCAAAAAGTGGAGAAGAAATGCTGGAATTGAGAACACCACCACTGGACTATCATCCTAGAAATGAAGCGATTCAAGCAGGAATCACTGACAGATACCCAAAATGTGGGTCAGCTTGGTGCAAATGTATTTATGTGGTAACAAAGTATCTCTTTCAAGATACTGAATTACAACAGGAAAAGTTGTAACTTTTTACAACAGACACCACCTTCACTAAACGCAGGCTCTGGGACAGTCTCACCAGAGTGCACAGCTGCGATCTAACTGAGGGATGTCCTACTAAACCAGGCAATGATACAGAAAGAAAGAAAGACGAAGGAGCTGACTCTTGAGGGTTCAACCAGCGATGCCACGTGGGGTCCAGGGCTTGCTTTTGTTACAAAGGACTTTATTAGGACTATTAGTGCTATGTAAGAGCACGTCTTTGTTTTCAGGAAACTCAAGTATTTAGGGGTGAAGTGACATCACACCTGCAACTAACTCTCCAACTCCAGAAAAATGTGCGTGTGCATGGGGAAAGATAAGCAAACTCAGCAAAGCATTAACATTTGCGGAATCTGGGGTGAAGCTGGTGTGAGAATTCTGTGCACTGTTCTTGCAACTTTAAGGTCAAAAATTATGTCCCAAAAGAGCCAGAGTGGCTGGGTGTGGTGGCTCACGCCTGTAATCCCAGCACTTAGCGAGGCTGAGGCAGGATCACCTGAGGTCAGAAGTTCCAGACCAGCCTGGCCAACGTGGTGAAATCGTCTCTACTAAAAATACAAAAATTAGCCGGGTGTGGCTGGGAGTGATGGCTCACGCCTGTAATCCCAGCACTTTGGGAAGCCAAGGCAGGTGGGTCACCTGAGGTCAGGAGTTCGAGATGAGCCTGGCCAACATGGTAAAACCCTGCCTCTACTAAAAATACAAAAATTAGTTGGGCGCGGTGGCTCACGCCTGTAATCCCAACACTTCAGGAGGCCGAGGCAGGTGGATCACCTGAGGTCAGGAGTTCGAGACCAGCCTGGCCAACATGGTGAAACCCTGTCTCTACTAAAAATACAATAATTAGCTGGGCATGGTGGTGGGCACCTGTAATCCCAGCTACTCAGGAGGCCGAGGCAGGAGAATCGCTTGAACCCAGGAGGTGGAGGTTGCAGTGAACTGAGATTGCACCGCTGCACTCCAGCCTGGGTGACAACAGTGAAACTTCATCTCAAAACAAAAAACAAACAGCTTCAAAGGAACAAGTGTTGTTGTTTTGTCTCCTGTGCAGCCACAGGGGTGGGAGCCCCAGGCTGGAGTCCAGTGCAGTGCAGTCGTCAGCTGTGGCTGACGCTCTGCACCTGGTTCAGTCGCCCAGAGCCCAGACGCAGCCATCCTGGAGAACACGCACAGGTGGGGCTCTGGCAGCGGTTACTGAAACTGTGGCTGTAAAGCACAACGTCTGAGGAATGTAAAGAAGGAACAAGGGCAGCCCAGCCTGATTCCCAACACTGCACACATCCACAGAGCCGTGGCTGGAAAGCTTCAACACTGCCACTGTGGTCTAGAGCGAGTCATCCAACAAAACCAGTTCCCAGCACGTCTCAAAACCACGTGGCACCACGTGCACCACACCATTCAGACCCTACTGCCCTCTCTGCTGGGTAAACAGACCTGCAAGGAAAGTCCTTGCCTCAGAACCTCCACAGACCCCAGGGAGCCATGGTGTCAAATGCTTCCAGCCTGAAAACACTTTAACCCCCTGGTGGTATGCTCAGGACAACCAACCAACTGCTCCGGTGCATGCCCACCAGTGAACTGGAGAAGTCAACTGCTGCGGTGCAGGCCCACCAGTGAACTGGCGAAGCCAACTGCTGCGGTGCAGGCCCACCAGTGAACTGGAGAAGCCAACTGCTGCGGTGCAGGCCCACCAGTGAACTGGAGAAGCCAACTGCTGCGGTGCAGGCCCACCAGTGAACTGGAGAAGCCAACTGCTCCGGTGCAGGCCCACCAGTGAACTGACGAAGCCAACTGCTGCGGTGCAGGCCCACCAGTGAACTGGCGAAGCCAACTGCTGCGGTGCAGGCCCACCAGTGAACTGGAGAAGCCAACTGCTCCGGTGCAGGCCCACCAGTGAACTGACGAAGCCAACTGCTGCGGTGCAGGCCCACCAGTGAACTGGCGAAGCCAACTGCTGCGGTGCAGGCCCACCAGTGAACTGGAGAAGCCAACTGCTCTGGTGCAGGCCCACCAGTGAACTGACGAAGCCAACTGCTGCGGTGCATGCCCACCAGTGAACTGGAGAAGCCAACTGCTGCGGTGCAGGCCCACCAGTGAACTGACGAAGCCAACTGCTGCGGTGCAGGCCCACCAGTGAACTGGAGAAGCCAACTGCTGCGGTGCAGGCCCACCAGTGAACTGACGAAGCCAACTGCTGCGGTGCAGGCCCACCAGTGAACTGGAGAAGTCAACTGCTGCGGTGCAGGCCCACCAGTGAACTGGAGAAGCCAACTGCTGCGGTGCAGGCCCACCAGTGAACTGGAGAAGCCAACTGCTGCGGTGCAGGCCCACCAGTGAACTGGAGAAGCCAACTGCTGCGGTGCAGGCCCACCAGTGAACTGGCGAAGCCAACTGCTGCGGTGCAGGCCCACCAGTGAACTGACGAAGCCAACTGCTGCGGTGCAGGCCCACCAGTGAACTGGAGAAGCCAACTGCTGTGGTGCAGGCCCACCAGTGAACTGGAGAAGCCAACATGATGCTGGGTATCAACTCGCTAACTGCATCATTCCCGCCAGTCTATAGTCAGCACAAAAAATGCATCAAAATCGTACGACACCAGCATTCTTCACCATTTAAAGCACCGTAGGGAAATTACTGTCTTTTAAACGCTACTTCAAAAATGTTACAAATATTAAATGAGTTAAGTTTTAGCTCAAGTTCCTCTTAACATTGTAAGGAATTTTGCACATATGATGCTAGATGTATATTTAAAAACCTACCAAGACCATCTCTTCATAACCTTTAAAATGTGCATTTATCCTTTAAGAAATATCACCTGAATCTCTTCAAACTCATCAGTTCCATTCTCTCTACATTCTCTTTCTCCTGAAAATATAAAAAGCACTTTTTTCTGAGACAACTTACATCGCTTGTTTTCCGTTTTGTATTTGTGCACTTTTAAAACACACATAAAACTGAGAATTCATCCATTCCTCTGTACCCAGATACTAGATGATTTCACATAACCCACTTTAAAACTAACTTTAAAGAAACCATGAAAATGGAGACAAATCTGATAATGCACACAAAATTTCTGAAACCTACAAACCATTTCCAGGCAGACGTGCTTCAAAGTCCTTTATCTAAAAGATTAGATCGGAGATACCTAAAAACCCATGACAAAGGTAAATCACAGACGAACAAAACCAAGCAAGTAACAAGGCCCAGTGGTTTTCTGTTAGGTGAAAAGTGGGAAAAACAAAGCAAAACGTTTGAAGTGCAACTTACCCACGTTTAATGGGCTGACAAAGTGACAGCCCCCCAAATTTTAGGCACAAATATCTTTTTTAAAGTATCATCCTTTAAATAGTGCAGGCGTCAACAGGGAAGAATAAAAGTATTCTAAATAATTATTAGAATTGTTAATAATAAAACTATTCTAAAAGAATTACCAATTCATCAAGATTCTTGGTACCAGGATGAAAACGAAATGTCCTTATTTCCAGGACCGGACCCTTAGGTGACGACGTTCGTGCACTGACTGAAGCACATTTAGAATTTCAGAGGCTTCTACTCCCTCATCACAGAACAATAAATTCGGGGACTAATCTTAGGTTGCAGCCTATTCTAACTGTATTACTATTTCTCAGAGATTCTCATTCCAAAATCTACAAAGCAATAAAGACAGCAATACCGTTGCTGTTGGAATGATCTTCATTTTATTCAGCAATGTTTTTCTGCTTCTCTGTGGCACTCTCACACCCTGCGCTGGTGAATGCAGATGCCCTTCCTGTGGACACGCTAAAGGCACAGGTACAGTCTGTCAGACGTCATCAACCCTCGCACACGGCCTCCGCCTGTTAGTTCTCACCAGTCACTGCAGGCTCCCAGATCATTTTAGGTACCTTCCCCTTTCTGTGGCGATTTAAATACCTCCCTGTGAGTGACTGGGAAAAAGCCAAAGCAAAGAAATCTGCAGGAAAAAAAAGACTTAGTTTCTGAAAGATGGTGACCTGTCAGAATATTTTCTATTAAAATAATTGTACTCCACATAAATATTATAAAAGCAGACAAACACTATTGTTCTAGCTACTCCCCCCACACTAGGAATCTCCAGGGCTGAAACCTGGTCTACAGAGAGCAGCACGCAGAGAACCAAGGACAGAGGCTCTCTCAAGGGCCTGAGCACACCACGAGGCATCTGCACCGTCCTCCTCACCAGGACCTCACACCCCGTAAGGAGCACCGCAGAGAAACTGGGAGTAGAGACCACGAGGTCCCTGCACCGTCCTCCTCACCAGGACCTCACACCCCGTAAGGAGCACCGCAGAGAAACCGGGAGTAGAGACCACGAGGTCCCTGCACCGTCCTCCTCACCAGGACCTCACACCCTGTAAGGGGCAGGGCAGGTCCAAACTTCTTGGAACCTCAGTTTCTTTCCAATGGAGTGAGGAGGTTCTTACTTCTGCCAGATAGGATGAAGCCCGACAAAAACATACAATCTTATTAAAGATCAAAACGACAATCTAGTGACTATTGTAACTTCACCCAAATGCAGTGTTTTTAAGTTCCCAGAATGGTTCTTTGTCTAAAAATAACCACTGATGTGGTTAGGATAAATGTTGCTGGTAACAACAATGCAGGCAACGAGGGCACGGACCCACCTTGCCTGGTGACAACAACGCAGGCAACGAGGGCACGGACCCACCTTGCCTGGTGACAACAATGAAGGTAACAAGAGCAGGGACCCACCTTGCCTGGTGACAACAATGCAGGCAACGAGGGCACGGACCCACCCTGCCTGGCTGGTGCTGGTGCTTTTCACAGGTTCACTCACACCTGCTATTTATAGAGGGAGGTTTCACAGGGCCACAGGTTCCATTACCTCTCTCCGCAGTGCTCCGCCTCAGTAACCGACACTAAGCTACACAAGGCTCACTCACACATACCCACGTGGGATTCTTCTTTCTTTGTTAAAATTCCATGCTATAAAGAACTGTTTAGACTGACGTTCTAATCTACGCTCTGGAGCAGCGCGTAGTCTGCTCCTCGGCACTGTGAGCATGCTGGCTGCACATGTACAAGCAACATCCACACCTCTCAGTTTCTCAAACACAGTCTCAGCTAAACAAGTTACTGTCAAGCAGCCGGCGGCCAGTGGGGTCAAGAGCCACCTTCACTAAGGTGATGGCACACAAGCGACGCTTGAGCTTAGCACACTCAGGCTGCTGCCGCTGTCTGCTCTCTGCAAGCTCCAGTTCAGCAGATTTAATGCTATGTTTTCAAAGATACTTCCCGTTATTCCTGAAAAATAAGTATTTTTATAAGCCCTGTGAAAGGATCAAGATAAAGGAACAACAGTGGGTAGGCACCCCCCGGTCCCAAAACCGTCCTGGGCCAGAAGCTAATTCATAACACCTGCAGGGTGAACACAGCGACCAAGCCTCAAGAGACAGGCTGTCCTCCCCGTAAATCCCACACCTCGTCAGCAATGTCCTCAACAACACCCTCGGGAAATCTGATTTCCCAAGACTTTCTCCAAAGGCCCCTCACCAAGGAGCCACCAGGGCACGCAGGCAACCAGTAAGCCCTTGAGGGACCAAAACTGTGTGGCCACATCAAGGGCTTCGCCCAAGCCAGAATTCCAACGTCAGATCGCCTGCGCATTCCTCAGGCAGCCGCCCTGAAACCCCGTTTCTGACACCTGAGTTTCTGATCCATCAGCTGGGCAGGACCTGCTCTCTCTCACCAAGAGCCACGGGGTTCCATTGGTGCTGGGAGGTCCCTGTTAAAAGGGACCTCCTTTCAGCACAAGCCCAGGAGCAGATTCTGCACCTCCCCTGCCCTCACACGCAGATGAGCTGAAGCCAGGGTTGGAGCCTCCACAAAAGCAGTTGTGGATTCTGCCCATGCTTGTCTATACAAGTGCGTGTTATTTGCATAATCTGAAAGGGGTACTCTAAGGATCAATACACGATAATCAGTCTATAAACATTTAAAGCAAACTTCAACCAAATGCTTGCTCTCCCAGATAAAGATCTCAGGAATCTGTAACTTCAAGAGAACTTTTAGAGGTGGTCAAGATAAGTCAATTATAAAACAGCCCACGTGCAATTCTGGGAACTTGCTTAGTAAAAATCAAACACCTGGGCTGGTGAGCAGAGTCAATGACGGTTGAAGGCAGTTCCTCTTCCCTGATGTCTTCACCTTCCAGCCTCCAAGTGGTGGGACACCGCAGAAGAGAACCGCGGAGCTGTTGCTGGAAATGACCACACCAGCAATCAGAGAAAAAAAGAAAAACAGAGGAAAAACCTTTTAAGTGAAAGTGACTCAGGCTCTCTAGAGGAAGGCAGATGCTCTTCACCAACCGACGTCCCAGAGGCGTCGCAGGGATGAGAACTAAACTCACACCTATCACCTTCCAACATCAGGATGGAATTATGCCCAATATTCTCTACTTCATCACAAAGCGGCACAATCTATTATGGAAAGACTTCCATATTTAATCAGTCCCTCATTCTCACGGGGGACGGGCTGCAGGACTCCTTCAGATACCAAATTCCACATCCACAGATACTCAGGTCCCGCAGTCAACCTGGAGAACCCACTGATCCAGAAAGTCAGCGCTCTGTATAAACAGGCTGGGCTCCACACCCAGCAAACAGTGTTGGGCGTGGAACCCATGGATGCGAACAGCAGACGATTTACTGAAAAACATCTACATAAAGGTGGCCCTCGCAGACCAAAGCAAGTTGTTCGAGGGTTAGCTGTAAATTGTGTATAAAGAGCTGCTGAGCTGGAACTCAACGTCCTGGAGAAATCCATCACTGTTGGCTTTAAGCAAAAGCTGCGGAGATTTCTACCTGCAACTCTCTATGGAGAGACGTCAGCAAAGCCACCACAAGTCCACACTGCAGGGCGCTACTCCCATCACAGGGGTGCTGCCAGAGAAACGCACTTGTAACCCACCCTGTTCACAAAATCTGTCAACAAGTGACTGAATCTAGTAATTTTCAACTGTGTTCCACAAAGGTGCAGCAGGCATTTTGGGGAGGCCAACACATACCGGCTCCCAACGGCAGCCCCCCAGAGCCAGGGCAGTGTCATCTGGACCACACGGAGCCGACCGTCAGCAGCATGGACTCCTGCTGCAAATGCACCTCCCGAATTCAGCTGGCTAATGCAACTGCGAGGCAGGAACCTGATTCCAAACAGACGACCAGAACTGCCAGGGCACATGCACACAGGGCTTTAGACTAAAGCCCTTCCAGTCGCTCCTTCCTGGATCTATGGCACCCACGCCCACTGCACGGGCAGGAACACCTCCGGAAATGCTGACGTCACACCACCACCACCACACTCCCCAGAACGCTCATAAAACCCATGTACACAAACCCACAGGAGTACACAGAAACGGGGAAGAAGCCACCTCAAATTCCAGGCAGCACCGTCTGTGGCTTTCTCTAAGGCAAGGATTTACCTGCCGCCCATGGACTGGAGGCAGAGAGATGAGCCTCCTGGAACCAGAGGGACACCTGGTGCCACACAGACGCTCCATCTGAGGAGAAATGATATCACATCAGTGTCTCAAAGGGCCCTGTGAGGTACCCCAAGATCTCAAACAGCACCTCCCTGTAAACACTACTGACTGCTGGGAACCCGTCATCAAGCTCATGACCTGGCTGGCTGACTGACTGATGCACTGGGTTG
Organism: Homo sapiens; assembly: GCF_000001405.40. NCBI lineage: Eukaryota > Metazoa > Chordata > Mammalia > Primates > Hominidae > Homo > Homo sapiens. The sequence goes on along the minus strand of NC_000018.10, from coordinate 79,681,585 downwards.
GTTTTATTCACTAGACTGACTGAACATGGAATTTCAATACTAACTTGCCACATAACCAAGTTACTCACCTGTCTAGGCCAAAGCAGCCCTTTCTGTACAATCAGAGGAACAGAATGAAACCTCAGTAGGGATCTTCCATCCTGGGGTTTTCTGTCCAGGGAATACACCAGCATTGGGATCTGCCTCCACAATCCTCCCAGGTACGGCCAGTGCCCACTGAGGAAGCCGTGAAGGCATTTTCTGGGAGGCAAGGCCCTGAACCTCCCAGCCCCACCCACCAGCACGCAGGGGGCAGGAGTGAGTGCCCGTGCCGAGGGTCAAGGACCCAGGCTCTGTCTCCAAAGGAAGCGGAGCCAGGACGTTCTGGGGCTGTGACGGGAAGACTCCTGTCCCAGTCCTCACTCTTGCGGAACCAGATGCAGAGAAGATCCTCAACAAACACAGGGTCAGGGCAAGCCAAAGGGACGAGGAGCCGCGGCTGCCGAGGAGGGAAGAGAGTGGCATCCCCAGAAGGAGCGGCACCTTTCCCAGAGGGAGCTCACGCCCGGCCCACTGCGGGCTGGAGTGTCCACCTCTCCCTGGAGTTTCTGTTCTCACAATCAAAACTACCAGAGCCAGGCGCACACGCGTGTCCACTTGCCCGCCCATCCCAGAACACAAGGGTAGATTCAAACATGGCTGGACACTTCGGTGCTACGGAAACATATCCCCTTCTGGGGTCAGAGCACAGCTACTGAGAGCTGTGGAGTCTGTCACAACGCCCACGTCACCCTGAAGCAGCCTGCGACAATGCCCACTGTGGTCAACCACGGGGCTACTGCCTTCGCTGCAGGCCTGGGTTCCGCCCGTTCCTTAGCCACGAAACAGAACTGCACCAGGTTTTACAACTGCGTTTCACAAAGTTTACAAAAATTTAAAGATGTGCACACACCCAACAGTTTATATTTCAATAACAGGTCTGGAGCCTGCCTGATGACTCTTGTGCTCACAGCCACCCATGAGTTTTCCTAAGTCACAAAGGTGGAGCTAAAGGAAGGGGCGGGGACTATCACTGCAGAAAGAAAGAAACAAACATAGCTTTTCCAAACAGTAACTTCGTGTCGCTACGCAGGACCCTTTCCTTTTATCTCAAAATGCTCCCCGTTGGTAAAACCACAGGTGGTGACTATCCAGTTTTAGGGGAGAAGCGCAGTGCCTGCGTCCCGCTTTATCGCTCCCTCACCAGGGGCGCCCCTGCCCACCGCGGACGCAGCAGCCCGGGGGTCCTCCAGGATCCCTCCCCGGAGCCGCCCGCCCTCGGCCCCGCCCGGCTCAGCACACTCACCCTGGGGCGACCACCTGGCCCGGCTGCGCGCACAGCTCCCGCACCACGCCCGCGCGCTCCGACCTCAGCCTGCGTTCCGGCCGCGCGGGGCGCACGCAGCCCCCGGAGGCTACACGGGACTGAGAGGCCCCGGAGGACTGCGCGGAGGCGGCGGCCTCGAACACGGCCAGCACCGAGCCGATGCGCACGGCCGCGCCCGCCGCCACCCTCCACTCCAGCAGGCGCAGCGGCGCGGGCCCCGGGCAGCGCACCTCGGCCACAGCCGCCGTCGGGGCGCCCTCGGCAGGAACGCGACCCGCGGCCGGCACCTCCATCGCGGACAGAGGGCGGGCGGGCGGTCGGTACGGGGCCTGCGCTGCGCTCAGAGCGCAGCGCCTACCGCGGCGACACAACCCAGGCGGCGACGCTGTAGTTCCTCTCGGTACCGGCTTCCACCCGTCGCCTAGCCCGCGCCGACTTCCTGGAGGGCGCGTGACGTCACGCAAGGGCGCCGCGTACGTGCGTACGTGCGCGTGTAAATACGAGCGCCGCGCGGGGCCGGAGCCGGCTCCGTCCTGGGACCAACCCTGCGTGCCGGCCGTGAAGAACTGCGTTCCTGAGCCCTACCTACTTTTCCTCGGAGCGCCGGCACCGTGGAGCAGCGGCATGCAACGCGGGCCGCTGTCGCCCAGTCCCAGTGACGGTCTTGGCGCGCTCGGAACTACGTATCCCGGCGTGCACCGCGGACAGAGCATGGCGGGACTACGAGTCCCAGCGTTCAACGCAGGCCTGCGTGCCATTACCCCATCACGCGCTGAGACCCAGCATCCCGAGACTACGAGTTCCGGCATGCACCGCGAGCCGCTCTCCTCCACTCCCATCGCGCACTGTGAGTCGCAACGTCGCGGGACTACGGGTCCCGGCATGCCTTGCGCGCCGCGGGCCCAGAGACGTGAGGCTGTCGGCGTCCTGGTGGCCCCGCCTCGTGTCCCCCCCCGGACCCCACGCCGCGGGAGCTTGGGGGTTGCGGTCTTCTCTTCCTCCGACCTCACCTTCGATGCGGAAGCGCAGGGGCAGGTGCGCCGCCCTCGGCCCGCGCAGGCGGTGGGCCCGTCTGGGGCAAGGCGCCCGGAAGCGCCTGGTTGGTTCAGAAAATCGGACCGCAGCGGGAGGGCGGGCACCGGCGCGTGGTCTCAGTGGCCCCAGGCGAACCCTGATGAGCAGCAGCCGCAAGTGGCTTACTAAAGGAGCCACTTTCTACGTTTGTCTGGAATTTACGTGAATTAAGCTGGCGGGCGGGCGGCCAGGCCTGTAGTCTCAGCACTTTGGGAGGCTCAGCACTTCGGGAGGCTGTGGCGGGCGGATCACCTGAGCCTGGGAGTTGGAGACCAGCCTGCGCAACGTAGCAAGACCCTATCTCTAAAACAGATTCATTAATACTTAGCCAGGCGCGGTGGCTGAGGTCCCAGCTACTCGGCAGGCCCAGGCTGGCCTGAGCCAGACCGCTCTGGACTGTTTTAATTTTTTCAGCCTTAATACCTGCCAGAATTTTTTTTTTACTATGTATCTTTGTCCTTACGTATATAAATTTTATATACAATTGAGATTATCCTGTATTTGCTTTTCCCCCCTCACTTTTATATGGTGACTTTTCTCATGTTAGGCTGAATACTAACATTTTGGAAACTGTCGGCCTGAAAACGAGCGGAGACACAGTTTCTCTAAGTAGAGAGTTTATTTGGGCCACACTTGAGCACAAATTCAAGGCGCCCTGAATGTGTACTCCGATTAGCAGTTAACAGTGGATTTTAAAGGCAAAAAAGGGGGCCAGGGAGTGGACTAATAGGAACTTGTTTGTGAGGAATTCTCACTGGTTTACAGAAATAACATTGATTAGTGACTGACTATATGTTGTTCAGCTATTGAGTGTGGGTATAGTGTCCATTGTGGCGTCATTAGGTTAATTTATAGCTGTTTGTGGCGCTGTTGCCACCAGTAGCAGTTTAAAGAGGTGAACACAGGTCAAGGGGTAGTAGGGCGCGATTGTCGCCTCATTTGAATGTCTCTCTCGGCCTGATAATTAAAAGAACTCGCGTTCCTCAGATAAAAATTCTCTTTTCTCAAAACCATTTAAATGTGGTAATTAGAATGGCCCAGAAGGGGCACAGTGCCTTTTAGCCCTCGCCATTACTTGCTCTTAGGAGTGCATTTTTTGTAGCTGTGGGTTTTTGACTATCTCTGCTGCTTTCTCCAGCCCCTACCCTCGTGACTACAAGGGAAAACGTGCGGTGCTCACGAGAGAGCCTTTATGGGATTTTTAAAAAATGGGGATTGTGGGAAAATGGCTCCAGCAGTCACAGTTTTTCAGTTTCTCACAATCCCATAAAAACAGAGCAACCAGGTAACAAAACTAAAGCATGGGCAACATTTACAGACCACTGGATGGTGAAGAATTCCCATGAACCCCTGGTTCACACTGTAAGGACACACTACTCAGCATGGGCAACATTTACAGACTACTGGATGGTGAAGAATTCCCATGAACCCCTGGTTCACACTGTAAGGACAGACTACTCAGCATGGGCAACATTTACAGACCACTGGATGATGAAGAATTCCCATGAACTCCTGGTTCCAACTGTAAGGACACACTACTCAGCTGTAGCCTGAAGCCGCCTCCTTACATACTGTAAGTTTAGCCTATAGGTTTCTCCATACGTAGTGAACAGTCATCTAATTGGATGTGTGGACACTGTAACCTACTCTTGAATCAGTCACAGGCAGCAGCACTTCAAACTCTGTTTCAATAAGCCAGACACGAGCTGTAGCCACCCTGCTGTTTGCAGGCCTCACCTCTGCCTTCTGTGCCTCACTCCCTTTTCTGTCCGTAAGTCTTTGGCCACACAGTGGCACTGGAGTCTCTCTGAGCCTATTCTGGTTTGAGGGGTTCCCTGATTCCTGAATCATTCTTTGCTCAATTAAACTCTGTAAAATTTAATGTTTCTAAAGTTTTCCTTTGAACACTACCAACAGCGCAAGCCCAGGGTGATGTCGGGGCCTGCGAGAGAGAAAGTAGGGGGGCCAAGGGCTCCACACTCACTGTGTGAACAGGTTTGTCTCAAAGGTTGTTGATATGTATCAGCATTCCCTATTTGAACCTGTTCCCACCAGCAGTATGTGAACTTTGGTTTGAAAAAATAATTCTGTAAAATGGGAAGAACCGTGTGTTATGTATGGACTTTGAAATACAGACCTCGATGGAACTGACAGACTGATCTAGGTAGACAGATGTAGACATCCCTAGGTGATTACAACTCCAACCTGGATAGATGCCATGTAGTCTTCCAATTAGAGATGCTATACAGCCAATGAAACTTAACCATGTCTTTAATAGGTGTGCCACCTTTTGTTAAAATCAGTTATCTTACAAGTATCATGAGAAAAAACATTAGTATCAACAGATTGAAACATTTATTGGGAAGAAAGTGAGGCCACAGTCAGGAAAAATAGCATAAGCCACAACCTCTTAGTCAAGAATCTTAGAAACAGCTGTGTTTCGTGTGTTTCAGAACTCTGAATTGTTCTGATTTTAGGAAAGTGACGTGTGCATATTCCACTTGGGGCCTGGGGCAACACCCTCATCAAACTGATATTCCTGCAGCAAAATACAAGCAGGACGAAAAGGATCATGGGTCGTCTCGTGCCAAATCAGGTTAGACTTTCCGCCAAATGAAGTACACAAAACTTTCCATGTTTAGGACTATGAATTTGGGCCAGGCACTGTGACTCATGCCTGTAATCCCAGCACTTTGAGAGGCTGAGACAGGTGGATCACTTGAGCCCGGGAGTTCAAGACCAACCTGGGCAACATAGTGAGACCTCATTTCTACAAAAAATTAGCTGAGTGTGGTGGTGTGCACCTGTCTGGAGTCCCAGCTACTCAGGAGGCTGAGGTGGGAGGATCCATTGAGCCTAGGAGGTCAAGGCTGCAGTGAGCTGTGATTGCACCACTGTCCTCCAGTCTGAGCAACAGAGCGAGACCCTGTCTTAAAAAAAATGGATACTGGGGCCACAGATAAGAGGTATGGGACTGTAATGCAGTCACCTTTACGTAGTGGCTCAGGGGAAAAGGAGGAATCCCAGTCCCCAGAATTCTAGTTTTATCTACGTCACGGGTGGTTTTGGTGAAACCTGGAAGGATTCTGTGGTCACTTTTCCTCACTGATGTATGTTTCCTCCAAACTCAACTGTGTCATTTGATTAGCATGCAAGGGTCTGTGCTAGCAAGGCCAGAACAAAAGGAGGTTAAGGGGAAGGACAGCAGTTGTAGGAATAGAATATGGCCTTGGGGAGTCCAAGATCTCCTGGGCCTGGGTATCTGTGTGTGAACATCATCTGCACGTATGTGACTATGCTTGGGGCCCTTTAACTGTTGCACAGGCCAACATGTGGCCCCCAAGACCCTTATCTGACACCTTATGTGAAAACTCAGTGGATTAAAGACTAAACAAGAAATAAAGGTATACAATTTCTAGAAGAAAACGGGAAAAATTTATGACATTGGATTTAGCAGTGATTTATTGGATATGACACCAAAGACACGGGCAACAAAAGTAAAACTAAGACGACATCAGGCTTAGAAACTTCTGTGCATCGAAGGACACAATCAACCTTTCCCTTCTGTGCAGGGAAAAGGTAACCTGTGGAATGTGAGAAAATATCTGCAAATCATATATCTGATAAGGGGTTAATATCTGGAATATATAGACAACCACCACTCAACAGTAAAACAAGTCACCTCATTTAAAAATGAGCAAGGGACTTCAACAGACACTTCTCTGAAGAGGATATACAGTCAGCACTCTATCGATGGGTTTTGCATCCCTGGATGTAACCAGCCAGGGATTGAAAATATTTTTATTAAAAAAATGTGCCCATGCTGAACATGTACAGACTTTCCTTCTCATTGTTCTCTAAACAATATAGTGTAACAACTATTTACATAGCATTTACTTTGCATTAGCTATTATAAGTAATCTAGTGACGATTTAAAGGATGCAGGAGGGTGTGCATAGGTTACAGGCAAATACTCCCAACATCCTTAGATTTTGGTCCGTGGGAGGTTCTGGAACCAGTCCCCCACAGATACCAAGGGACAGTCGTATTTACAGATGACCAGTAGGCACATGAAAAGATGCTCAAAATCACTGACCATTAGAGAAATGCGAACCACAGTCACAATGAGATGATCACTCCATACTCATGAGGATGGCTATGATGAAAAACAGCATGGAGTTAGGATGGCTGTGATGAAAACAGCATGGAGGTTTTCCTCAGAGTTAGCATGTGATCCAGGAATCCCACCTGTACGTATTTACCCAAAGAATTGAAAGCAAAGTCTAAAGAGCCACTTGCACACCATGTTCACAGCTGCACTGTTCACAGTAGCCAAGAGGCAGAAACAACATAGCGTCAATCAACAGATGAATGGACAAGCCAGGTGGCCTGTGAGATGGGATATTATTAAGCCTTAAAAAGGAATGAAGGCCAGGCACAGTGTCTCATGCCTGTAATCCCAGCACTTTGGGAGGCCGAGGTGGGTGGATCACGAGGTCAGGAGATCGAGACCATCCTGGCTAACATGGTGAAACCCCATCTCTACTAAAAATACAAAGAATTAGCCGGGTGTGGTGGTGGGCACCTGTAGTCCCAGCTACTCCGGAGGCTGAGGCAGGAGAATGGTGTGAACTGGGAGGCGGAGCTTGCGGTGAGCCGAGATCGCGCCACTGCACTCCAGCCTTGGCGACAGAGCAAGACTCCATCTCCAAAAAAAAAAAGGAATGAAATTCTGACCCATGCTACAACATGGGTGAACCTTGAAGAAACTATGCCAAGTGAAATAAGCCAGCTGCGAAAAGGCAAATACTGTCTTTTTTTTTTTTTCTTTTGAGACAGAGTCTTGCTCTGTTGCCAAGCTGGAGTGCAGTGGCATGATCTTGGCTGTGCAATACCGTCTTATTCCCCTTCTGTGAGATGCCTAAAGTCAAATTTATAGAAACAGAAAACAAAATGGTAGTTACCAGGGCTGGGGGCAGGGTGGGCAGTTGTTTGATGGGTACAGAGTTTTAGTTTTGCAAGATAAAAAAAATTCAGACCAATATGAATAAACAATGCTACTAAAGTGTACACTTAAAAACAGTTAATATGGTAAATTTTATGTATTTTTTAACCACAATTAAAATGTATTATTATTTTTTATTGAGATGGAATCTTGCTCTGTTGCCCAGGGTGGAGTGCGGTGGTGCAATCTCGGCTCACTGCAACCCCCATCTCTCGGGTTCAAGCAGTTCTCCTGCCTCAGCCTCCTGAATAGATGGGACTACGGGCACCCACCACCATGCCCGGCTAATTTTTGTATTTTCAGTAGAGATGGGATTTCACCATGTTGGCCAGGCTGGTCTCAAACTCCTGGGTTCAAGTGATCCACGCATCTTGGCCTCCCAAAGTGCTGGGATAACAGGCGTGAGCCACCACACCCGGCCTGGAGTTAACATTTAAAAAGTGTAAGAGGCCTCTACTGGAATTAGATGATTATTTTTCAGACTTATTTTTAGAGATCACTTTGCAGAGTTCTGCTTAATTTGTGGCATAATAGAATAAATATTCCGATTTCTGAACTAAATAATCTGAGAATGTACTCATTTCATAATGTGAACCAGAATTGCTTGAGAAGCACAGAGGTAATGGGAATTAAGTACATTTAAAAAAGCAAATTCCAGGTCTATTTAGATGCTCTTTAAAGACCATTGCCTGTGACACCTGTTTCTAAAAGTTAATAATCTCTAGGCCAAAAAAGAAAAGAAAATGAAATGTTAACCAGTTTTTACTCCCCTTGATGACTTTCTTTTTTCCTTTTTTTACTTTCCTTTGTGATTTCTTTGTGAGTTCTTCCTAACTTCCCATTCAGGCCAAAATCATGAACAGCTTTAGATGTTGGTTACACTGTGAATCTTAACACTGAGAACCCACTTACCTTGCTAAGCATCTCTGCAGAGGCAAGGATGGTGCTTATTGTCGGGGGCAGATGACACTTTGCCAGCTGCTGTACCAAGTGCATTGCAGAGCCTGGTCTCATTTCATCTGCACCATGACTCACTGAGGTAGCTACGGTTTCCAGCTTACAGATAAGAGAGGAAAGCGAGGCCTGCGGAGGTTTGGGTGCTCAGCTGCACAGCCAGGAGCGGGCAGGACTGGCATCTGGAAGCCAGGTGGCTGACTGCAGACCCTGCTCCCGTTACCTCCGCTAGACGTCTTTGTGATCTCAGCTGATGAAGGGGCCGTACTCCAGGGCCGTCAAAACGAAACGGGACAGCTTTTTCGATAAATACAATTTATCTGAATAATGTAGGAAATACAGAATATAGTTGATGTTTTGTTTGGTGTTTTATTTTTGCCCTCCTTACAAGAGGACTGGCAGGAAGGGGACGGAGGCCGCTAGACTGGTCTGACTTCAGGGGCAGGTGAGAATGATGCCTTGGGCTGGGCTCACCGTGCCTAAGTGTGCAGTACAGAGAAGGCAAGGCTCTAGGGAGGTGAGGGCAGGCTGGCGGGTGGACGCAGCTCCCTGCTTCCTGCGTTTCACAGAGCCCAGCTGGCCCCTGGTCCTGATGCCATTTGAAGGAAAATGTCAGGAGCCAGATCAGGGCAGCAAGGAGTGGAGGCTCCTTTCATTCCTCCATACCCACTAGCTGTCACATAAGGCAACAGTTCTGCCCCCTCAGGGAGCTGCCTCACTCAGGCTCACGTTCAGGTTCCGAGCTTTGAACTTCAGTCAGTGTGCCAGCTGTCTGCTGAATTTCAGTCTCAACATACGAGGAATGGAAGGAAATTTCTTTAGCTTGATAAACAGCCTCTACAAAAAACCTGTAGCTGACATCAGACTCAATGCTTGAAGATGGGAGGCCTTCGCCTAAAATCAGGAATAAAACAAGAGCGGCTTGCCCCTTCTAGGTAATTGTGTACAGAAGGCTCTAGCCAGGGCAGTTAGTCAAGAAAAAAAGCATCCAATTCAAAAGAAAGGTATAAAACAATCTCTAGAGATTGTTGAAGATGGCTTAATCTTTTATGTAAAAAAAGCCTATGGCAGGGCACAATGGCTCACACCTATGATCCCAGTGCTTTGGGAGGCCAAGGTGAGAGGACTGCTTGAGCCCAGGAGTTCAAGGCCAGCCAGGGCAACACAGTGAGACCCCATCTCTACAAAACAAACAAACAAACAACCTATGGAATCTTTTTTTTTTGAGACGAGTTTTGCTCTTGTTACCCAGGCTGGAGTGCAGTGGCGCGTTCTCAGCTCACTGTAACCTCTACCTCCTGGGTTCAAGCAATTCTCCTGCCTCAGCCTCCCGAGTAGCTGGGATTACAGGCACCCGCCACCACACCTGGCTAATTTTTGTATTTTTGGTAGAGACAGGGTTTCACCATGTTGGCCAGGCTGGTCTGCAACTCCTGACCTCAGGTGATCTGCCCACCTTGGCCTCCCAAAGTGCTGGGATTACAGGCATGAGCCACCGCGCCCGGCTGGAATTCATTTTAAAAACCTTAGAAAAACCATGTTTAGCAATGTTGCAGGATATAAATTGTGTTTCTATATACCAGCAATGAGAAAGCCAAAATAAGCAAACAATTCCGTTTATAATAGCACCAAAAAGAATAAAATACTCAGGAATAGACTTAAGAAGTTCAAGATGTGAACACTGAAAACTGCAAAGCATTGTTGAAAGAAAATAAAGAAGATTTAAATAGATTGAAAGATATCTCATGTTTATGGATCAGAAGACTTAATATTGTTAAGAAGGAAATATTTCCCAAATCGATCTATAGAGTCAATACAATCCTTTTCAAAATCCCAGCTGACTTTTATGCAGAAGTTGACAAGCTGATCCTAAAATTCATAAAAATGAAAGGGACCCAGGATAGCAGAAAGAATCTTGAAAAATTATTTAGAGTACTCAGAATTCCCTACAAAGCTGCAGTAATCAAGACAATGTGGTACTGACATCAGGATAGAAATGTAGATCAGTGGAATAGAATTCCAGTCTAAATAGAATTTAGAGTCCAGAAGTAAACCCTCATATTTATGGTCAACTGATTTTCAAGGATGTGAAGACATCTTATTGGGCAAAAGAAAAGTGTTTTCAACAAATGGTGCTGACAATATGTAAATGACCAGTGAACACATGACAAGATGTTCAGTGTCTTTAAAGGTCAATGTATTAGTCTGTTCTCATGCTGCTAATGAATACATACCTGAGACTGCGTAATTTATAAAGGAAAGAGGTTTAATTGACTCAGTTCCACAGGGCTGGGGAGGCCTCACAATCATGGCAGAAGGCAAAGGAGGAGCAAAGTCACGACTTACATGGCGGCGGGCAAGAGAACGTATGCAGGGGAACTGCCCTTTATCAAACCATCAGATCTTGTGAGACTTATTCACTATCCTGAGAACAGCACACGGAATTCCCACCCCCATGATTCAGTTACCTCCCACCGGGTCCCTCCCATGACGTGGGAATTATGGGAGCTACAATTCAAGGTGAGATTTGGGTGGGGACACAGCCAAACCATATCAGTCAGGGATCTGCAAATCAAAACCACAATGAGAAACCACCTCATACCTGTCAGGATGGTGCTATGGCTTGAGTGTGTCCCACAAAGTTCATGTGTTGGAAACCTGATCCCCAGTACAACTGTGTTGAGAGGTGTGGCCTATAAGAGGTGATTAGGCTGTGACAGCCCTGCCTTCGTGAATGGCTGATGCTGTTATCAAAGGAGTGGGTTCGTGATTACGGACTTGAGTTCCTGATGAAAGGGAGCTTGGCCTTCTCTTGCTCTTGTTTTCACACACACTGTTGGACCCTCAGCCTCTTGCTCTTGTTTTCACACACACTGTTGGACCCTCAGCCTCTTGCTCTTGTTCTCACACACACTGTTGGACCCTCAGCAGTTGTGGCCCCTGGATCTTGGATTTTTCCACCTCCAGAATCCTGGGTCAAATACATTTCTTTTATTTATAAATTCCCCAGTCTCTGATATTCTGTTATAGCAAAGCAAAATGGACTAAGACAGATGGCTATAATAATAAAAACGATAAAAATAGTAATGTGATTATATTGGGTCATCCTGTAACAAATGGACCACACTAATGCAAGATGTTAACAATTGCAGAAACTGGGGGTGAGGGGATGGAAGAGTATGTGGGAATTCTTTGTACTCTCTGTGCATTTTTTCCCTAAACCTAAAAATACTCCAAAAAATAAAGTGTATTAAAATAAAAATAACAGGTGATTCTGTGGAGAAATTGGGACCCTCATAAGTTGCCAGCAGGAATGTAAAATGGTGCAGCAACCTTGGACAACATTTGGCCTCAAAATGTTAAACATCAAGTTGTCTTATGACCCAGAATTCCTAAGTGTATGCCCAGGAGAATTGAAAATATATGTCCATATGAAAACTTGTACCTAAATATTCATAGCGGCACTTTTCGCAATAGCTAAAAGGTGGAAATGACCTAAACGTTCAGCAAATGATTAATGGATAAACAAAATTGGTATGTCCATGAAATGGAATATTATTTGGCCATAAAAAATGAAGTTCGGATACATGGTACAACATGGATGAACCTTGCAAACATCATGCTAAGTGAAATAAGCCAGGCACAAAAGACCACATACTGTACGATTATATTTATATGAAGTGTCCAGAAGAGGCAGGTCTATAGGGACAAAATATAGACCAGCACTTGCTCAGGGCTGAGGGAGTTAGCAGGTGCATGGGAAACGAGGGGTGACTGCTAAGGGTACGGGGTTTCTTTGGGGGGAGATTAAAATATTCTGAGACTGGATTACGGTGACGATTCCATAACCCAGGACATGTATTAAAACAATTGAATTGCATGCTTTAAATTTGATGATTTGTAAACTATATCTCTACAAAACTGATACAAAATGTAAACCACATTTCTCACTGAAGAAGTTTTGGGTGACCCTCCCATAAGTTGATGCCTACTGTGAGAGCACAGTATCATGATGCAAAAATGTTTGTTGAACCTCAAAGCTCACTAGATGAGGCACAGATGAGAAAACCTAATGCTTCTGTCAACCTAAAGATAGAGCACTGCAATGGGAATATGCGTTCCACAGTAAACGCTGCATATTCAGACAGGGAAGGAATCACATAATTATTCTGAGATAATTGTCCTCAGTACAGAGATCGGTAACAAGGACGATCCAGTCTGGGGCTGGACAGGCAATTGCTGGGCAGGTGTTCTTGCCAAAGCACCTTTTGTGTAAGGTTGTGATAGCCTTGGTGCAAGGTTTTGGGTTTTGTCATCATTTTTGTTATCAATATACAAGCATGAGAACCCTCTCTTCAAGGCCTTCCCTGACTCTATTTGTCAGGAGTTTTTGTTTGTTTGCTTGTTTGTTTTTCTTTAAACTAGTGAATCTTTTCTGACTTTTTTTTCTTTAACACTAGTGACCCTTTTTTGACTCTGACAATTTTCACATTTCCTCTTCTGATCAAGATCTTTCTTTAAAAGCCTCACTGATCAATCAACCTGTGGTTGCGTTTTGATGCCTCTCCGTGCTGGGATGGACCTGTCATCGTTGGTGGTCTCACCCCACTTTGAGGGGAATGATTGGTGACTAGGATCCAGTGTCAAAACCCTTTTAGCCACATCTGAGCAGCAAGGGAGGTTTGAAGGGAGTGGCTCCCTGGATAAGTCTACCTGGAGTGCATTGTTAAGTGCAGTTTTGTCTTTTCCATGATCTTTTGCTATCATCTGAAAGTGCTGGGCCAGCATTATGTTATTAGGAGTTGTACTTCTGCAGATCAGTTAACAAGTAACCAGGCATGGTGGCTCATGCCTATAGTCCCAGCTACTCAGGAGCCTGAGGTGGGAAGACTGTTTGAGTCCAGGAGTTCAAGGCCAGCCTGGACAACATAGCAATATCCTATCTCAAAAAAATTATCTTTATTCCTATGTATCCTAGATGGAAAAAAAATGACAAGTAACAGATACAAAGTTTAAAAAGGGGAAATAAAAAGTAAAATTAATAGTAATGTGACAATCCCAGTTTGCATCCATGAACTTGGTAGGCTTAAAGACGAATGAATCAATGACCATAGGGAATTAGGTAAGACTTGAATGATGTGGCCTGTTTTCTTCTTTTGTGTATATGGGTCTCAACTTTCCCAGAGGAATTTATCCAGGTACCACAATAAGAAATGCACAGGCATTTTCTTATTTAACCAATGAATACTAAAGGATTTTTTTTTTTTTTTTTTGAGACGGAGTTTCACTCTTGTCACCCAGGCTGGAGTGCAGTGGTGTGATCTCAGCTCACTGCAACCTCCGCCTCCCGGGTTCAAGCGATTTTCCTGTCTCAGCCTCCTGAGTAGCTGGGATTACAGGCATCCACCACTGCACCCAGCTAATTTTTGGTATTTTTTAGTAGAGACGGGGTTTCACCATGTTGACCAGGCTGGTCTCGAACTCCTTACCTCAGGTGATCCACCCGCCTCGGCCTCCCAAAGTGCTGGGATTACGGGTGTTACTAAAAGATTTTTAAAGGTTACGTTCTGTTAAGTTACCAGCAGAAGCTACTGATTGTGAAATTTCAATTTCATTATTATCCTGTCAAGTGAAAAGGATAGACATTAAGAGGAGTTGAGTTAGAGTCTCCTTATGATATGGAGTCTTGTTCCAATGTCCAGGGAAAACTGTTTACAACATGAAAACATCAACTTTTCCTCCCAGTTTGCAGCTTGAATATCTCTGGTTGTGGCATCAAGCAGTTTGGTGAACCTTATGTGTGGACCATACATCAGGCATGAGGCTTGTTTCTTAAAATGTGTTTAGGTTCATCTTACAGGGCTTTAGAAGAGAAGCAGTTTTAGTTTTTAGTTGGAGAATTATAACCAAACAATGAAGAAAATTAGGAGAATTCAGGATCTAGCCCATTCTACAGGTAGATAACAAGAACTCGAAAACAAGGCTCAGAGCTACAGTCTAATAACAAGGGTATGATAGTTTTTCTTTAGAAACATAACTTTTTCTCCCTACACTGATGACGTAGGTTATCAGATTTAAAAACCTTTTGAGGCTAGAAAGCCAAACCTGGGCAGATCTTCGATTGTACTTACAACCTGAATGTTCCTGGGCCTGCCAGGAAATTACAATTTTTATTTACTGATTGTAAGGCTGGAAAGTCTTAAAACCAGGCTTTCTATGGATACCTTCAAATATGATATTCAGTCAAAACCTCTGTACTATAATCAATGTTTCCAATTGTATCCTGCTGTAAAGAGAGAATAGATTTTTGTTGAACTTATATAAATAATTATATTGTACTTAAAACTAGGACTATACATGAATAGTTTCCAAATTTTGGAACAATCAAGTAAACAGTAAAATCAAATGCCTCCACCTTTGTTCACTAAACTATACCAAATTGTTGTAAACTATAGACAGCTTTTGAGAGACAATTTTCTTAAATCTGGAAAATAAAACATGTAGGTAAAGAACTTACAATGTTTCAAATAAAAGTCATTAAAACGTGTTAATTTTTAAATTTCATATAATTAGTATTTTGTTTTGCTTGATCTTGGTTAGCAGTGTCATGGACCCGTCAGTTTCTTCATCAGAGTTCTGGAAATTCTTTTTCCGTTCATGATCTTAAAGTTATCAGAAATCTGTGTCCAAGAGTTCTTGCAAGTCTTTTTATGAAAGGCAATTTGGGACTGTAGTTGATTGCAAATACTTTTAGGGAATAATCGAAAATAATAACGAGAGAAGCCCAAATGCTTAGAATGGCCGTGGTTAAAAATCTGATGAAAATTCCTAATTATCAAGGAAATTTAGTTACTTACATACAACATATGGCTTTTTTTTTCTTTTTTTTGGCAGAGTTTCCCTCTGTCATCCAGGCTGGAGTGCAGTGGCACGATCTTGGCTCACTGCAAGCTCCACCTCCTGGGTTCACGCCATTCTCCTGCCTCAGCCTCCCGAGTAGCTGGGACTACAGGCACCCGCCACCATGCCCGGCTAGTTTTTTTGTGTTTTTAGTAGAGATGGGGTTTTCAACATGTTAGCCAGGATGGTCTCAATCTCCTGACCTCGTGATCCACCCGCCTCAGCCTCCCAAAGTGCTGTGATTACAGGCGTGAGCCACTGTGCCCGGCCAACATATGGCATTTTAAGATAACAACCGGAATCATGACTGACAGCTGGACTGATACCAGGACCATGAAACTTATAAATTTCACATCATCTTTAGAATGCATTAATAACATAGTCATACAAATATAGCTTCAGAAAAAATGTAATATAACAACGAAAATTATGACAGATAACATATTAGATTTCTATGAGTTTACATAATTTTTGAAACATATCAACAACATACCGATAAATGTATCTGAAAGAAGATCTAGTATCACTTATAATTTGACAATGCTTCCCTACAATTTACCAAATAAGCCTGATTATTTAATGTCTCAACAAGACGAGAGATACATGTTTTGAGTCTCTTCAGGAGCACAAATAGAAAATCCAAAAGTTAGTTCTAGGTCAAAAAGACTTAATTTGGTATTCTGATATTTGGGAAGCCTACAAAATATATCAAAAAGTATAAAACACTTGATCAAAACAGAATCACAGGGCCAGGCGTGGTGGCTCGTGCCTGTAATTCCAGCACTTTGGGAGGTTGAGGCAGGTGGATCACTTGAGGTCAGGAGTTCAAGACCAGCTTGGCCAACATGGTGAAACCCTGTCTCCACTAAAAACACAGAAATTAGCCAGGCGTTGTGGCAGGTGCCTGTAATCCTAGCTACTAGGGAGATTGAGGCAGGAGAATCGCTTAAATCTGGAAGGTGGCAGTTGCAGTGAGCTGAGATTGCACCACTGCACTCCAGCCTGGGCAACAGAGTGAGACTCCTGTCTCAAAAAAAAAAAAAAATTACAAGTCATGTAAAATATTAATCATTCATTTAAGCAGAGTGATAGTTAAAATACTTCAAAAGCAAATACGGAAAGTTACATGAATGTAAAAGCCTTAACCCATTTAAAGCTCAGTTTTCCGCTTGAGTAATCAAAAACTTAATAAAAAAACAAATCTAACTTGATAAAATGTAAAAATGTCTTGTGTTTAGGCTAGTTACAAAAAGTAAAGAAGAACCTCCTGCTGTATGATTGCTTCTCCTTAGATAACCCAGAAGTCAAACCTGAAGAAAAGGGTACTTGAATTTAATTAGACACAGGAAGAGTGCGTCCAGGGTTATGAGTGTTCACTTTATCATAGAGGACTGTAAACAAGCAAAGGAGTGCCTGGAGCAGGGAATTACATGACTCTTAGTAACAGCACAGGAATTTTCTTGGTTACACAGAATAATCCAGACACATCAGGAAAAGCCGGCCAGGCCAGTGGCTCATGCCTGTAATCCCAGCACTCTGGGAGGCCAAGGCAGGAGGATTGCTTGAGCCCAGGAGTTCGAGACTAGCCTGGGCAACATAGGAAGACCCCCCCATCTCTACAAAAAATGGGAAAAAAAGAAACATTTCAGGATTAAACATCAAAACCTCTTGCAATTTTCCTAAGGGCAAATCAATACTTTAAGAAAACCTTGTTCTAACATAGGTGATATGGTTTGGCTCTGTGTCCCCACCCAAATCTCCACTCCATTTGTAATCCCTAGGTGATATGGTTTGGCTTTGTGTCCCCACCCAAATCTCCACTCCAGTTGTAATCCCTAGGTGATATGGTTTGGCTCTGTGTCCCCACCCAAATCTCTACTCCAATTATAATCCCTATAATCCCACATGTTGAGGGAAGAACCCGGTGGGAGGTGGTTGGATCATGGAGGCAGTTTTCCCCGTGCTATTCTTGTGATAGTGAGTGCATTCTCAGGAGCTCTGATGGTTTTATCAGGCAGTTTCCCTGCTCTTGCTTCTCTCTCTCACCTGCCACCATGTAAGACATGCCTCTTCCCCTCTGCCATGACTGTAAGTTTCCTGAGGCCTCTCCAGCCATGAGGAACTGTGAGTCACTTAAACCTTATTTCTTTACAAATTACCCAGTCTCAGGTAGTATCTTTATAGCAGTGCGAGAATGGACTAATACAATAGGGGACCAAGATTTTTGGTTTTGTGCTACTTACCCTGGTAGGAAATCTAATGAAGGCTCTGGACCAAAATTTTGGGTAAACAGTTTCCATGCAGTTTAAAAATAAAAATGAAAAACGCCATTTCTACCCCCACCCACTTCTTTCTTTTTTTTTTTTTTTCATTTTCAAATGAGGTTAGGGCTAAATTTTCAACTGTTTACATTTTAGCTAGGTGGGCCAGGCATGGTGGCTTATGCCTGTAATCCAAACCCTTTTGGAGTCTGAGGCAGGTGAATTAAGGCAGGTGAATTACTTGAGCTCAGGAGTTCTACACCAGCCTGGGCAATAGATTGAAACCCCATCTCTATAAAACGACAACAAAACTAGTCATGTCTGGTGGTGCATGTCTGTAGTCCCACCTACTTGGGAAGCTGAGGCAGGAGGATCACTTGAGCCCGGGAGGTCAAGACTGCAGTGAGCCATGATTGTAACACTGTACTCTAGGCTGGGTAACAGAGCAAGACCCTGTATCTATATATCTATATCTATATCTATATCTATCTATATATCTGTATCTGTATGTGTATCTAGATCTATATCTATCTATAAAAGAAAAAAAAACATTTTAGCTAGGATTGACTGCATTGTATAAGAATCTCCAAGAAGACTTGAACTAGCAGCAAATGTCTTTTGGTTGCTGGTCTTGTTTGCTTGGTTAGAGATGTGGGCAGGAAGCATTGCAGCAGGGTTTTGGTTTTATTTTGTTTTTGGCTTTTTCTTTTTGGACTCTGCATGGCAGAAAAAGTAATACAATTTTTATGCTGGACAGAGATACCTTACATTATTGCTCTGTGCTCCAGCTTTTGACCTCTGTAATCTGAGAGCCTAACTTTTATAAACATTTATGAATATGTAGTTCCTTTTCTTTTAGATTATTAATTTTTCAATTTAGTGCTCCATCACCATAAGCAATTGTTAGTCAGTCAAACCTAAATTGATGTCTCTAAAAGGTGTCTAGGTTGTTGGTTACCATGGAGCTGTCGGAATTTCTAAAGCCGTTAATTTGAAAGCCCTTTAAGACTTTGAAAAAAATCTTGGCTAGAATGCCATAAGCAGTGAGTTTCATCTCAACCCAGCAGAAGAGTCAGAAAATTCAAAATAGGCAAAAAAAAAAAAAAAAAAAAAAAAAAAGTTGGGGGAGAGATACAGACCTTAGAAGACTCCATGTTAACTCTATTGCCCCAAGGTTGTTTTTTTGAGAGGGTTGCTTTTTTAGAGAGTTCAAATAATGGCCATTGAGCTCTGAATTTTCCTTGGTGTCATTTTGCCAATCACTTAAAAAATGTGCATGAGAATGGGCCACAATATGTAACTGGCTGGAATCCCAGCACACCAGGCATACCTTAATGTGTTAGAATCTCATTCAATTCTTATTAATCTCTTGAGAGCAAAGAAAATCTGCAAATCCAGCCAGGGAATGTCAGGAGTTTAGACCATGTTTGAGATGGCGGTGGCTGCCCTGATGGCCTTTAGTTAGCAATTCTGCACTCACCATTTAGAATGTTTATTTTTGTTCTCAGAAGATTTTTAAAAACCATCAAGGGGAAAGACTCAAATCAAGTCAAAAGGAACCAAGGTAAGAGTGTTCACAAAAATTTTAACCTAGGTGTCCACATAGAACAAAATGTTAAACCAGGCATGCAGATCAAAAGTGAATTCACAAGTAAACACATGCCTTACAGAGAGAATGTTAATTCTGTACAAATCAGAGCATTCAACCCAGAAAGATTTATGCCTTTGTACCAGAAAGGACTTAGCAGAAAAGACAAAAAGGCTGTTTATCATCTCGGGCTGGATGTGTGGTCCTTTATCAAGGCAGCCTCATCCAAGTCACATTCTGAGTAGCATCAAAAAGCCTCCAGCACAAAGAGAAAGGCTCAGCCTGAGAAAGGACTCGCCAGGGTGAAAAATCAAGCTGTGGAAATGAAGAACTCAAACAGCTGGAGTAAATACTGCACAACGGCTCCAAAAAATGGGAGTAAAAATGATTTCTTCCGATGGTGATATTTTCCTAGTCCCATTTCTGACACCATATGTATCAGTCGAAGTAACAGAGAGAGGCTCACTCAAAGAAGAAGTAACTTATTCAAGAATAGAACATTGAAATGGGAATACACATGCCACAGTAAATTACGTGCATATTCGGGTAAAGGAAGACAAAGGGTTCTAAAGGGAAAATTCGGAGGATGACAGAATTAGTTTGAAAGAATTATTCCGGGCTACAAAGATCAATAGCAAGGGTGATGCCAGTCCAAGGTTGGACAGGCAGGTGCTGGGCAGACATCCTTGCAGAAGTATTTTTTGTGTAAGGTTGTGCTGGTCTTTGTGCAAGGTTTTGGGTTTTGCAGCGTCTTCTATCATATTTTTTGTTATTCGATGGATGTGGGAACACTCCCTTCACGGCGTTCACTGGCTCCATTCGTGGGGGCTTTTTGTTTGTTTGTTTTTCTAACACAAGTGCCTTCATTTTGATTCTAATGACTTTTATGCCTCCACCAAAATTAACCTGTGAGAAACAGTCTATGTTACAATACTACAGGTGCCTTCAAATTTACATTTTACAACTAGGTTTTTGAGTTTTTTTTCTTTTTTTTGAGATGGAGTCTCTCTCTTGTCACTCAGGCTGGAGTGCACTGGCGTGATCTTGGCTCACTGCAACCTCTGCCCCTCGGGTTCAAGTGAGTCTCCTGCCTCAGTCTCCTGGGTAGCTGGGATTACACCCAGGTGTGCACCACCATGCCCGGCTAATTTTTGTATTTTTAGTAAAGACGGGGTTTCACCATGTTGGCCAGTCTGGTCTCAAACTCCTGACCTCAGGAGATCCACCCGCCTCGGCCTCCCAAAGTGCAGGGATTACAGGCATGAGCCTCTGTTCCCAGCCATTTTCACTCATTTTCACTGAGTGAAAGGACGGGATAGCACGTGGAGGAGTCTCGCCAAATGCCGTGGAAGCTTTTACAGGAAGGAGGGAAGCTGAACGGTCATCGGATGTGGTGCAGGCCATTCTCTTTCAACCTCTCAACAATGGTCACACTTTCAGGGAGGAAGACCTGGGGTATGTATCGGTCTTATCAAGAAAAGCTGTTTCTTTTCCTGTTTTATTTTATCCCAAAAGCTTAAAAGCCCCACCAGGTTATTCTTTTTAAAAATATAAATGGGAGGGTAGCATTGCCTCTCACAGGACTGCTGAGAACCACGCTCGCTGAGGTCACTCACAACTAATACAGCTGTTTCCTACATCACTGATTTTCTAGGGGAAGGCGCCCAGTCCCCAGGAGCACAATCTGTCCTGGCCATGCTTGTCCACCGAACTGCAGCTTACACTCTGCAGGTCCTGGAGCCCAAGAAAGACCCCGGGAGGGAGCTCCCGGCCACGCCCAGGTCCTGGGCCCCGGCGAGGCAGCCATCACCACTTCACAGGTGAGCTCTGTCAAAACCGGCAGCTTCTAAGTACAGTCAGTTACCAGTGCGCCGTGAAATAGTTC